>NC_000017.11:79339261-79639671 GCF_000001405.40 Homo sapiens
CCCAGGCTGATCTTGAAGTCCTGAGCTCGAGTGATCCTCTTGTCTCGGCCTCCCAAAGCGCTGGGGTTACAGGCATGAGCCACTGTGTCCAGCATTGATTCTTAGTCGCGCTGAAGCTTGGAAAACCATTGTTCTCAAAGTGAGAATTACCCATCGCCTACCTCAAGAAAAGGCACAGTGCAACACCAGCCTCACCCACGAGCTCAGTAGAAAGACAGATTCTCACTGGAGCTGGGTGGGTTCCTTATTGGAGCTGGTGGGAGGGAAGGAGGAAGTGGTTCCTTAAAACACAGACTGCTGGGCCCCATTCCCAGAGTTTCTGATTCAGTATGTGTGGAATGGGGTCTGCTAATTTGCTTTTAAACAAGTTTCAAGAAGGTTCTGAGCCTGCCGGTCTGGAGGCCCTGCTGAGAGAAGAGCTGTGCTGGGAGACGATAACTCGGGCTGGCACAGCAACTGTTGGCCTGGAAGTTGGGGTCTGGGTCCTCATTTTGGTCCTAACCTTAGACAAGTCACTCAAGTCCCTTCTCCTATTTGATTCAGAATTTTTTTTGGCATAAAACAGGACTGGATTGAACAGGTGTGCAGTTCCTTTCTAGCACCTACATTCTACGACTCCAGCCCTTGCTGAAATGCAGCAGTAACTGGTGACCAGGACAAACAGCTAGCAGAGAAGCAGAGTCCTGCTGATGCCCCCTGTTCTCCCTCTGTCTTTCAGAGTCCTGTACCCTACTGATGTTAAACTTCTGAGCATGGGCCGGGCACGGCGGCTCACACCTGTAATCCCAGCACTTTGGGAGGCCAAGGCGGGCAGATCACCTGAGGCCAGGAGTTCGAGACCAGCCTGACGAACATGGTGAAACCCTGTCCCTACTAAAAATACAAAAATTAGCCAGGTGTGGTGGTGCACGCCTGTAATCCCAGCTACTTGGGAGGCTGAGGCAGGAGGATTGCTTGAACCCGGGAGGTGGAGGTTGCAGTGAGCCGAGATCACACCATTGCACTCCAGCCTGGGCAATAGAGTGAGACTCCATCTCAAAAAAAAAAACAAAAAACAAAAACAAAACTCTCTGAGCATGATAGAATCTATGTTGGGAGCCAGGCTGCCAGCAGCTGCCTTCCGCAAGCCCCACCTCCCAGAAGTGAAAGCTTCTATTCGTTCTTCCCCATGGGGCAGGGTTCCTGGGCTTACAGCCTGAGCCGCCCTGTGATTTTCAGAGTTCTGTGTAAAGATGGAGTGTGTTCCCCTCCACACCTCCCCAGCTGCATGGGGCAGAGTGACTTCACTGCACATCCTGGTGTGTCTGAAAAGCGACATGATTTGGGGGTGATTAAAGGCAACCCACATGCTTGATGAGCATGTAATTATTGCCTGTTTCATGACACGGGTCTGGCACTCAGAAACCTGGAGACGCAAGCACTTGCAGTTTTTCATGACAGCCTGACTTCATCCGATGAATGAAAAAAAAAAGTAAGGAAAAGAAAAAAGATGAAAACATCTGTAATGAACATCTGGATTCCATTGCTAACCATGAAAGCAAATTCCTCAGAGTCAGCATGCCGGAGAGGGCTGGGAAAGGGTGTATTTATAAACAACTGTGGTACTTGAATCAGAAAAAATGCCCCCAAACACCACCCCTTCCTGTTTGAAAACCTTTCAGAATGGAGAAGCATTGAGTTTCAGTTCTGTGTCTAAGCAATGGAGAAACAGTTACACCTGCAAGTCAAGCTCTGGACTCAAACAAACATAATGACAGCCTCTGGGCTCAGCAGTTGGTTCCCCAAAACAGTCATCTGAAGAAAAGATTCAAATACCTCTGAGTGTTTGCGGGTGTGTGTGCAGTCATGTGAGTGCACAGACATGCACACGGGAAGGCAGACATGCACGTATGCACAGTGTGTACACAGTCATGCACACCTGTAGGCGTGGGTGTGTGCAGAGAGTCATGCACACAGGAATGCAGGCAGGGGTACACAGGTGTGTGTGTACATGTGTGTGCACAGGTGTGCACACAGAAATGTAGGCATGTGTTCATGTCTCATGTGTGTATGCATGCACAGAAATGTCCAATTCATATGCCACAGCCCACTTTTTTGCAGCCTCCTTTTTTACTTCCTCATACTATACAGCTTCATACCTTGTTTACAACTTCCCATTATTCATATACCTATCACCAAGTTGTGCCCTCTTCGTGCGTAACTAATTGAGTTCGTGGGAGGCTGTTGCTGGGGGTCCGGCAATTACAGCACAGTGGCGGGTGTTGGAAGCCAGGGGAGCTGAGGCTAGGCAGCATGGCTGGGGCTGGGGCACGGCTGTCCTACACGCCACATGGGCTGTGCACATGGAGGCTCCTTGTTGGCACCTTGGAAAGCCTTAGGGTCCATTTCTCTACCTGGAGAAGCAGTCACTGCCCCTTGGTGTGTGCATGGGGGACAGAGCCAGGGAGCGTCTCCCTTGCTCCCTTTCTGAGTTCTGAGCTCCAGGCTCCCTGCATAACCATCTTAACAGAAAGAGGAGTGGCGAGCCTGTCTGCTCTCATAAACCATGTGCCCCTGCAAACCCCCAAGCCAGGGCTAAGGGAAAAACAATTTGCAGCCGGTGGCTCCTAATAGATGGAAATAACTCTATCCGTGAATGCAGGTGATGCGCTAATGTGAAAAGAGATGAAAAGTGGAATTCATTTGGAAAATTTTGGCTTTGGCCCCCAAGGCTGGGGCAAGAGGGTGTCCTCCATGGCTGGCCCCCTCCCCGGCCCCCTCCCAGCCTCCCTGTGAGCTGGGGGCAGCCTGGCCCAACCTGTCACCTGGCATTAGAGGCGATAAAAGCCATGTGCTTCCCTCACCTCGTGGTGCAGCTCGTGTTTAGGGCCTTTGCTTTATCAGTTTTTATTTCGTGTAATATTCATCACACTGGTTTATTTATGGGGCCCTTGTTGGGAAGTTATTTTTCAGGCCTGGTGAATAAAACATTAGACTTTGCGGCTTGTCAGGGTGACTGCGGCTACTCTGATGTCAGCCTGACAAACCGCCTTTTCTTTTTCCCAACAACTGCACTTTTAGAGAAATTTATTTGTATTTTGTTGGGCATTTGTTGTTTTTTTCTCCTTTTGGCTGGTGGATGTTGGTCAGAGTCGAAGTCTCTCTCTCTCGTCTGATTAAATGCTGGAGCCTTCACTTGCTGAGAAAGGCAATATGTTAAGCAGGAGAAGTGAGGTGAGCACCTCGGGCCTCCAGAACCTAAGTCCTGGGCTACAGGAGAGCCATGGGATCCCAAAGCCTGCAATGAATCCCCTCCCTGCAAAGCCTAGCGGCTCAACCTGGGTGTTCACAGCCAGTGAGCGAAGTGCTTTAGCCGTGCAGGTCAGAGTCGAAGGATGACCTGGAGGAACTGCTGGAGAGGTTGATGGGGCTTTGTGCGGAAAGGCAGAGGGCACAGGAGTGTGGGTCCTAAAATCCTAATGAGAATAATGGGGGAAAATCCCAATAAATTAAAAACAAAACAGGCGAAATGTGGCTTTAAGCAAAGCTCTCAATAAGAAAATCTGCACTTAAGGAAAACTAGGGTGAAGAGACTCACTTTACAACGGGGCTTGTCACAGTATTTCTCAGTTATTCTCATGCACTTAAAATGTGGATTACTTTACATGACTTTTCAAGTTTTGTTAAACAAGAGAAAGAGAACACAGTGGGGGGAGAGAGAAAGAGAAAGAGAAAGAGCGAGAGAGAGAGAGAGAGAGAGAGAAACCTGGTAATGCTATATTTCAGATTGAAGAGTGTTGAGTTTTTCTTTCTTTCTCCCCAGAAATCAAAAGGATTAAGAAAACCCCAATCAATAACAATCCAGCCAGCTGCTGGTGATTCACTGTGACTTGTCCTTTAGATGGCTTAGTACATGACGATCTCTTCATTAAGTGATACCTGGACTGTGTTCATCCTTACTAATAGCTCATAAGCTCAGTGGCTTTTTTAAAACTGGAGGAAGGGCCAGGCGAGGTAACTCACACCTGTAATCCCAGCACTTTGGGAGGCCTAGGAGGGTGGATCACCTGAGGTCAGGAGTTTGAGACCAACGTGATGAAACCCCATCTCTGCTAAAAATACAAAAATTAGCCAGGTGTGGTGGTGCACACCTGTAGTCCCAGCTACTCGGGAAGCTGAGGCATGAGAATTGCTTGAATTTGGGAGATCGAGGTTGCAGTGAGCCGAGATTGCACCACTGCACTCCAGCCTGGGAGACAGAGTGAGACTCGGTCTCAAAAGAAAAAACAAACAAACAAACAAAAAAACCCAAAAACACTGGAGGAAGAAAATGTCATTTAGCTTCTTGAGCAACACCACCACCAGACCAAGGGCATCAGCTTCCCTTCTTGGATTCTCCCGTGGATCAGGTGTCACCTGGGATGGCTGCACACTGACCCCTAGTAACAGAGGCTACCATTTGTGGGGTATGTACTGTCAGCCAGGCAGTGAAGAAAAGGGTGCCATCATTCATCTTCCTTCATCATTCATGAGACAGGTCCTGTCAGCCCATCTTACAGGTGAGGAAGCTGAACTCAGAGGTGGAAGAACAGCCCAAAGTCACTCAGAGGAATCACGGGGCAGGAATTGGACACAGCCTGCCCGTATCTAAGCTCTTACATGAATCTCCCTGCCCACAGGTCGGCTGCATGCACAGGACCATGGAATTAGACCCCCATACTCTCCAGAGAGATCCCACTCAAGTGGGTATGAGAGATGCCAGGAAGATGCCACTGATCCATTAGTGTCTGTGACAAGGACAAACACTTATATAAACCACATCAAATCTCCAAGAGGGGTTAGTGTGGGCTACATGCACCCCTGTCAGAGGTGTAGGCAAATGGGATGGATGATTTGAGAATCAGGATGCTCATACACAGCTAGGGTTCTATGTCCCGGGTCCTGAGGCCAACATCTTTTCCTCCAGACTTTAAGGAGTCAAGACCTAAAGTAAAAAATGCAAATATATCTTCCAAAAAAATTCCTTGATTTGGGGGAAATTTTAACTGGCTAATTTGAGTTGGCATAAATGAAAAAATTCCAGACTGCCAGTGAGTACATCCTTGGAAGGCTCTACCATTCCCGAGAGCTTTCAAACAACCTCCGGCGATTCTACAAGCACCAATAAAAACAAGGACTATGCATCTCTCCCAACAGCCACCCCCTACCAGAGCTGCTGCCCTCTCCCTCTATCCCCTTCCTCATTGGGCTTCTCAATCATTTTCCTGCAGAGGATGGATTCATGTTGTCACTTTGTTTGATTATTTATTTATTTATTTATTTATTTATTTAGAAGACGGAGTCTCACTCCATTGCCCAGGCTGGAGTGCGGTGGCACAATCTTGGCTCACTGCAACTTCCACCTCCCAAGTTCAAGCGATTCTTGTGCCTCAGCCCCCCAAGTACCTGGGATTACAGGTGCATGCCACCATGCCTGGCTAATTTTTGGATTTTTAGTAGAGGTGAAGTTTTCACCATGTTGGCCAGGCTGGTCTCAAACTCCTGATCTCAGGTGATCCACCCACTTCAGCCTCCCAAAGTGCTGGGATTACAGGCATGAGCCACCACGCCCGGCCATCTGTTTGCTTTTCAACCCACCCCAATCTGCCTCTGTCCACACCACTTCATCAAAACTCTCTTATCAAGGTCACATTTGACCCTCTGACTGCAAAACTCAGAGGATGAAGTCACTTGCCTGTCCTCAGACCATACTTGACCACTCCTACCTTCCTTCTGGAAACAAGTTTTTCTTTGGTTTTGTGACACTAAACTGCTGACTGTTCTCTGCCTGTAGGGCTGATTATTCTCTGTTGTTTTTGCTGAACTCTAAATGCTGGAGTTCTTCAGAGGACAATTCTAACTGTCTTCTTCAACAGCAGTGTTCCTGAGAGCTTCTCTTCTCCACCTGTTTGTTTTGGTTTGTTTTGTTTGAAGAATTGATCCATTTTACCTAAATTGTGACATTTACGTGCATAGAGTTGCCTGTAGTATTCCCTTATTATCCTTCTAATGGCTGCAGGGTCTGTAGTGATGTCCCCTGCTTCATTACTGAGATTGGTAATTTGTCTTTTGTTTATCCTTGTTGGTCTTGCTAGATAGAAGTTTATCAGTTTTATTGCTCTGTTCATAAAGGGATTGAACCAATTTATGCTGTCCTTCTTATGAATAAGAAGCCTGATGATCATTATATTTTCTGAAACTTGGATTTGTCAGGCTTTGAAAGTCTTGCCAATCAAATGGAAGTTAAACGCTACTCATTGTGGTCTAGATTTGCATTTCCCAGCTGATTAGTGAGGTTAAACATCTCTTTTTATGTTTATTGATTATATATTCTCTTCTGTATGAAATTCCTGCCTGTCCTCTGCTTTTTTCTCTTTTGGGATGTTTTATACTTTTCTTCTTGATTTTCAGTTATTTAAACATTTTTGATACTAATCTTTTGTCAGTTGTGTGTATTGCCAATATTTTCTTCTAGTCTTTTCACTTCTTAAAGACTTCACTTTTTCTAAACCATTCAATATATTGAATTAAAAAGCACTTATTTTTTCTTAACTTTAATGTACTCAAGTCTGTCAATCTTTTTTTATACTCATTTGATGTGTCTTGTTTAAGACATTTTCCTCTATGAGATTTGTTTTTTGTTTGTTTGTTTGTTTTGTTTTTTTGAGATGGAGTCTTTCACCCAGGCTGGAATGCAGTGGTGTGATCTTGGCTCACTGCAATCTGCACCTCCCGGGTTCAAGCAATTCTCCTGCCTTAGCCTCCCAAGTAGCTGGGATTACAAGCACACACCACCATACCTGGCTAATTTTTTGCATTTTTAGTAGAGATGAGGGTTCCATCATGTTGGCCAGGCTGGTCTCGAACTCCTGACCTCAGGTGATCCACCCACCTCAGCCTCCCAAAGTGCTAGGATTACAGGTGTGAGCCACCATGCCTGGCCTCCTCTAAGAGATTTTTGACATTTAACTACTTCATCCACCTATGTCCATTTTCAAAATATGGTGTGAGGTAGAGATCTAATAGTGTACTTTGTATATGGGTAACTACACAATTTTTTTTTCCAGCTCACTTTGTTAAACATCCCTGCCTTTTGCCAGTGATTTGAAATGCTACCTCTAACATAACCAAAGTTACATAAGTTCATGGATCTGTTTCTGGGAATCCTGGGAATTGATTAATTGGTTGATCCTTATGACAACACTAGGTAATCTTAATTACCATAGCTTCACAATGAGCCCAGATATGCGATAGGAGAAGTATCTCCTTCATGCTCTGCTCCTCAGAGGGGTTCTGGCTAATTTTTGGTGTCTTAATCTTCTATATCGTCATTTGATGAGGCTCCAATTGGGAATTAATCAGAATTGCATTGGCTGTAGTCAATATAGATCAACATGGGGAAAATGACATTTTAATGATATAAAAACTTCCTATTCATTTATTAGAACTCCTCTACTTACACTTCATAAAGTTGTACATTTTGCCTGTATAAGTCTTAAGCATTTTAAAATTAAATTAAAATTAAATTTATTCCTAGGTATTTGACATTTTCTGATACTACTAAAAACAATGTCTTCTATTTGTGTGTGTTTGCTGCTGGTATGTAGATAAAAACTGAGTTAAACTTATGCCAGATAACTTGCTATACTCTCCAGTTTCTAAAAGATTTTGTGTAGATTTGGGCAAGGGTTCTATGTAAATGATCATATCATCTGAAAATAATACAATTTTTTGTTCTTTCCAATCCTTACACATCTAGCTTCTTTTTCTCTCTTTGTTGCACTGCATAGGAGAATGGAAGTTTTACTAGCTTTCACATCTGAATGACAATTTGGCTGCATGTAAAAGTCTATGTTCTATGTTCTTTTATTCTGTGCTTTGAATATATCACTCCATTGTCTTCCTGCATCTGGCATAGCTGTTGAAAATCCTGAAGTCTGTATAATAACTTGCTCTTTGTGTGTGATCTCTTCCTGTCTGGAAACATTAAGAACTTTATCTTTGTTATTCTTAAATTTCACTGTAAGTGTATAGGTTTTGTTTCCCTCTTATCTCTTCTTTTTGGGACTCCAAGACCTCTTCAACCTGGGCTCTTTCATCCTTTTTCTTTAAATCCCATTGATTTTATCTCCACATTTTCTTCATATATGTCCTCTTCTATATTTTTATTTTTCTCTCTTTGTAGGACTTCTATGATCCACATGTTAACAACTTAACATTAGCACCTTAACTTCTTTCCTCCTTGTGTTAGAACTTTTCTATTTTCTTTTTCTTTGTGCTTTTCCTTATTTTTTTCTTGGCTGATACATCAAGCTGGTCCTCCAATTCACAAATGCATTCCTCAGTTATTTATTCTAGTACTTTTCTCCTGTATCGCATTATTTCCACAGCTATACCTTAACACCAACAATTTCTACTCGGTTCCTTTGTATATCTTCTTGATCTTATTTCACATTGCTAATATGTCCCTTATCTCATTTAGGAGGTTTATTAAGCTTATTTTTAAAATTGGTCCCTCTGTTCTGGTATTTCTATTCTGATAGAATCTGGAAGCTGTAACTCAGTTTGTTGCCTTAAAAAAAATGCTTGTGCTTCTCGAATACCTTGTTATTTTGCCTGCCAGCTCATTCCCTCCAGTGGAAGTCTGCTACTCTGCCCTGCCCTGTCTGAGAGGTGGGTAGCCCAGTAAGCCTGAGTGATCTCAGAGAGCGGTGGGTGAATGTACTCCAAGTGGAGAGGCTCCAAAAAATCACAGTCAACCCCATCCACTCCACCAAATTCCTCCTTAGATCAGAGCTTCACCTTCCCCCTCCTGAGAGATGCGGCATTCAGAGGGACCTCCCCAAGCCTGAAATAGTGCAGTCTCCTGGTCGTCTG
The DNA here is from genome assembly GCF_000001405.40 of Homo sapiens. Lineage (NCBI taxonomy): Eukaryota > Metazoa > Chordata > Mammalia > Primates > Hominidae > Homo > Homo sapiens. The sequence goes on from NC_000017.11 coordinate 79,348,157, forward strand.
CAGAAAAGCGGGGAAGTGACTGCTGGGGTCAGGTGGGCTGCACCTGTTTTGCTTGGCTCCCTGTGAGCACAGGTCCCTCTGCTGCTGTGCTGTATTAACACCTGCACCTGAGCCCTGCATAGCCACAGGTATAGACAGGCATGGTTTGTCCCAAGGCAATAGTGGCTGGAGCTGGGCTAAGTAAGAACAGACATCAAACATTCCCCTTCACGCTTATTCTCCCATAGCTGTGTTTGGCCCACCCCTGCTCCAGGCCAAAGCCATAGCCCCATGCACAATGATTTGAAACCCCTCACCCCCTCCATCTGCTGTCTCATTGGTTTCACTCTATTCTTCCCCTAGGGGTGAGTTTGGAGCAAGGAGCTAGTGGTCTTGCTGGTTACCATCAGAACAAACCCAATTTCTTTTCTTTTCCTTTTTTTTTTTTTTTTTTTTTTTTTTGAGACAGAGTTTCACTCTTTTTAAACAGGCTGGAGTGCAGTAGTGCCATCTCGGCTCACTGCAACCTCCGCCTCCTGGGTTCAAGTGATTCTCCTGCCTCAGCTTCTCAAGTAGCTGGGCTTACAGGTATGCCCCACCATGCCCGGCTAATTTTGTATTTTTAGTAGGGACGGGGTTTCACCATGTTGGCCAGGTTGGTCTCCAACTCCTGACCTCAGGTGATCCACCTCGGCCTCCCAAAGTGCTGGTATTACAGACATGAGCCACCACCCCCGGCCTAAACCCACTTTTTCAATCATAATGTGTCCAAGCAGATCTCCCGACATCTCCACTCTCCGAGAAACCCTGCTCTTCCCTCTGCATCCTTCATGTGGGTAAACAATCCCTCCAGGCACCTTATTAGCTACATCCCCTCTGAAAGCCAGCTGTGCCTCTATCTCTCCCTCTTCCCACAAATTCAACTCACTGCCAAGTCCAGTAAGTTCTGTCTCCAAAATGTACCCATTTCTTGGCTCCTTCCCCATCCCCACGCCTGGCGCTCCATCATCTCCTGCCCCAACCATGCAAGTTTCCTGCTTGGAGTCCCTGCTTCACCCTCACCGAGCAGCCAGACCTATCCCTGCTCAGCCCCTGCACGTGCCTTCCACTGAGCTGTGGGCTGCGGGGCCAGGCACAGTCCTGCCTGCACCCTCTCCTCCCACCTCTCACCACTCGCACTCCTCTGCCCACTCAGCCACACAGCCTTGCTGGGTCTGGGGTCACTCTCATTTGCTGAGATCCTGCCTCCCGGGGGCCACTGCTATTGCTCCTGCTTCTGTCTGTCACCTCTCACTCTCCTCCTCACTTCTCCCACCTTCTCCTCCTTCTCCCAACTCCTACTCACCCTCCCGGTCCCTATTGAAATTCTGCTTCTCAGAGAACCCCCAGACCTCCCATTGAAGCACCCCAGGATGCCTTGAGCATTTCCCTGACCATGGTGACCACTCTTTCATGTTTCCACTGGTTTGTGCGACTCCAGTCTGATGTCTGGTGATCCCACCAGGCCCGGCAATGCCTGAAGATGACGTCCCTGCTTATTTCCTTTCCCCCTGTATCCCCGGGGCTCAGCCCAGCCCTGGAATACCGTCACAGCTCAACAAAGATGCGTCATGTAGCTTGGTGCACCGAGAGATGCCATCAGTGGTGGATCCCCAGCAGGGCCTTGCCTCCTAGGGAAGCCGAGGTAGGCACAGCCGTGATCACCAGGACGGAATGGGTTCCCTGAGCCCCCCGGGGCAGGCACGGCCATGATCACCAGGACAGAATGGGTTCCCTGAGCCTAGGCCACGTGGCCCACACCCACAGTTGGGTGCCCTCTGCTCCAGGAGGAGAGGCTCCAGAAAATCACAGTCCACATCGTCCATGCCACCAAAGTCGTCCTTAGGTCATTCAGATCTGCTCATCCCTCGCAGATCCATTCCCGCCCCACCTGTGTAGAGAGAATCAGACACTCAAGCCAGCCAATGGTGGCTCAGGCATGGGGAGGAGAGCGCCCAGGATGCCCCCTGTCCGTGGCATTGTCCAACAGCTCTGTCCTCCCTGGCTGCAGCTGCCCTGGCAGCCCCTCCTGACAGGCAGTTCTGACAGTGGCCGGCTCTGCGCCCCATCCCGCCTCTCCAGTCCTAGGGGCTTCTGTCTGCTGCTGTCCTTCCTCCTCTGATGGTCCTGTTTAATTCTCCAACTCTTCCCTGGTCAGTGTAACTGATTCTTGGTATTAAATGCTCTCTCTGAAACTCCCAGATGGGTCTCCCTTCTCCTGGGGGGACCCTGACTGATACATCCTGTGACTATAGGTTCTTAGAGTAAAAGGCAATTTCATTTCATTTCATAGTTATGGATTGATAGGGTGACCAATGAATCCTGGTTTGTCTAGGATTATCCTGATTTTAGCAGTGAAAGTCTACATCCCAGAAACTCCTTAGTCCTGGGCAAGTCCAGCCATGCTGGCCCTGGGGACTTCATGGAAGGCAGGCATGGCTGTGACCCCTGCCCCACCATGCCTCTGTCCCTGAGAAAGCAAGAATGACCACGGCTCACATGCCAGCCGGTGTGTCCCTGTGACCTGGTGCTCTGCAGGGAAGATGCACCATCCTGTGAGAGCCCCTGATGAGGGTTGTGGCAGACAGGGCTCAGGCAGGGCGGCCTGCAGGGTGGCGTGAGCTGGCATGAATTGCGGGGAAAGAAGGTCTCTCTGAGCTCAGGCGCCCCCATGGCGACTCTCCCACCTTCCAGTGCCCTGGCTGTCACCTCATTTTTTTCTTTCTCTAACTCCCCTTCCCACCTTTTCCCCTCCCTGGCATCCCCTGGTAACCTCTAATCCACTTTCTTTCTCTCTGAATCTGCCTTCTCTAGGGACCTTATGCACGATGAATGGTTCAGTATTTGCCCCTGTGCATCTGGCTGTTTCACCCGACGTAATGTTTTCAAGGTTCCTCTGTGCTGTAGCATGTGCCAGAATTTCCTTCCTTTTACCAGGCTATGTAATATTCATGGATAGACCACATTTTGTGTATCTGTTCATCCATCGACAGACACTTGCTTTGCTTCTACGCTTTGGCTGCTGTGAACGATGCTGCTATGAACACCAGCACAAGAGTCTCTGAGTCGCTGTGTTCAATTCTCTGGGGGCATGTTCCTTGAAGTGGAAGTGCTGGGCCACAGGGTAGGGCTCTGTATAGCTTTTTGAGACACTGTCAAACTGTTTTTCCAAAGCAGCCACATGCTTTACATTCCTATCTGCAAGGAGCAAGGGTCCCAGTTTCTAACCATCCTTGCCCATTCTTGCTTTTTTTAAGATGGAGTCTCACTGTGTCACCCAGGCTGGAGTGCAGTGGCTCACTGCAGCCTCCACCTCCCAGCTTCAATCTTGCTGTCTTTTCTATTGCAGACATCTTACTGTGTGCCAGGTGGAGTCTTGTTGAGGGTCTGATTTGCATTTCCTTGGTGACGATGATGTGGAGCATCTTCTCATGTGCCTGTTGGCCATTTGTATGTCTGCTTTGGAGAAATGTGTAGTAAGTCCTTTGCCTATTTTTAAAAGTGAGCCATTTGCCTTCTTGGTGTTGAGTTGTAGTTCCTGATGTATCCTGGGTTTTAAACTCTCATCTGAGATATGATGTGCAAATATCTTCTCCCATCTGTTGGTTGCTTTTCCACTTTCTCGATAGTGTCCTCTGATACCTCAGGTTTTAATTTTGAGGAAGTACAATTTTTCTTTTGTTGCCTGTGCTTTTGGAGTCCTACCCTCACCCTTGTTTTAAGGCCTCCTTGACATTTGTTTTCCTAGAGAGTCGTTCAGGGCCTACAGGTCCCTGTGGGAAATCAGGATGGGAGGGGATCTTAGAGGCCTGTGAACCCCGGCTTCTACTGAGAGGAGAAGCTTCTGCATTCCTGGTGGAGCAAGCATATCCACCAGAACCACTAGAACCAGCCCCATCAGCACCCACCTCCTTCTGTGTCCTGCCTTTTCCTCCTTTCAAGGGAAGTTGTTATGGTTTGGCTCTGTGTCCCCACCCAAATCTCATGTTGAATTGTGATCCCAACTGTTGGACATGGGGCCTGGTGGAAGGTGATTGGATCATGGGGGTGGTTTTTAATGTTTCAGCACCAACCCCCTAGTGCTATCTCATGAGTGAGTTCTCATGATATCTGGTTGTTTAAAAGTGTGTAGCACTGCCCTCTTTGATCTCTCTCCTGCCACCATGTGAAGATGTGCCTGCTTCCTCTTTGTCTTCTGCCATGATTGTAAGTTTCTGAGGCCTCCCCAGCCATGCTTCCTGTGCAGCCTGCAGAACTGTGAGCCAATTAAATCTCTTTTCTTTATAAACTACTCAGCCTCGGTTCTTTATGGCAGTGCGAGAACAGATGAAAACAGAAGTGCCCTGAGGGAATGCATGGTCTCCAAGTGCCTTCCATTCACTGGCCAGGCACCGCTGTCTCAGATCACATCCCCAACTTACCTCTTAAATGTTCCCTCTGGAAAGGTAAAAACTCCATGATGTCAGAGTCCACTCTGGTTTACTGGTGTGGCCCACACCTCCTAGGGTTCCCTTACATCCACAGTGAGTGAAGAAAGGCAAAGAATGGTGCACAATGAGGCATGGGTGGCAAAGAGCCTGCTGCCCCCCAGAAATGACCTCACAGTGTCAGGTCACCTAGGGGACCACCTGGTGGGGCTCAGCCTCACAGGCTCTGCAGCCCCACCCTGTCTGCACTGGGAATGGGTCCTCCTGCTGGGCACTGGGGCCACATCAGTTCTACTCATTGACATTGACTGGCACACTCCAGCGAGCACTGCCAGAGCCTCCCTTTTGGGCAGACAGATGGGAAAGTTTGCTCATCAACACAAAGGCGCTTGGAGCATCCACCTGGAACAGGAGTGAGGATCACACAGGGACTGCCTCGGGACATCAGGATGACATGGTCTGACCTGATGTATCTGCTGCACAGGAGGGACATCGTCCCTTGACAATAAAACTATGAGCCTGCGTTGGCCTGGACGATCATGCCCTGAACAACCTCGCCCTGAACAGCACATCAGGGAGCTGCTCACCAGGGCCTCTGCGGCTGCTGTGGACACTGGTGCGCAAGTGTGTGTTTGAGTCCCTGCTGAAGTCTCCTTCATCCCAGGGTGGCTGGGAGCACTGCCCTCCCATCCTCTCCTCCATGGGGTGGGATCTTCCCTTCCCCTGAGATCTGTCAATGACTCTGGCCAGCTCCGTGGACTCTCCTGTGAGTGGGAGCACACTTGCATGCTCCTCCTCCTCCCTGCCACTCACTAGGTGCCCAACCTGGGTGATGAGCAAGCTTTGTTTGTTTGAGCAAAAAGAGACTCATCTAACAATCTTAGCTTACAGAATTTCTGGGAAATCCAATATAGCAGCTAAGATGCCACTATATAAGAAGCAATACTGCCCGGAGAAATACCCATCACTCATGCAGATGCTGCAGTGAAGCTGCAGACCAAACACCAAACCTCCAGGAAATCACTGCAAGGAAAAGCCACGTGATTCTGCACGTGGCCTCTCCAGAAAGCTGCGTGTCTTCTGGGGCCTGGAGCTCACATGACCTCCTCGGTCTCAGCCAGTCGCGTTTGTGCACCACCGAGGCTTAGCCAGGTGTCTGGCTGAAGGTGGAGATCAAGCAGAGTGCTCCTGAGGCACGAGGGGCCCCCACTGGCTTTCTCACCCTTCCCCAGGCGAACCTTGCACTGTCCTGTCCTGCAGATGAGGTGTGCAGTGGGGGCCGCTCCCTGAGGTCCCACCCCCGCGTTACCCACTTGACCATCGACCTCCAAGTCCTCTGCATCTCTCTCAGGAGATCTTCCCTTTCACCACCCGACTCTTATTTTTGTTTTTAATAGCCTTAATGTTTTTAGAGAAGTTTTACACTCATAGTGGGATGGATGGGAAGGTACAGAGAGTTCCCACAGACCCCCTGCCCTCCCCATGACATGCACAGTCCCCCACTGTCCACAACCGCCTCCAGAGGGTCCATCAGTTCAATGGGTGAACTATACGGACAACGTCATTGTCACCCAGAGTCCAGGGCTCACAGGAGGATTAGCTGTCAGTGTGGTGATCCTGTGGGTTTGGGCAAATGTGTAAAGACGCAGGCCCACCATTCTAGTGTCATGCATGGCGGTGTCACCGCCCTAAAGAGCCTCTGTAGGCACTGGGGCCACATCAGTTCTACTCATTGACAATGACTGGCTCACTCCAGCTAGCACTGCCGGAGCCTCCCTCTCAGGCAGACTGATGGGGAAATTTGCTCATCAACACAAAGGCACTGGGAGCATCTGCCTGGAGCAGGAGAGTGAGGACACCCCAGCCCCCGGCATCTACAGATACTCTCAGTGGTTCCATAGTTCAGCCCTTTCAGTCTTGGCGTTTTCAACATTTTTCTCAGAACTAACCCCGGGACAGACTTCACTTCCACCACGGGGAGAAACCAGCGTGGAAGGCAGTAGGAAGATGACAGGGACTGAGGCGTGGAACAGACTGCGCGTTCAGCGCAAGCCAGGTTCCTGCTGCCTCTGGTGCAGCTGTGGGGGGAGAGGAGCCCTCAGGAGGGTTTCCCTTCCCAGATGTGTGAGAGACTCAGGCACAGGGACCTCACCTCCAACTCCGGCCCCTCAGAGAGGGGTTAATTTCCATATTTCACGATTAATCATTATTATAACTATTTTTAGTTCCACAAGACAAGGTAGTTTAACACGCTGTGCATTTTTGCAAGGTATCCTTGATCCTTCTAAAGTAAAATTAAAAGCTATAATTAGCTCCCTTAATAGAGAATTGCACTTGGTTCGGCGTCAGCTAACAGCGGGCTCCCTTCCCTGGCTGTGGGATTATTAATGGGTGTTATTTTGCTAATAGTCCGCCCCTCTAATGGGGACTCTTCCCACCGGCCTCTCCTCTTTATAGCCCCACACGGGATCATTCTGACTCTCGGATTCCACTTTCTCACCTACTTCCAAGAGGTTTAAAACATGACCGTGTAATCAACTTAACACATTTAACATTTAACACGGGGTTCGGCACTTGTGGGGTCGGGGGTCCCTGTTCAGAGCTGACTCTCCCTAAGAAGAAAGTTCTTCCGAGGAAAGGCATCAAGGCTTTGGCTCTGAACAAGCATGTGAAGCCTGCAGAACGTATCGAGGGCTCTGGGGAGACGTGTTGTTTGCAGAGCAGGCTGACTTCTGTTTTCAGCCACTGGGGCACAACTCCATTGACTTTGCCAGGCAAGCATTTCCTCTCTGCGTGGGATACCCGCCCCCGTTTCCAATGCTTGTACCCAAGCCAAGTGGCCCCGGGCGATGGTGGCAGAGGCAGCTCCCCTCCAGCCTCTCCAGGTCCTGCTGCCTGGGAAGCCACCTGCTCCTGAACCCCTGAGTTCAACGCATGTTAGAAACTAAAAGCTGAATATACCCCAAGCCTGTGAATTAATTGCTTTTTTTTTTTTCCGAAACGGAGTCTTGCTCTGTTGCCCAGGCTGGAGTACAGTGGTTTGATCTCAGCTCACTGCAACCTCCACCTCCCAGGTTCAAGCAATTCTCCTGCCTCAGCCTTCCTAGTAGCTGGGATAACAGGCTCACACCATCATGCTCAGCTAATGTTTTAATTTTTAGTAGAGATGGGATTTCACCATGTTGGCCAGGCTGGTCTTGAACTCCTGACCTCAGGTGATCTACCTGCCTTAGCTTCCCAAAGTGCTAGAATTACAGACGTGAACCACCGTGCCTGGCCGAACTGCTTTTTAGAAATTATGTTTCTTGTAAGTGCAAGGAAAATTCCAGCTCTGCTAAATGTTTGACATCCTTATGTAATATGTGACTTAGGTAATTTCCATAGTCTGACATCTGGCTCACTCCTAACTCCAAATATCACTGCGTCTGTATAAACTCTTTCCCCTCTCCTGAATTAGAGCATGAATGTGGGGATGTGCTTTGGGGCGTTCACCCCAACTGAAGTCTAAGCTCAAGTGTTCTTGGCTCTTGACTTTTGGCAAGAACTTGAGCTGACGTCGGTCCTGCCTGCTGCCTGAATGTTCCTGCTTGTGAAACTTGGAGAGGCATGTTCTCCCAGGAGCAGGACATACTTGCAGACCCTCCTGCAGACGGGGTGGGGGAGAGAGGAGGCACTTGATCCCACCTGGGCAATGCCAAGGTACCTCTGCCGTGAGGCACGTACTTTTTCACTTTTAAAACAGGGAAGTTTTTTTTTTTTTTTTTTTTTTTTTTTTTTTTTTTTTTGAGGAGGAGTCTCACTCTGTCACCCAGGCTAGAGTGCTGTGGCACAATCTTGGCTTACTGCAAGCTCCACCTCCCAGGTTCAAGCGATTCTCCTGCCTCAGCCTCCCAGGTAGCTGGGATTACAGGTGCCTGACACCATGTCCAGCTAATTTTTGTATTTTTATTAGAGGCAGGGTTTCACCATGTTGGCCAGGCTGGTCTTGAACTCCTGACCTCAGGTGACCCACCCACCTTGGCCTCCCAAAGTGCTAGGATTACAGGCATGAGCCACTGTGCCCAGCCAGTTTTGATTTTTTTTTTTATGCCATCAGAGAAGGACATAATTTAGTGATAGGTGTGAATAACTATTTGGGAAATAATTTCTTTCCTAAAATATGTCCAGAGAGAGACCAAAGGTAAGAATTTGTTGGGAAGAATCATGAAAAGTCAGTTTTCACCTTGCAGTTACAAAGGTGTCAAAAGTGCAGCCGGGCCTGCCTGGGCCAGCCACTGCCCCTGCTGCAACTCCGTCCCCCTCAGCCAGCTCCTGTCGGGCTGAGCCTCCCAGTGGCACTGAGATGGGACACTTGGCTACCCACCTCTTGCTTGAGAAGCTATGTCCTAAAGTGTCCCCCTGAGCACTCACAACAGAGACTCGGCAGTGACAACTGGGGAGCCGGTGCCCTCCATGTGGCATTCCTGCTCTGTCCTAGCCCCACGGGGGCCCCAGACACGCCCACACCCGCTGGTGACAAACTCGGCCTCCCCGGGTGCTGTGGCTGCTGCTCTTGCACACACATCCTAAAACGCAAACACAAGCAGGCTGTACGCACATGTAGAGTGTCTGTGCTTGCACATGAGCACACTCGCCTTTAAGCAGAAAGAGCGCCACTTGTAAGCTGCCCAAAAACGAAACAAAACAAACACTAGCCAGGAGCAAAAGTAAAGCTTCATTCCAATGTTTAAAAAACTCTGAAAGAGGCTGGGAGCTGTGGTTCACGCCTGTAATCCCAGTACTTTGGGAGGCCAAGGCAGGTGAATCACCTGAGGTCAGGAGCTTGAGACTTGCCTGGTCAACATGGTGAAACCCTGTCTCTATTAAAAATATAAAAAAAATTAGCTGGGTGTGGTGGCGCACGCCTGTAGTCCCAGCTACTTGGGAGGCTGAGGCAGGAGGATCACTTGAACCCAGGAGGTGGAGGTTGCAGTGAGCCGAGATTGCACCACTGCACTCCAGCCTGGGCGACAGAGCAAAACTCTGTCTCAAAACAAACAAACAAACAAAAAACAAACTCTGAAAGACGACTTCACTCCTCATGCTAAATGAAAAGGCAAGAGTTTAAAGCGCAGGGGGGCGGTATAGGGGGGTGGTGAAGAATGAAGTGCGTTTGTTGAATTTGTAAAAAGACAGAGAAATATTTTGTTACCTCAAGGGTGTTTTTTTTTTATTTACTGCTTTCCAAGTCAATACAAATGTTTACCAATTAAGTTCATTTTTTTAAAAAATCAGTAAATTGAAGTTTTTTTTTTACTTTAGTATTTAAGTAACTTCCACTTACCAGATCCCAAACAAGCTATTATTATTATTATTATATATTATTATTATTGACAGCATCTTGCTCTGTCACTGGAGTACAGTGGCACATTCATAGCTCATCATAACCCTGGGCTCCTGGGCTCAAGCAACCCTCCTGTCTCAGCCTCCCAAGTGGCTGGGACCACAGGCACACACCACCAGCCTAGCTAATTTTTATATTTTTTGTAGAGACAGGGTCCACCTATGTTGCCCAAGCTGGTCTCAAACACCTGGATTCAAGAGATCCTCCTGCCTTGGCCTCCCAAAGTGCTGGGATTACAGGTGTGACCAGTGTGCCTGGCCCCAAAGAAGCTATTTTTCATCCCTCTGGGACCTAACAACAGGCACAAGGGGGAAGGTAGTGAGCTAGAGCCGTCTTCCCCTCCCCAGCACTGGCGAGGATGCTCACGCCGTGGGGAGACCCCACCATCGGCACACTGCCCTCCCTTCTGACTCAGGCAAAATCCCACCTCCTCCATGAAACCCCTCAAGTCTACACTTCCTCTCATTTTTCTTTTCTTTCTTTTTCTCTTTTTTGAAATGGAGTTCTGCCCTGTCACTCAGGCTGGAGTGCAGTGGCATGATCTCGGCTTGCTGCAACCTCTACCTCCCGGGTTCAAGCAATTCCATTGCCTCAGTCAACCTAGTAGCTGGGATTACAGGTGTGCACCATCACGCCTGGCTAATTTTTGTATTTTTAGTAGAGAAGGGGTTTCACCATGTTGGCCAGGCTGGTCTCGAACTCCTGACCTCAGGTGATCTGCCTGTCTTGGCCTCCCAAAGTGCTGGGATTACAGGTGTGAGCCTCCGTGCTCGGCCTGGTTCTCTCTCTTTTCTGAGTTATAGTCACAGGCAGTGTTTCCAACACAGGGTGTGGCCATTCCATTTCGCCATCAGGATCCCTGGGTTTCTCATGTGTATCAGCTCTACCTTCCTGCCAATTGCTCGAGAGCCACTTGGGAACCAGAACAAAGTATCCTTCCCTCTTTTCCCAAGTGCCCCCAGAGGGCTCGCGCAGAGCAGACACCACGAGTGGCACAGGGAAGCTGCCCCCTGCCCCACACCCAGCCCAGGGAGGCACAGAGCACTGGAAACTTCCATGGGTGGGTTTGCACCAGGCCAGGTGTATCCATCAACACATCCTGTAATCCTCTCTACAACTGTATTTTATGAGTGAGGAAGTAAGATTCAAATGGGTTAGACGGATTTAAACGTATCCCTAATCCACCTCTTAATGACCCCACAGGCTCAGGGCAAGAGCTGAGGGGCTTGGCTGACTGCAGCGCCTACCCCGCCCCTCCCCAGGGCTGCCAGTGTTAGCAAAGAAAAATACAGGATATGCAGCTTAATTTGAGTTTCAGATAAACAACAAATAATTTGTAGTACTAGTCTATCTCAAATATGGCATGGAACATATTTACACTAAACACTATTCATTGTTAATCTGAAATTCAGATTTAACTGAGCAGCCTTTATTTTATCTAGCAAGCTACTCTCCACATCCTCCCCCACAAATTCCAAAGAGCATATTTTGCTGAAGGTGAGGCATAGCCTTCGAAGGAAGGGCACGGCACCTGCCTCCCCGCTGGCTCCTAATCTCTGCACCCAGACAGGCCAATCACATTTGAACAATTTAGCAGACACTCCTTGGAAGAGAAGAGAAAATCACCCACCTCTCCACCCCGACTAAGGCAGGACCATAGGATGGGGCTCCAGGGAGGGCTGGCTCTGCAGGGGCCTCTTGGTGGCTCTGCCAGGTTTGACTATCTCCTGCACTTCGTAATTTGGGTCATTTTTTTTTTTTGAGATAGGGTCTCACTCTGTTGCTCAGGGTGGAGTGCAGTGGTGATCAAAGCTCACTACAGCCTCAAACTCTTGGGCTCAAGTGATCCTCCCACCTCAGCCTCCTGAGCAGCAAGGACTACAGGTGCACGCCACCATGCCTGGTTAATTTTTGTATTATTTGTAGACAGGGGGTCTGGCTCTGTTGCCCAGGCTGATCTCGAACTCCAGGGCTCAAGCAATACTCCTGCCTTGGCCTCTCAAAGTGCTGGAATTACAGGCGTGAGCTCCCATGCCCGGCCTAGGTCATTGATGTTTCTTTATTTTTTTTTTCATGTTGGTATTCAGTGTCCTTATGACTGGGTGTTTGCCTTTTCTCTTTCCGACCTCCATGCACCTTAACTTCATGAAACATAGCAAGCATGCTGTGCTCATGAAACAAAAATACTTCATGGTACTGGAGGTTTTTAGGGGTGTGGCCAGCTAGCCCAGCTTCCCACCCTTACAACGATATCGATATCTGAAGCAACCAACAAAAGCAAAGCGAGGGTGCAGCAGTGAGCTTGGAAACAGAGAGCCTGGCCCATCAGCCTGGGCCTGCAGGGAACCAAGGAACCTGCAGGGAACCCTGCACCCAGCTGGGCACGCTCATCAGACTGCAATCCCGCCAACAGGTGCCACTGGAAGCTGCTCACCAGCCCCGCCAAGCGCCGCACCCTGGGGCCCCCACCCGTCAGCTTCTGCAAAGGTGCCCGCGCTCAGCAGGGACGTGAACAGTTTTCTTGACACTCCATCCTCATTGAAGTGAAATCCACGCAGCCAGCATCGGAGACGATGAAATGGGACAAGCTCTCACCGCTGCCCGTGGAGGGATACCTGGCTGGGACTCAAAACCCCTATTACAAAAATCAGACCATTAAAAAAAACTAGCCAGGAAGAAGCCAGGAGATTTCCCTCCGCCATCTGTTAATTTATAGGGTTATCGGTGTCAGCAATTTAGGAGAAGTTAAATTATATCACAGCCCCACTCACAACTCTGCCATGGAAACTCAGAAATGTAATCACAAATTTTAATTGAGAAAAATTGCTCTGGATCAAATTCCTTTTTTTTTTTTTTTTAAGAAACAGATTAAATTATGTTGGGGGAAGGGGAGTGGCAATATGAGTTTGAAATTAGTTGTGATAAAATTGAGGTGTGATTGTAAACCAATTTGTGTTTTGTGTATTGTGAGTAATTGTTGGGAGAGAGAAGCCTGTCCGGGTTATTTCTGCTGAATGCCGCACCGTGCCTGGGAAGAACATCAGCTTTTGGAAACAGAAGTTCACGTCTCAGGCAAAGGAAGGGAAAGGAATAAATGGCCGAACCCCTCCTAAGTCAAGAAAGACACACATTTGGCTCCAAAGGTTTGAAAGAGGGTGACAGACAGCTGTCACCCTCCCTCTGCTAACATCAGGCTGTTCCCCAGACCCACCCATCTGCAGACAATTTCTCCTGGACCAATCCCATCCTCGGCTTGCCACTGCCCGACCTGGCCTCTTCCCTCTCCCCAGGCTGCTGGTTGGCGCCTTGATCCATTTGCCATCGGGGCTATCTGAGACGCTCATCGAGGTGCTTACCCGCTAACAGCTCTGTGCAGGTGGCATGAGCTTGCATCCCCCACTGCCTTCCTTGTGGAAAGATTAAACATCTCTCAGATGCTGGGAGGACCCTCACGGTGGCCCTTGGTTACTGGAGTCACCAGGACCTGCAGCACCTTGCCAACACCCTGGCCACCACCTCCTGCCCCTGAGCCCGCGTGGCTCTCTGTGCCACAGCTGGAGAGGGCCCAGCTGATCAGCAGCTCTGCCAGGCACTGTCCAGGGCTTCCCTAAGGGACATGCCAGCCCACGTCCATCTCTCCTCCTCCTCCCAGCATCCCCTCTCTTTCACTCTGCCCTCAAACAGCATTTCACTCCATCATTCATTTCTTGGTCTTTGGGCCAAGGTCATGTGTGTGTGCACACGTGTGTGCGCTGTGCAGGGGTACCCAGTGTAACTGCCTGCACTTATTTATTTAGAGAAGCAGAGGAAGTGGAGGTGTTGCCAGTTCTTGCCATTTCATCTTGATTTAGTCATTTTTATATGGCTCACAAGGCATAGGCAGATTTCTCTGTTTCTTTATTTGTTCATTAAAACTTCAATAAAAATGTTATAAAAATGTCTTATTTTGGTAGTTAATTGCCATTTCCATTTTAATATGCAAGCGGTGTTGGCTCTTCTCCGAGATTCTTCGAGTCTCTCTGTAAATAATACAGCTGCCTTGGACGAATGTTCCCTGCCTGCTGCGTATTTACTCAGTCATCAAAGCGCAAATGTGGTGGGTAACAGATCACTCCCTTCGAGAGAATCCACTCCACTGCCAGCTCACACACAGCCCTCCACGGGCCACGGCCAAGCGCTGAGCCAACAGAGTTTGCCTCCTGCCTCACACCGGGGTCTTTCAGCCTGAGGTGAGCGCCCCAGAGAGCTTCCCAGGTTCTCAGATATTTTCCTGCCTTTGGGAAAATGCATCTGTCTCCCTGCGTTTCTCTGAAGCCAGAATCCCGGCCCTTCAGGGCTTGGCTGAGATCCCCGGCCAGCGTCTGCGTAGGACGGTGGGAGAGGCTGAGTGCAGCGTCTTTCAGAGCCAAACAGAGCCCCAGCTCTGAGGCATGGGGAGAGGATCACCCAGGGGACCAGGGGGTGGGGGTGGCGGTGGGCGTGGAAGGCCACCTGCGCTGGGCCTGGATGGCACTAGGCTGAGGGGAGCAGGGGGAGCAGTGTCAGCAGGGGCCTGGCTGTGGCTTGGGATGGAGATGGGAGCCTTTATGTCCCGCGTGTGAGGGGCCCAGAGGCCTCTTTGCAAAGCTTGAATACCTGGCGCCCCAGGAAAATGAGAGCCGGCCTGCCGGGCAATTGCTTCCTGTGACGGAGCCAGTTACTGGCACCTCATCTCCACTGGCTCTGAGCTGCACAGGCTCATTAGAGACCATGGGATGGGGCCTCCGAGGAGCTCTGGGACTGCTCAAGGCCACCAGAGCTGGAATTTGTTGCCACAGCTATGAGAGAGGGGTAAAGCGGGAACATCAGACAACCCTGAACGCCCGGCTCTGTGTGCAGACCTCATTCTCGGACACTTCGAGGCCACACAGGTGTGAGAGGTCCCACTCCCCAATCTATATCCCCAAATGCTGGTGATGTCCTGTCCTGAGTCCAGGACCCCTCTAGGGTTGGAGCGGGGTAAGCCCCAGAATATCTCACAAGCCAGAGTACCTTCTCCAAGTGCAGAAAACGGAGAATTACGGGAAAGTAAAAATTCAGAGGCATGACGCTTGCACATGCGAGGTTTCTGGGCCATAGTGAGCCGCAGGGGAGGCACGTGGCTCCTGCAGGGGAGATGGAGGGGAGGCACATGACTCCTGTGTCTGAGGTGGCTCCTGCACTCCTGAGCGTGGCCAGGGGTTCTGTAGTGCCAGCAAGGCTGATGCACAGAGAGGGGACATGGCTCACGGGTGACAGTTAGGGTCAATGTGCAGAAGAACCAGGGGACTCTTTAAAGGGCAAATGCGCTGTGAATGGAGACTCTCTTGGCAACGCCAGGGAGAGGAACAGGATTCCTGGGATACCCAGGAAGTCTGTGGGCTGTTCCCTCTGGAAATAGGGGGCTAAGGTGTTCCCAGGCCTGGTCACCTCCACCCCAGACTTCCAAACTCTTCTGTCTGGCTGCCTCCTCGGCTTTTTCAAGAAGCCTCAGAAGTATCTCAGAAGTATCTCAGATCTTCTGAGGATGCCCAACACAAGGCTCAATTCCCCTTCCTGTTCCTGCCCAGCTTCCCTGGGGGGTCTCCGCGAGCAACATACCTCTTACCCAGGGGCCCAATCGAAGATCTAGGGCCTTCGATTCCCTCCTTTCCTTGATGCCAGTATCCAGGCCACCAGCAGGTGTTTCAGGGACCTCCGACACGCCTCCAGAGCCCCCAACACCTCCAGAGCCCTCCAGCCTCCATGCTCAGCCCGTCCGCCCCCCAGCAGCCTGGGTCTGACTGAGGAAGGTCAATCAGCTCGCACCCCTGCCCCACTCAGAACTCTCTGGGGCTGTCCACTGCACTGGGATAAAGCAGACGACGGGCTCCTGCAGCCCCTAACTCTCCCCACCTCGTCCCCCTCACCCACTCCACTCCAGCCACCCTGGCCTCCAGCTCCTCCACAAATCACAGCCTGTGCTCCACCACGCCCTCCTTTTCCACCAGGCTTTATGGGGCTGTGCCTTCTCAAGCCTCAGCTCAGATGCCAGGTCCTCAGAGAATCCAGCCCTACAGGAAACAGCCACCAGCCACCCACCCCATGGATTTTCGGGACAGCACGCACCACTCTGGGACCATTCACTCAGTCATTTAAACAGCCCCATGCCCAGAAGGCAGGCTCCGTGGGAACTGGTGTTCAGCCTTCCTCTCTGCTCCACCTGCCTGCCCAGAGTAGGTCTGGCACAAAGTGAGCAGAGATGGTAGCCATCAGTTGACAGGATCACCAAATCCCAAATCTCCATTTCCTGTTGTTCCTGGCATGCTGTTTTAGGACAGTCCTGAACTGGACTTGCAGTCTATAGAAGACACACGCTTGGGTGTTCCTTGAATGACGGGGCTGATGGAGATAAAGCTGCCATTCAGATGCAGGTGGACTCTGAACTCTGCGAGGAAAGAGATGCTCTCTGCAGCTGGGGACAGTGCTGCTCTCCCAGGCCAAGCACGTCTCCCAGGCATCTGATGGGTCAGTGCGCAGTTAATGAGTGTGTTGACTGCACAGACACTGCGTGCAGCTCTGGGGATGAAAAGATGCGTAAGACAAAGGGGCCAGGGGTTGAAGGATGAGGGTGTGCTGGTGGGTGACGGGGAGCGGGCGTGAGCAGGTCGGATAGCCTGCTGTTTGCTTTCTGGTGGGGAAGCACGCTCTCCACTGATGGGGGACACCATATGGGGCTGGGGACCTAGAGGAACACATTATAGCCCATCCAGCACAGCCTCCAGGGAGAGGACCCCGCAAAGCCCCAGGATGACTACCCAGCCCACGCATGTGGCCTTACCTACAGCCTGGGTTGCTCCCTCAGCTGGAGAGGCTACCTTGTGTGGCCAGAACCACTCAGTCAATGTGAGGCTGACTCCTGGTGCCCAGGGAGTGGCTGGGCAGGAGCCACCCAGCTGCAGTGCTTGGGCAGCAGTCAGCCCAAGGCTCAGAAAGGCAGCATCCAAGCAAAGGGCAGGATGCTCCCTGGGCCAGTCTTGGACACATTAACTAGAGTTGGTGGGGGAGGCTTGTCTCTTGGTATTTATTGGGCCCCCAATAAAGCCTCTCTACCCTCAACACTTTAGTTTCTGCTCTGGATGTGCGCACACACACACACACACACTCTCTCATGCACATGCACACGGTATTTCTGGGGAAAATCTTAACTCCTTGCTCTTTTCAACTCCTTTAAAAAAATCACTTTGGCTTGTTCCAGTTTCATCCTCCTATGAACAAAATATCCACTCCAGCAGAAGTGGGAGGGATGACTGTAACTGTGGGGAAAAAATAGCATCCCCTTTGATGTTAAGTAATACAACAAACTCCTAAATGAAAATCCACTAAGAGAAAATGAAATAGAAAGCTGCCTGGGCATCAAAAATTGCAAAATGAAACTGTTAAAGAATAAAACTCATTAAATGCCTGTGATAACACTTTATTTTAATAGTACATTTAATTCATACTTAATTCCAATGTGCTCTAGCGCGGCCCTGGCGCTCCCACGCGAACACCAGATAAATGGATTACGGCAAGCCAGGAGACAATGAGTGCCCACTGAAGCCGGCGCGGCGGCAGGTGAAAAATGCTTTAACGGAATATGTTTCCCATACATGAATCACCAGCATATTTGATAACACCTTCCACAGAAATAAACCTGAAGGAATATATCTTCCCCACACTGACAATGTAGATTAAATAGTTTTACCCCATATTCTATGGGGACGCTGCTATCTGATTTAGAGCTCACAGAATTCACAAGGTAAAGAGGGCAGGGGCAGGCACCTGGCAGGGTCAAGGGGCTATAGTGTCTGCTGCCCGAGAGGGAAGGGGGCTTGCCAAGAGCACAGCGGCCACACCTCTGGGTGCCCGGTAACCATGGAGATGGCAGCCCTTCTTGGATACCACACTCTTGCACCAAAGACGCCATCAGCGTCATGACCACGCCACGGATGTCCTGCCACTGCACATTTCTGATCTGAAACCAGGAGGGCAGCACACAGGGATGCTTCTGCCCACAGGGGACACACCATGCTGCAGCCTGGAGCCCCTGTGCTGAAAGTCACCTTAGGGAAAGCAAGTAGAGCAAGCTTCAAAACCAGCAAGACAGAGGCATCAATCAACCCGGTCACTAGGAAAGCTAGCTGCATAGCTGACGAGAAGCAACCCACGATCAGCCTGTGGTCCAAGTCATGCCCAGGCACCGCACTAGTCTTTCTGGTAGACGATCAGGCATCTCGGGCACCATCACTGGTAAAGGGGCTGCTTTCTGTATAAAGAACAGCAGAGCCCAGCCAGTGACTCCCTGACCTGTTCATGCCTGCAGACCGTGGCTGTCTCTATACTAAGCCGTTTCTTTTTCTTTAAAGTGTTTATTTAATTCTAAAGGAATGGGTGGGATCTGGCAGCTAACGCCTGCTCTAAAAGCGAGCTGTGATTTTATGGTATATTATGCCGGCGCCACGTCTCAATCTATCAAAGTCAGTGTCCCCAGAGCCTGAGAAATCAAAACATCATGAATAGAGCACCACTTCCCAGCTCCTGCTGTCTGCCGGCGAGAGAGCCAGCCCAACGAGCAGTGCCTTATTGACCCTTCCATCGTGCACAGTCGATCCCAGCCGCCTCGCCGCCAGCCCAGCATCTGCTCAACTAGAGGAGGATGAATGCAGGGCCCCAGCCCAGCAGAGGCAATGTTTGAGGAGCTGGAAGGCTTCTGCCTGTGGACACTGGCAGGACTGGGGCACAGCCCAGCAGGACGACCCTTGTCCTTCCTAGCAGATGTTGTGCTGGCCCACCTGGAGCCCCTTCCGGGGAGCTGCTCTCACCCCAGCTGCTGGGACCCTGGGCAGCTGAAGGCTCTCAGCTGAGTCCCTCCCAGAGTACTGTCCTCAGAGAGAGCCACCTCGCCCAAGGGCCCTGGGGAGGGTCCACATCCATGACAGGTGGGCAAAGGGGTACAAAGGCCATGCCATTTTGCCTCAAGGTGGGGCAGCTCCAGAGCTACGCAGAGGTCTGCTGCACCGTGTTGTGACTGCCTCACAGCCTCACACCTCCCTTGCCCAATTCTGCTGCCCTCGCTCCCACATGAGTGCTGACCCCAGGCCTGCATGTCACCTTCGCAGAGTCGGCTTCCGGAGGACCCCAGCCTCAGACACCCTCCTTTCCTTCTTCTCTTCCTTCTCCTCGAAGTCCTCCTCCTCTCCCTCCTCCCCTCCCCTTCTCCCTCCTCCCCTCCTCCTTTTCTTCTTTCATCTCCTCCTCCTCCCCCTCCTCCTCCCTCTCCTCTTCCCCCTTCCCCTCCTCTTCTTCATTTCCTCTTCCTCCCCCTCCTCCTCCTACTCCTCCTCCACATCCTCCCCTCCAGTCCTCCTCCACCTCAAGTCCCCCGACCTTCTCCCACTGCTTGATCCTTCTTCAAAACGCAAATCACATTGGCCAGATTCATGCATGTATCACCCAGCAGTTAGCGATGAGCACTCATGAGCTCTGGGCTACAGGTGTCAGGAGAGACCGAGACAAGAGAAGACACACAGTAAGAAGAGTCCGCTTTCCCTGGTTTTAAGGTTTAGATTGCAAAAGTCAGATTTACTCCCAGCCAGTAACTTGAAAATATTTCCCCAGCCACCTACTACGGGATGCAGCAGAGGAGAAAATGGCACTACCATCCACCCCTCCGGGGAGGACAGGCAAAGGGAGCCACGGCCAGTGGGTGTCATGGTGGGCCGGACAGGCAGCTCTTTTGGGGGGTCTCTGTGGCAGCCAAGGTATGTGACAGAGGAGGAATCAGAGCCCGCCTGGCCCCCCAGGAAGGCTGCTCACCTGAAGGCAGACACTGTGGACAATCCACCGACAATCGTTCACTATGAATGGGTTTCTCCTGCCTCCGAATGTCTGGGACATCCCGGCATGACTCTGTGTGCATTCAGGGCTGGGGAATTAACTTCAGCCAAAGACAAACAACAACCGAGGGTCAGGGACACCTGAAATTCTTACAGGAGATTCTCAGCACATGGCAAGGTTAGTCCCAATGGGATTTGCTTTCATTTCCTGCTAATGAGATTAAGAGGCGTGGGGACAGAAGTTCCTGTCCACACCATCCTTTATTACGCATTGGCCCTGTCTTTCCTTCCACGGGATCCCACGGGATGGGTTCTCTTACAGAACAACTTTTCCCCTCTCCACAGCCGTGCCCACGTCATTCTGCAGAAGGGCTGAGCCTTATCTAAAGCAAAGGGAGCTGCAAAGATGAGGGGTCCAGTAGGAGCAGCAGCTGAGGAGAGACCTCCCCCTCCACCAGCCTGGGGCTGTAGCCAGGCCACACCATCCAGGTGGGGGACCAGGAAGCCAGGATCCTGCGTGCTGTCCTGCATCTGGGTTTCCCAATGTGGCTTCACAATGCTATTTGAACTGTGTTCATTTCCAAACCTAGGACGCCCGCATTTGCAGATGGACAAAAATGCCACACTTGGGAGTCAGTCGTGGGTTCCACCGGTTCCCCGCACCTGCTGCCTTGGTCTCAGTTCCTCTGCAGGACAATTGAGAAGCCCGTGGGTGGGTGACCTCATGTTGCCATGAAAGACACCACTCCCTGGATTGTTACCATCCGAGAAGGTGCTGGAAGAGCTGACCAGATTCCAAGCAGCAACCAACCCAGAGGTCCTCGCACACCAGCCCGATGCTGGTCCGAGGCCCCACGCTCAGCCTCCCTCCAGCCAGACACACGGGTGTCCGGGAGGTTGATCCTCAGCCAGGGCTGACACCATTAGGGCCATGGAAATGTCATGATTTCTTTTAAAATGAGAAGATAAAATGAACTTTAAGGGCCAACGATGCTTTTGTCTTTGTATCCACACTGTGGCAAAATCTACTTTTCACTATTTTTTGATGGCAGGAGATGGCCCACACAGGGCCCATGACAGGATGCAGCCATGGGCTTCACGAAGGCAGGAAAAGGCAGATCCCAGTCACTCGCTCACCGCCGCCTGCTATCCAGCCCACGGCCCACCACACAAGGAGAGCGAGGAGGGGCTCCAACCACACCAGCTCTGCCACCCCTGGACAGCCTGGGGGCATCTGCTCTGAGCTGTCTCACTGCGCCCAGTGCAGCTGGTGGGCATCCGGTGGCACTGTGCCACTCTCCAAGCACACGAGCAACGGGCAACTCTGGGTGGGGAGGGGCTGCCCATCAGCCGGGGTTGACCTGTGGCACCGGGTGCCAACACCATCTTCCCACCTCCCCAGGCACGGCGCCACCTCCACATCTGTACCCAAAGGCACCGGAGTTTCTACCACAGTCTGCCCCCACTCCCCGGGGAGGGGCTGATGGGGGCTCACCAGAGGGGTTGCCCTGGACCCTGACCGTGACCCTTGCCGTGACTGCTGGGGGCAAAGGACACGCGTTTCGGAGGGTTTGCTGTTTTCACCCCCAGAACTCAAATGGCCTTAGCAAGACAGGGCTTGTCTGGGGATCCCCTCGAACACCAGGCATACACAAGGCGCCTCCTCCCAGGCCTTTCCCTTCCTGCCACCCCAAACTCTGGGTGTGTGTTCTGGGGCATGGTTGGTGTTGCTCTGGTTAGCGTTGAAAGCCGCTCCCCTGCCACCACCATCTTGGTCAGTTCTGCCCGCAATGGCCTTGGGAGCCCACGTGTGTCTCCAGGTGATTCTTCACTGCTGTTGCCTCCCCTCTCCCTAGAGGGCCTTTCAGGTCCTGCAGCTCCTGGTGCCACCCCAGCTCAGGCTCTCTCTGCAGCCTCGGGAAAGATCATCTGCCCGCCCTGATGGATGGAGATTTGGTCAAACATCTGAGTGTCTATCCCCTGGCCTTGTCCCTCCTGTCCCCTCTTTCCCTCTCAAAGAAGCTCCCACGGAGAGAGAATTCCAGCTACGTCGGTGCAGAGTGGCCTTGGCTGAGGGTGAGCACTGGGCTGCAGGTGCACATTTCTCCTCTAAGCCCCACCAGACGCCCTTCGTTAGATGGAGTTTGGGATCCCACCAAAGAGAAGGCTCTTGGCCAGCAAGGGAGTTCACACCTGGGGCCTCGCTGGCTTCCAGCCCTTCCTGATGCTCCCTGCTCTGTGGTGACCAGGTCTTGGTGCCAACCCCATCATCACCAGAGCACCTCTCTCACCAGGAGCCAACGCTCACAGAGCCAAGAGGAAAGAAGTCACTGACAGCACTTGGACGTCAGAAAATCTTCCAGATAGATTCCCCAAGGAAGCAAAGCTGGAGACACCACTCTGCCCGGGTTGCCACGTGTGCAGCCCTCCCATTCCCAGCAGGGCCAGAGCCCCACCCAGTGCCTGAGCCCCACCCAGGGCCTCACTTGACACTTGCAGAATGCACTTGCTGCCACCTCAATGCTGTGGCCAAGGTGGACACATCCGACCATGCTCACATGCTCACATACACATGCACACACCCTGATGTGCACAGTCACATACTAACATACACTCACACACGTGCTCACTCACACAGGCACACACACGTACACGTCTCTGGTACACCCTGAAATGCACACATACACTAACATACATACATGTGTGCTCACTCACACAGGCACACACACGTACACGTCTCTCATACACCCTGACATGCACAGTCACATACACTAACATACATACATATGTGTGCTCACTCACACAGGCACACACATGTACACATCTCTCATACACCCTGAAATGCACGGTCACATACACTAACACATACGTGCTCACTAACACACACAGGCCTACGCTCACATACACACGCACATGTCTCATGCATACACCTTGACTTGCAGTCACACTCACTCACACACAAGCTCACTCACATATGCACACAGGCACATGCACACACATGCTTCTCTGGGTCCTTAGTTCCCAGGGCCAAGCACCTTATCTGGAGAAACCAGTGCCCCCATGTGGGGCCAAGCCAAGAACACCTGGAGCTCCCAGCAGGTGCTTGTGACTGGGAAGGCACCTTTCCTCTCCTCCCCCGGTAGGGGGTTAGGGAGGGAAGGGGGACATGCACGGCAGGGGACTTGGGGAGGCATGCACGGTGGGGTGGCTTCCCAGGCCAGCACGGTGTCCCTCCTCCTGTCTGGGTGTCCCTGGGCCACCTGCTCTGCACTGGGGCCTGGGACCTCCTTCTCTGCCTTTCTTCACTGAGGGACCATGGCGAGGGGCCACAGTGGCGGCCCTGTTGCCTCCATGGGGCAGATTAACCCCACTTTGCTCTGCCTGGGCACCTGGGTTTGGAAGGTTCTGGTACGTTCCACTGTGAAATGGGCACATCCGAAGGGCTGTGAATATCTTGCTGCTTTAGAACAAATGAGGAAGCTTTGCCCGTGGCCAGATTCCAGAGGAGCCCAGGGCTTCCGTCTTCCTCAGCTGAGTGCCCATGCTCGCCCTCCCCTTTCCTGCTCCCTGTGGGGGCAAGAGCTCCCTGGCTGCAGAGTGGCCCTTGTTGCTGGGCTCCATAGACCCCATGCAGTCTATCAGGGGCTTTGGCTCCTGAAGGCAGAGCACTCCTTGCTGCTCCTGACACCACTCTGTTTAAAGAGAAAATCGAGACGCCCAGAGTGTCCAGCAGTCCCTAGGGTTAGGGGCCACTCGATGAGGAAGGTCCCACCAACCAAATGTGGTGGGGGGACACGTGTCATCTCCAGGACACCCCCAGCAGCCCTCACGCTCTTTCCTCTTCTCGAAAATGTGGAAACCACGTGTTAAAGATGGCAGATCCTGCAAGTGGGAGGGACTGGGGCTTGGGGTCACCCTTGGGAGCAGAGCCTCGCCCTGGTCAGCCGTGCCCTGAGGGACCTGGCATGGTGAGAAGCGTGTCTCTGCTGTGTCACGACACTGAGATGGGGAGCTGGCTGTCCCCGCAGAAAGCATTGTTCAATTCATACCAAAACCAGGATCAGAGGATCGAGGCTCCTAAGCAGGCCAAGGAGAGGTGCAGAGCAACCACAGCCCACAGGCAGGTTCGGGGAGACCCTCCCCGCAGACGCTTCAGTTACAGGCAGGTTCGAGGAGACCCTCCTCGCAGACGCTTCATTTGGGCCTAGCACGGTGAATGCACCCTCTAAACGCCAGTAACTGCGAGGATGACTGTGGCCACGGCAGCCCTCAGCAATGCGCTGCCCGGTGCTGTGAGGGCTCCTTCCCCAGGAACAGCCTGCCCCGGACAGCACTGCCTGCCCGCAGGACTCTGTCAGCTGGCTCCCCAGCCTGTCCTATGGCCTCCCCATACTATCCCCGGCAATCCTATGGCTCCCCTGGGTCCTATAGCCCCTCTATACTATAGACCCCCCCCTGTCAAATCCCCCCCATCCTATGTCTCCTCCCAGGTCCTACAGGCCCCACCTCCCCATCCTGTGGATCCCCCTAAGCCCTATGGGCTCCCCCATCCTATGGCTCTCCTCAGTCTTATGACCCCCCAGTTTTATGTCTCCCCCCTGGACTTATGGGCCAGTCCATGGCTCCGCCTCTGTGTGATGGATGCTCCCAAGGCCAGGCCTGGCCCGGGCTCCCACCCCTGCGGGTCTTTCTCCATTCTAAATCCCCCCCAGATCCCTGCCAGGATGAACAGCCTAGCTCAGCCCAGTCTCCTGGCTGGAGGCTCTGGGATGTCAGCTCCCCCATGTTTCCTGGGGACTTCCTCCCCACCCACAGGGGCAGGGCAGGGACAGACGTGTGAGACACACCTGATTAACCCTTCTCATGCTCCAGAAAAAGGGGAGTCTGGGCAGGGACTGTTGCCCACCTTTGCGTGGGCATCAGGAGGAACCAGCATAGAGGTAGAGCTGCGTGTCCAACTGGCCGCAGGTGTGCTGGGGGAAGCTGACAGAAAACATGAGTCTGTTCCTGAGATTTTTCTGGTGCAATTGCGTGAAATGAGTCTATAACGCAGAGCAAGACAGGGCAGAAGGTGGGCGGGGACTGGCAGGAGTCAGGGGCTGATAAGGAACAAGGGCCAGCAATTAGAGCCCAGCCCAGGGTGGATGGGGCCGGCCCACTGGACTTTTATCTCACTCCTCGGAAGAGGAAGCTCACGTCGCCTCTCAGCAGGTGGGGCAGAGGCCTGGCCTCCAAAGCTTGCAGAGACAGGGGTGACGGCAGGGGAGCAGGTTGATTCCAACCCCATTTCCATGTGTTACAAATGCACCGGACTCCCCCAGCTGTGGCCCAGGCCTCAGGTCCATGAACCCCTCCAAGTTCTTCCCTCTGTCCTCCCCACCCCTACGGCCCCCACACATACATACTCAACTCCAGCTCCTTAAGGGCCTAGTCGACACCTCTCCCCACATTTCCATTTGGAGAAAATGAAGCTCAGAGAGGGAAGGGGGCTTGCCAAGGACCCAGCCCAACCCTACCAGGCACTCGGGCTGGGCGTGGGAGCATGTCACGTGCTCAGAGCCTCTGATCATGAATGGCAGCACCAGCCTGAACCCATCCTGGCTCCATTCAGAACACACCTGAAATCCTTTCTCCAAAGTGCTCTGTGAAATGGGTCAGAGGGGCCAGACGGGTGCTTACCTGAACACACATCTGAGCATTTCGCAAACACTCCATCTGAGGACTTGACGCCTGCTGGCCTGAATCTGTCTCGGTGGTTTTACAGCCCACACTGGAGGCCCCTGGGGTGCCAGCATCATTTTTATGTGTGAGTTCCACACGGCTGCTTTCTCCTGGACAGAGCTCCCCCTCAACCCCCGAGCAGGAGCCGGGCCTACCACCTGCCCAGCAAGTCACGGGCCACCCTGGAAGGACACAACCTCCTTCCTCCAGGGCAGGCTGAGCGCAGGGACCAGTTTCCTCCCATCTCCCTACGGTTTTGTGATGAGTTTTCTTTTTTTGTTTTTGTTTTTGTTTTGAGACTGAGTCTCACTCTTGTCGCCCAGGCTGGTGTGCAGTGGCGCGATCTCGGCTCACTGCAACTTCCGTCTCCAGGGTTCAAGCGATTCTCCTGACTCAGCCTCCTGAGTAGCTGGGATTACAGGGGCCCACCTAATAATTAGCCCAGCTAATTTTTGGACTTTTAGTAGAGACGGGGTTTCGCCATGTTGGCCAGGCTGGTCTCGCACTCCTGACCTCAGGTGATCCACCTGCCTCGGCCTCCCAAAGTGCGGCGATTACAGGCGTGAGCCACCTCGCCTGGCTTTGTGATGAGTTTTCTAAGCACCTGGTGCAGCTGCTTCCTCTACATGGAGCAGATTCCAGGGAGAGGAGGGGCTGACGAGGAGAGTGGGCGTGAGAGAAGTAAAGACGAGAAGCCGCAGCTTCCCAGGGCAAGGGACCACCATCTCCCAGAGGGGTTTCCAGGCGAGGGGGCTGGTGTGTGGGTGGTGGTGCGGGGGCAGGCTGCTCTGTGTCCAGGTAGAACAAGGCTGAGCCTTTCTTCTTTGGAAAGGACCGGCTTTCCATGCAGAAACAGGATCTGCTAATAGATGAGAATTAAGAAAACCCATTAAGCTAATGAGTTGCTGCTGAAGACTTAGGGCAGCAAATAAAACCTGGAAGGGAGGGCTTTCAACATTTGCTTTAATTTAAATTGAACCAGACTGATGAGAAAATGCGAGAGCTGGCTGCGCCCAGGTACACGCAGCGAGGTTGGCACACGCACGGCACATGTGTACACGCTTGAGGCTCCGTTCGCATGTTTGCGGGCTTTCTCCTTGTTTTCACACGTGTAGGTGTGCCTGGCTTTTAAGAACACTCCATATCAAAACAGATAACTTAAGGAAAGTGTTTTTGCCTTTAGCAAAAGGGTTATTTTCTGGGAAAGATTTCTGGCAAGACTTCTTTACAGACTGAGCCTCCCCCAGTGCATTTAAAATATGATTTGATTGAAAGAAACTCTATTTACTCTATTTCCAGGCAACATCCACAGCCCTTGCTCCTCTCAGCCCAGTGGCTTCCTTCTTCCCAGAGCCCCAAGCTGC
Source organism: Homo sapiens (assembly GCF_000001405.40). Lineage (NCBI taxonomy): Eukaryota > Metazoa > Chordata > Mammalia > Primates > Hominidae > Homo > Homo sapiens. Next base: position 79,374,945 of record NC_000017.11, read on the forward strand.
GGCTGCTTCCCTCTCTCCCTCCTGCCCCAGCCCTACCCACCTCCCTTCCCCTGCCGCTCCACCAGCCTAAGGGCACCACTCTCCTCACCTTGCCAGATCCTGGTCCCCTGGGCTCGCCAAGAGCCAGCACACCAGGTCCCTGCCATTGAATGACACCCTGTGTTCCTACAGTAATGTGACATCCCCGGGAGCAGGAACACGGTCCTCCTAAATCCCGTCATTTGGTCAAGACAAGTTTCCTCCAGGAGATTCCAGAGAAGAGTCAGTGAAGGAAAATCATTTCCCAGGCAGCTGGTCAACAAGCCTTGATTATGGATCAACCCACGCTGCAGAGACTTGTGGAAGGCTGGATGGGTAAAGAGGGGACAGGGCCCTCCCTCTAAGAAGCTGCTGGTCCAGTTAGGAAGACAGAAGACACACACACACACACACACACACACACACACACACACACACGAAGCTCTTCAGTGCTGGGGATGTTGAGGGTGTGTATTTGGGGAGTGTTGAGGGTAATCAGGGATAACATACTCTCGGCCCCCAGGGGAGGCCCCAGAAGCAGGGTGACGTGCTGGGCTCTGGGGAGGGAGCAGCGTTCTGGGAGAGCTCTCTGCCACCTTGTTGCCATCTCAACTCAGGGTGGGACACACAGGTGTGCAAAAAGTTTCTGGGGGCTGAGCAGACTCGGGCAAGTGGCTGCAGTGATGGAGGTGGGGTGAGAGGGGATGGAGTTGCCCCCTTGGAGGCCATAAGGGGCACAACTCTGATACCCAATTCAACCTCACTGCCAGCATGAAACCCCTCCTTTGAAAGGGGCCGCTGAGCCCAGAGGCTGCAGGACACGGCCCCTCACCGTCAGGTCCATGACAAGGTGAGCCTGCCTGCTTCCGGGTGCCTGGGTTCCAATCCTGGCCCTGCCCCACACCAGCTGTGTGGCCTCGGGCAAGTTATTTAGCTTCTTTGTGCTTCAGTTTCCTTGGCTGTAAAACGGGGAGTGCAGTTGTGCTTCCCTCACAGTGTGGAGCAGGGATTTAGTGAGATTCTGTTTGTAGAATATGAAGATCCATTTCCAGCACACAGTGAAAGCACAATAAATGTAGAGACGATTCTCGTCCTGATCATGCCCAGATGTGGAGTCTGAATGCCCCAGAGCCCAGCCGACCCCCTCCCAGGCAGCATGGTGGCCCTGTGTCCCCCAAGTCAACACCCCCTCCTTCCTTTCTCCAGCAGCCCCTGGGCGAGGAGACTGCCTTCTCCAGGTTTGTCTCTGTCCACTGGTCCCAGGGACTCCCAGCCTGGAATCGACTGGTTGGAATGAAATGATTTCCTCCCATTTTTGGCCCCACTTGGAAAGGAGAGAGAAAGTCCGGTCTCTGTTCCTGAAGCTGCCTTCCCAGTCATGGGTCACAAGCAAAGAGGAGGTGTGGGTGGAGAGGGAAGGTGGGGGTGGCAGGGGCCGGCCAGGCACCCGCAGGACCCTCTCTCTGCAGATACTGGGGAGACTGGAGCTGCCAACATGAAGAAAGCTGGGCCTCAGGTGGGAACCCCCACCCCAAAACACACACAGCCAAGTGTTCAGCTGAATTCTTTTTCAAAATATTGTAAGAGAAGTCATATTCCACCGTGAGCAAATTGACTCAATTAAATTACCAGGGCATCCCCGGCCCAGCCCACTGCGTGTTTGCTCAGCTCTCAGGAGTGGGAGCTGCTGTCTTGCAGCCAGGGCCGCACGGGGGCTGGAGGAAGAGGAGGGGTGCAGATTCCAGGTCCAGTGACCATGAGTTGAGGACCTTGTTTTCAGCAGGTGGGGAGGCTCGCAGGGGGATGGGGGTGCTTCTTTCACCTGTTCGCTTTTCTGTCTCTCCACTGTGGAGACATCGTGAGCACAAGGACAATCTGGTTTCTCAGGGTTCCATTTTCACCTCCCTGGAACCCCGAGATGTGGGAGGTTGGGAAGCCCCCATTCTCTTCTCCCTTGCTCAGTGCCACCCCAGCCTGGAGCCCGACACCTGCCCTCCCGCCAGTACCTCCTGAGGACCAAGGCTCGCTGCTCCCTCCAGCCTGCTTGCAGGTTGAGTTTGGGGGTGTTCCGTGTTGTTCTTAGAGAAACCGCAGTGGGCAAAACACCCTAGACCAAAATACAAAATATCCCTCCTTCTAGAGACTCCTTTTCCTAATTAGGCTACTTCTGGGGCATGGCTCTGGCTTTCCACTGCCCAGCTGGTCTTGCATATTTGTCTAGACACACAGAGCACACGTGTACACAAAGATACACACACACTACACAGACGCACAGAGATGCAGAGACGTGGACCACAGATGCATACAGACATAATTACACAGAGACGCATACAGAGCCCTGCATGGACACGTGCACACGGAGACACAGGCACTCTTACACACAGACATGCACACCCACTTGTAAACGGAAACACATCCATGTGGAGACACACACACTCATACACACACAGACATGCACACCCACCTGTAAACAGAAACACATGCACGTGGGCATGCGCACGCACACACACACACCATGCTCAGCGACATCACTCCGAGTTGGTGACATCCTCCTGACAGCTCCATCGCACCCATGCTGTAGGTGCGGCGGCCGAGGAACTCCCCTTTGGTAGGACGCAGAGCTGCACTCAGGCGGTTCCACGGTGACAGCCGGAGCAGGGAGCCAGAACGGCATTGTGTCCACGGGGGAGGGGCATCGAGCTTCTGAGTGCCAGCATTGTAATCAGGGGCTTGGGACACCGCTTGGGGTCCTTTATTTGCCCCTCTGCCCTGCATCCCTTTGGAAACTGCAGAAGCCCACGGCTTTCTAGGTGTGCGTGTCCCTGGTGACCCGAGGTCGCTGCCCTGGTGGAGGGCAGCCTGGAAATGTGTGGGCACTTGGCTGCCTGCGGGACTGGGTCACCTGAGAATTCCCAGCACTCTAGAGAGGGGGCAGGGCATATCTCCGTCAGGCCCAGGGCCCATACAAATACTTTCATTTATTTTAAAAACAGAATAAACTTTTAGGTTAGGGAAAGTGTCTTAATATAGGATAGGAATATATTCATTTTTATACCAATGCAGTCACAAACTATAATATTTCTTTATGGAGGAAGCGGATTGTGAAGGCACAAGTGCCCGGACCCCGTGACTCCCAACACAGCCTCTGAGAGCACATCCATCTCATAGGGGGGGCGCATCAGGGGTCCCAGCGGGTCTCCACCGAGCCCAGAGCCCTGGAAAGCACCGAGCCTCCCCGTAGGGGCTTAGCCCTCATCACCACTCTGGACACAAAGAACTGAGCCTCTCCCACTGGTCCTAGAAGACTCTTCTCCTAGAAGAGTCCAAGAGGGGCTCAGAGAAAGGGACAGAGCAGCTGACTCCCTTTCTGGAGCCTGGACTAGCTTCATGAGGGGGATCCCACTTTAGTAACACATGAGTTAGACACAGGCATGCCCCAGACCATAACTTCCATCCCAAGAACAGGTAGAGGATATATTTAAATAATACGATTGAGAGCATTAAAAAATATCGCACTTGCCCAGGTGTCGGACTCGCTAGGACATAACCCGTGGCCGCCCTTTTGGGATTGTGTTCACAGACCCCAGGAAGCCAAGGACAGGGTTCGGATGGGTGGGCTGAGCCCGGGACAGAACCTCCCAGGTGCTGGGGCTGTGTGGGGGGCCCGGAAAAAGAAACCTCCTCTCGCTCTCCTGCTCTGCACTCTCCTGTCCCCCAGCCTCACCTGGGAGCCAGGCTGTGTCCCATGTTAATGCAGCTACTTCACACAATTACCCCAAGTTTCTCCAGTAGGGGCTAATGGATAACATTTGCTAATCACAGCACATTGATCTCAGCCTCGCCCCCGGAACCCTTTCCCCACTGAAAGGCTGGCAGGGAACATGGATCCTGCTCTCCACAGCCGCACAGTGGGTACAGGGGTGGGGAGTCTGGTCACCGGCACCTGCTATTTGCCTCTGCTCCAGCCCCAGGGCCCAGAGGCCCCGTCCAGGCTGCACAAGCTTCGGAAAGCGGGTAGGAGCCTGGGTTCCGTGTCCCAGCCCTGGGTCTGACTCTGGCCATGCCTCCTGGGGAGGGGGATTCTCAACTGGGGAAGCTGTCACAGGGGCGATGTCCATCCCAAGCCTGATGGACACGTTCCACCACCTCTGCCACTCCCAGCCCCATCCTGGCACAGGAGGGCAACCGTCCCATGGCACGCGTCGGGGTGAGCCAGCCATGCGCTTGCTTATTTGTGGCTGCTCAGCTCCACGCAAATAAGGGTTTGCCTGTTTCACTCCCAGGGCTCAGGATGGGCCCGCACATTGTGGGGTCACTGCCAGAATTCCCGACTCCTTGCCTGCCCTGGGGACTCAGGTCTCGGGGATGACCTCCTACTTCCGAGAGCTCACAAAATCCTCCTATGAATGGAAAAGTCGAAGAAGGGGTGTGTTCTGATTCTACCCCGTTTTCGTTTTGTTTTAAGGTCCTCCCTCGTTCACCTAAGGGAGACACACACTTGTCTCCATCTTCACACCTTTCTCAATGTCCTGGATTTTCTACATTAAGCACGGATGGCTGTTTTGGTCAAACACCACTATCATTTTAACCAGAGAGAATTACACCCTGGCCTTGAAAGAATGAACACGGGTGAGCAGGGACCTCGGAGACTCAGCCTCTCAGGGGCCGGCGTTCCAGGCGGGAAGCTGGCTCCAGGGCTACACTGCGCTTGTGGTGAGGGCCACACAGCTCAGCCCCCGCAAATCCCGGATGGACTCATCTGCGCCCCCGAAGATGGCTTCCCTCACATCCAATTCCCGGTCCAGATCGGACTCCAGGGTGTTTCATGATTTCAGGCCCCCAAGATGCCATCCGGGTCCTCACATGTGACCTACAGTCCCCTCCCTCTAGTTACCCACCTAAGAAGCACAGAGCGGCTCTCAGGCCCGCACGAGTCTGCATGTGCGTCCTGCAGCTCCTCCTGCCGCGGCCTCTCCCGCACCCTCCTTGGTACAGCTTCTCCCTCCCTGTCCGCACATCCCCGGCTCTGCTGTTCTGCTTCTCTTCCAAATTCTTCCCCTCCATCCCTCTTTGAGTCCCTCTGTTAGTCACCTCCCACAGCCCCACTGCAGCCCCTTCCTCTCCTAGTCCATGACCGCATGGCCATCATCTCCATCTTTCCCCCAACCCTCAGCATCTCTAACCCTCCCCGTCTGGCTCCCCCACCTAACAAATCTCCACAATCCCCCCCTTGCCACCCCTCCCCCAGGCTGCCAAGCCCATCTCCAGCACACGGGGCAGATCTTACAGCAGAAGGATTTAATTGCATGTCAAAATTAAATCTCTTTTGATGAAGAACAATTCAACTACGGCTCTGCCTAATCAAATTAACAAAGTCTTTTTTAATTTTCAATTATCTTCTTCACAGGAACACTTTATCCAAGGCTCTTGTGAAGGTGGCCGACAGGCTGTGCATTCACAATGAAGGGCCCTAGCCTGGACCTGCTGACCGTGGCCCTGGCTGTCAGCGCCCCTGGCCTGGGAGAGGGCTGCACAACCCCTGGGGTCTGCCCAGAGCCTCCTTGGCCTCTTGGAAGCCTTTCCTAGATGCTGAGCCAGAGAGCAGGGACCGTTTACTGCAGCATTTGTCCTTTGGAAATGGGAGAAAAATGGGTGAGGGGCAGGCACTCAGGAGAAGGGGCTGGAAATCGTGGGGCACCAGCTTTGCACTGAGAACCAAGCTGAGCATTTTGGATGCATTTGGTGAGCAATGGATCCACAGTGGCCCTCAACAGAACAGGAGCCTGGGTTCTACCTGCGTGCTCTGGTGCCCTGCCACCACACTTTCTAAACACCTCCAGCCTCCACCACACTTTCTAAACACCTCCACGAGCACTTCCGTATTTGGACGTCGCTCCACGAGGCACCTGTGTCGGCAGACATTGCTGCCCCAAGACCAGCTCTGTCCCGTGGAAATGCAAGGGAGCCACACATATAATTTTATATTTCCCAGTAGTCACATTAAGAAGGTAAAAAGAGGCCAGGTGCAGTGGCTCATGCCTGTAATCCCAGCACTTTGAGAGGCTGAGGTGGGCGAATCATGAGGTCAGGAGATCAAGACCATCCTAACTAACACGGTGAAACCCCGTTTCTACTGAAATTACAAAAATTAGCCGGGCATGGTGGTGTGTGCCTGTGGTTCCAGCTACTCAGGAGGCTGAGGCAGGAGAATCGCTTGAAGCTGGGAGGCGGAGGTTGCAATGAGCCAAGATCCCGCCACTGCATTCCAGCCTGGATGACAGAGCAAGACTCTGTCTCAAAAAAAAAAAAAAAGTAAAAAGAAACACGTGAGATTCATGTTAATTTTTTTCACTTAACCTGATACATTCTAAACATTGTCAGGTCGACATGTGATCAATGTAAAAACCATGCATGAGATGGTGTACATGTTTTTCTTTGTACGGAGTCTTTGAAGCCCAGCGCGTGTGTCCCCATCACAGCACCTCTCTGGCTGCACTGTGAGTGCTGAGGAGCTCCCCGGGGCTCGGGGCTGCCGTGTCAGACAGCGCATCCTGGGCCACAGACGTGTTAGGGCCGGTCAGGCAGGGCATCTTCTGGTGTCCATGTTCCCCTCAACCCACACACCGGGCCTGGCATCCAGCTGTGCGGAACAGGCACTTGGTGTGTGAATAAACTGACCACCTTGTACGACTTCGATCTGTTATTGAGGTAGGGGCAGAGTTGGGGGCAGGACTCTCCTGCTAGGGGAATCACCCCTCTTTTCCCATTTTCTGAACTCTGAGGGCCCCTCAGCAGCCAGCAGTCTCCCAGGCAGGCCTCAGCGCCTTCCTTTCCCATCTCCAAATGTTGCAGCTCCCTCCCTGGACTTGAGAGCCCCAGGAGGAGGTTATTTGGAAACGCAGACAGAAGGGAACCAGCCTCTCAGCGGGGCCCAGGGGTGCACTGAGGAAATAAAACCGAAACCCGGTGTCACCATCATCACAAAACATATTTGACAAAACGTCTCCAAGGACAGCTCAGTGCTCCATGCACTCCGATACCCTTCCAACAGCAGCCGCCAACAGAGCCCCCCAGGGCATGGCAGAAAAGGTCCAGAAAGACTAAACTCACACACTGCGGGACCCACAGAATAGGAGACCGTGCTGGGCTTCAGATCTCACCCTGGGGTGGCCTAGCCATACCCAGCCACCCAGACTCAGTTTCTCTGGGGCTCTTGTGCCACCACCCAACGGGAGACGATGGTCACATTCACTGAAGCAAGCTTTGGGCACCAGGCACTCGTTCATCTGCTGTCCATGGAAACCAGTTGTCAGGACAGCAGCATCCACTGCCCAGGCTTCCACTGCATCCCTGCAGGGATGGGGGGCTCTAGACCACTCCAGGTTGGGGGCTAAGCCTTCCTTGTGTCCCACCAACTGCGTTACCAAACAGCCTGTATCTTGTCATGACAGTGGCAAAAAGTGTACTTTCCCAAGAGCAGCCTGTGTTGGGCGGCACGTGGTTACTCCTCAGGGGGTTCTTGGGCAAACCTGTTTCCCATGTCCTCTAGGGCAGGAGCCAGAAAGGCTGACACGGGCAGGCGGGGCCCCTGTGAACTGGTTCCACATGTGCTTGCTGGGGAAGCCAACCCTTGCGGTCATGGGCAACCCTTTCTTTGAACCAAAGACCTGACCAGATTGGCCACAACCACACTCACGCGCATTTCCAAGGCTTCAGTGCCAGCATCCTCGCAAACAGCTTCTGAATGCCATTCACCCAATGTGGTCCTGGGCAGCGCCCTCTTGCCTATCGCCTCCCAGGCTCCTTGCAGCCTGATGCAAAAGGAACAGGGCTCCTGCCATCCTGGCGTCCATGCTTTGGGTGCTTGCTGGTGGATGCCATCAGGGGAGCCTGAATGGGGCATTTCCAGAACCTTGCTGACCTCTTAATGAGGTTTAGGGTGGGGAGGCCAGGGTGACTAACTTGAATGGCTGGTTTAAATTTTCTTAACGATGGGCTTTAGCTATTAGGACCACATTTTCTGGGGCTGTGTGGGCACATTTCCAAATCAATCAATCTCTGCCTCTCAAACACACACACACACACACACACACACACACACACACACACACAGTGTGTAGAATCAATACCGCAGCCTTCACCAGAGCCCTGGGGTCCAGTATCTGATTATTGTCCTCTTGAGATCACAGCACAGAAGAGGATGGGAAAAGGGGTGTATCCATAGACCAGGGACAATATCACATCACACAGCCTGCCTGGGGGCTTCCAGCCACCCCTCGCCTCCTTCACCCAGGTTGTCCGGCCTCTCCCCAGGACAGGCTGTTGTCTAGAGGGTCTAACACGGCTGGCCACGTGACCACTGCCTCCCCAAGCGGCCCAAGAAGGTGCAAAGGCACCCTCCACCACCCCACGGCCGCGGCGGTGCACCAGTAAAAGTAGTTAACTGTATCTACCCTTCAGCACAGAGACTTGTTTGATCAAAGATTTAGTCACTTTTTCTCCCCTTCCAGCACAAAATCTTGGGCTTTCTTGACAGAGAATTAATTGCTGCTGATTAAATTTCATTGCTGAAGGAACACGCATCCCTGGAGGAGTACCCCCCCGATGGCTGCCTCCTGCCCCAACGTGTGGAAAGTGCCCCTTACAGAGTCAGAGCATGGGACACCTGAGGGGTTCCTAGGGACTTTCTGTGGGTGCAAGGTCAGGAAAGTACTAGAACATGTGGTGGGAATCATGATGGTTAATGCCCAGAGCTTGGTGGGTGAGGATCAGGGGCACCCCCTGGATGACTGTAGGGCCTGGGGAGCTCAGTGTCCCCTGCCCCTCCATCCTGGCACACAACACCCGGGAGATGCTGCTGGAAGAGCAGAAAGAGGCCTCCCTGGCCAACACTGGGTCCTGGCATTCCCTGCCTCTTATTTCAGAGGTGTAGTGGCCCCCGGGACCCCCATATGTGGCAAGGAATGTCAGAGGGGGGGGCAATCAGGGTATGTGGGGGAAGGCAAGATTCAGGGTTTGGACCCAAAGCCAGACACGGGGCTAGAAGCCAGGCTTTCAAAGGTCAGACTGGACTCTGGAGGCAAAGCGGGACTCGTGTGAGTTCTCGCAGCCGCCACATGCCCACAGCAAGGAGAGGACACCTACAGCGGGCTCAGGGCGAGGGCTGTGGCCAGGTCAGGCAGGTCCAGGCAGGGGAGCTGCACTTTCTGGGGATGTCGGAAAACAAAGAGGGTTTCTGAGCCTCCAGGACTCACTCTGGGGACCCCGGTAAGGGGAGCGAGGAAGGTAATGAATCTCCCAGGAGGCCGCACTGCCAGGCACTCTCTGTAGGTCTGTTCAGAGGGAGCTCTTAGAGGCTGTGGGGGAGAAGTCCACCCACAGGACATCTGGCCACGCCCTCCCTGTCTATGCCTAACAGACTTACTTGCTTGTAAGGGGCTGGTCCACCTCCCTGGGAGTACATTTCCTGGCCCAAGAGTGTTCTTGCAGGGTGACTGCACAGGGGGTTTAAGCAGGCTGGACTCTGGAGAACCGTCTGCCCTCAAAATGCCCCTCTCTGTGGTATCTGCAAAGCCAGCTTCCAAACCCATGCAAGAGAGATGCACCAAGAATCAAGGGGCCGGAGCCCTGCCAGCACCCTCCTCAGGCCCACCCAGGCCTGCGCATCTGGGGACCAAGGCGGTCAATACAGTTGATGCCTCGGGAAGTCCACAGACGGCCAGGGGTGAGGCCCAAGCAGGCTGCAGCCTCATACACCAGCGCTGACCCAGCTGGCGGGCCAGTCACCTGCCGTGGAGGAGGAGCTGCTGGCAGGCTGGCTCCCACCCACACCGGCCCCTGAACACAGCACATCTAAATACTGGCTAGCAGTTGTTGGCCAAGAGTCCAGCGGCAAAACGCATCTTCCGGGGGATGTTTCAGTGGGGAGGGAGACCTTCCAAACTTCGGCAGCTACACGCCGGCTGCTGCCCACCCAAATTCTCCCAGCATTATCTGGGGAGAGGCCCAGAAGGTCCCTGGAGCCTCATCAGATTGCCCTTCCAGGGCCTGGTTCAGAGGCAGGGCTTTGTGGTGGGACCAACATTTCCCGGCCCCTGCCAGGCCCTTGCAAACCCCTCGGGTCCCAGGAATGCCCTGGCTCTTGGGCCCACCTGCCACAAACATCAGCAGCTTGTCCCAAAACACCTAACGTGCATGGGAAATAACTGGGAAGGGCAGAGACGGGAAGGGGAGGACAGAGCCTGGGAAGAGAGCTCTCCAGGGTCCCACAACAAGGCAGAAAGAAGCCCTTGGCAGCTCAAACCAGAGCACCCAGCAGGGCGGGGAGGCTGCAAGGGAAACACCAGGCCCCATGTCCACTACCAGCCATGGGAAGTCAGGCAAGACCCACAAAGGTCACTGAAGGAAGAGCTTCAACTTTGCCAAGAAGCTCATGGAGGAGCCTGAAACCATCATCCATCGAGGGTGCAGGATGCAGGACAATCAGCGAGCCCCCAAGAACACAGGTGTCCTGTCCTGCCAGGCAGGAGGGGCTGTGCCTGTTCCTGGCCACAGTGATCAGAGCTGCTGGCTGAGCCTGGTCCCCCATGCCCATCTGAGAACTCTCAGTGAGTCACAAAGACAGAGGTTCGCTCTCAAATACCACGTGTGCTGCTCCCTCATTCTGTGAGCCCTCTGGGTGGGTTCTATCACCCCCGTTACAGACAGGGGCTCCAGTACCTCCTGTGACAGACGGGCTCCATCAGCTCCCATAACAGAAGGAGGCTCTATCACCTCCTATTACAGATGGGGGCTCCATCACTCTCCATTACAGAAGGAGCTCCATTACTTCCTGTAACAGATGGGGTTCCAACACCTCCCATTACAGAAAGAGGCTCCATCACCCTCCATTGCAGACAGGAGCTCCATCACCTCCTGTAACAGATGGGGGTTCCATCACCTCCCATTAGAGAGAGAGGCTCCATCACCCTCCATTGCGGACAGGAGCTCCATCACCTCCCACACCAGATGGGGGCTCCATCACTCTCCATTACAGAAGGAGCTCCATTACTTCCTATAACAGATGGGGTTCCAACACCTCCCATTACAGAAAGAGGCTCCATCACCCTCCATTGCAGACAGGAACCTCCTACACCAGACGGGGGCTCCATCACCTCCCATTACAGAAAGAGGCTCCATCATCCTCCATTGCAGACATGAGCTCCATCACCTCCTGTAACAGATGGGGGTTCCAACACCTCCCATTAGAGAAAGAGGCTCCATCACCCTCCATTGCAGACAGGAACCTCCCACACCAGACGGGGGCTCCATCACCTCCCACAGCAGACAGGGGCTCCATCACCTCCCATGACAGAAGGAGGCTCCATCACCTCCCATCATAGATGAAGGCTCCACGATTTCCCGTTATAGGTGAGGGCTCCATCACCTCCTGTAAAAGGTGGGGCTCCATCACTACTTTACACATAGGGAAACTCAATAAGAGCCAGAAAGTTACTAGTCCAAAGTCGACAGCTAGTGAGTGGCAGGGCTGGAATCCAAGCTGGGGTCCAAAGCCAGAGCCCTCATACTATCACCATGATGTCAGTGAGTGACAGAGGAAGGAGCCCCCAAGTGTTCTGTTCTCCACCAGGTCCCACAGAGCCAGACACCTTCCCCAGAGTCAGTGTGAGCTCCCGGCCAACAACCACGGGCACCTTTCCCCAAGGAGTTCCTTCCCCACCCGACATCTTGGCCCCGCTGTTCCCTGCAGCCCTTGGGGTCCAGCCCCTCCAGGCTACCCGGCCCCACCCCCTACTCCAAGCAGGACCACATTTCTGACTAGCCTGCTAAGAAGGCTAAGTTCTCATGTCTCTACCCACCCCGCCTAGTGGCAGAAGGCCATCCCTAGCAGCCATGTCCGTGTGTGATGTGGCAGGACCCCATATTTTGACATTTGCTGTCTACTTGGGAAGACAGGTCTACTTATGAAGGAGAAAAATGGAACTCAGAATTGGAAGGTAGATACCTGGAAGGCAGAAACTCTGCTCTTGCAGAATTCTTTTTCACTATTTTTTACATGATTTTCCCCACCCCATTCACAGGCCAGTACCTCTAGTACTGAACAGGGACAGGAAAGCAGGACCCAGGGGTTTGAGAGGTCCCCAGGGCTCCCTGGGGTCCCTCTTGAGTTCTAGAAGAGTCTTTACTGAGTCCTACTGTCCAAGCATGGGGTCTGGCCACACTCATGCTTACACACAGCATTTCCACTGCGTGACTTCAGTAATTTGTTTCTACAGTAAAAACTGATCTGATACAGCCTAGTAAAGGGTTTTGTGTATCTGAGTGTGCTTTTCATCACAAAAAAACCCCAGCATCCTTAAAGGTTAAGAAAAATCGGTCCTATTATTCTAACAACTCACAGGCGTGAGTCAAAACATGAAGGCAAACACACTCTGGGGAACACTCATCAGAGACCCTGAAAACAAGTCCCAGGTCTTTTAAAAGCAACCTCAGCTTTCCGGCAGGGCCTGATCTAGGGATAAATACTGCCAGGGCCCACAGGGTCCCACCGTCTTCACTGGAAGATGGCTGGTACCGCCCGCATGGGCTGGATGAGAAAGCTGAGGCCAGAGAGGACAGGCTTCTCCCCCAAGCCAAATACAAATGAGGGGCCATGAGCTCTGCCTCACTGTGGTTCTCACCACTGCCTATGTGCCATGTTGTTGGACTGGGGGCCCCCAGGCTGGGTGCAGTGGGGCCACTTCTTTCACTGGGAGCAGGAGGAAGATTCTTCTTGCCTCCTGAAAACCCATAACCACACTGCAGGGGGCCTGGGCACTTGGAGTTCAAGGGAAGAGCCCACTCCTTCCCAACCCATACCCCAAGAGCAGGACCAGACTAACGTGTGCATGGGTATGTGTGCACTGTACAGTGTGTGTGCACATGTGCAAGAGTGTGTGATTGTGTGTACGAGTGTGCATACATGCGTGTGCATGTGTACATGTGTGCATGTACATGCATGTGTGAACGTGTACCTGTGTGTGCATGTGTGAATGTGTACGTGTGTGTGTGTGTGCATGCAAGTGGATATGAACTTGTGTGCATGTACATGTGTGCACTGTGCAGTGTGTGTGCCTACGTGTGCATGTGTGTGCATGTGGACATGTATATGTGCATGTGTGGTTGTGCATACAAATGTGTGTGCATGTGTGTGTGCATGTGTGTTAGCAGCTCTCTGACCACACAGACTGGGCCATAACTACGCAGCCCCCATGTGCTCCATGGGCTGTGACTGGGGTGGGGGCTCTATCACAGAAGAGTCATGCCCAGGCCAGAAGAGCTTGAGAGAACAAGGAGTTGGGCCCTTCCAGGGCCTCAAAAGCACCCAGGCATGACCACGGCTGAACGAGGATGCAGAGCCAGTGCAAGATCCTGTTTTAGGGAGCTTTGTCAAGGGTTACTCATCTCCCCACGCATGGAGCCTGTTCCCTACTTCTTCCAACACACATGGAATCGTTTTCAGCTGTGTCCAGATGCCTTCCCACCTGCATGCGCCTTACTTAGTCACCAAAGGCAGGCATTTTTAAAAGAGAAGATTTTTAATAAATCTCTAATCTCTTTTAAAAACAGGGGATTTAAGCTGGCTCTGAGCGCCCCTGCTCCAGGAAGCTCACTGCACAGCTGCGGGCTGGATCTCGTTCCCACCTGCAGCAGCACTACCCTCTAGTGGCCACGGAGGATGTCCACGTCCCGGCCAGGGTTCCCGGCAAGGACACAGGTGGCAGCTCCTCAGCAGCCGCCTCCAGCCACCCCTCCTGCACATGCCCCGGTGCTGCCGGAGCCTCTCGCCAAGCATCACTCACACAGGTGGCCACCACAGCCCCACTGATAATTCATCTTGCCCGCTAACCACTTATCTCTGAGCTGTGCTCACCGATCACCATCCTCTCCCAGCGGCAGGGAACAGATTCCCTTAACTCCTCCCAGCCGCCAAGCCCTCCAATCCTTTAGAACTGGGGCCTTGCCTCTCAGCTTCCTTCGCCTCCTGCAATAAGCATTTCAGAGGGAGACGTGGCCCCACCAATGGCCTTTTCTCTACATCCTTCCTCCACACTGACCATGAATGAGAACAGAGACGGAGGGACGAAGCGGTGGGCGCGGGGGGGCGGTGTGGCAAGCACCGCGTCACAGGGGAGGAAACTCACTTTTGAAGTTTGGGGTCCCCTTCCTCTCTCCCTCGCTGCTCTTCCAGGAGAGCACTAACCACCAAACCTCGGGTCACTCACCCCTTTGGTGTGCAACGAGAGTTGGTGGTTATGTGACATATGGAGGACTGGGGGTAGAAACACAAAGGTCTGGGGACCCCTAGAATGAGATGCCCAAATAAACAGTAGCTGGGTATTCTCTGGAGCACTCCTGCCCCTGGGAGGCCCCCTTTCTGGACTTTTGACTTCTCCCCGTCAGTAATGCTGCAGCTGGTTCGTACTTTTCAGGAACTCTACAAGCCAGCTGACAGCAGCTGACAGCCCTTGAGGGGGTATTTACAGCAGGGGAATTGACAAATGCTACACATCAACCTGCTTTAGTTCCTTTGGAAGAGCCTATTGTTAAACACTGAGTCCCCCACCCTGCCTCGGCCTCAGTGGGTCTCCACTCAGGTAAGGGCAGCCTTACCGACACATGACACATGAGCATGCTGGGCCGGTTTCCAGACTGCCTGACTCCAGAGATCTGGGGTGGGACAGACGACATGCCTTTCTTGTACGTTCCTGGGGAATGCCAGTACTTCCAGGCTGGGGACCGTACTTGGGGAACCAGTGCTCAGTGGTTCATCAGCACGAATTAATTTATACAAAGGCACAAAAGACAACAGTTTAGAATGAGAGGAGACTGAGGGGGCCAGGGCCATGCTCAGATACTGCAGGGCTGGAGACTAGCGTTTTCTGTTTCCAAAGCAGAGAGGGTTTCAGCTGAGAAGGAGGCCTTGGAGCAACCAGAGCCAGGTCTCCGCAGCCTCCAGGTCTCTGTAGCCTCCGGGTCTCCGCAGCCTCCAGGTCTCCGCAGCCTCCAGGTCTCCGCAGCCTCCAGGTCTCCGTAGCCTCCAGGTCTCCGCAGCCGCCGGGTCTCCGCAGCCTCCGGGTCTCCGCAGCCTCCGGGTCTCCGTAGCCAGCCACCCGGCCGAGGGGCTGGGTCCACAGAGGAGGACCAGCAGCAGTGAAGGGCAAGTCCACAGAGTTCTGAGGTGTCCAACCTCCGGGACGCTGCACTGACTTTCAAGTGCCCAGAGGTCCTCCTAGAATAACACATCCCTCCGCCCCATCATCCTGCAATCCTTTAGCTGGCAGACACCAGCATCCCGGGGGGACTTCTTAGACTCCACTCTGAGTTTGGCTTTGCCACGCTGTGGTTTCATCACGACCATCACGGCCAGGTGACGGGTTCCAGCTCATTCGGGGCTCAGCCCCATCTGCCCACTTTGGTGCTGGAAAATGCACTCAGAGTCCAACCGGCGTGGAAATACAGTCTTTGCGCCACTGCTTTTTTTTTTTTTTTTTAGATGGAGTCTCGCTCTTGTCGCCCAGGCTGGAGTGCAGTGGCACAATCTCGGCTCACTACAACGTCTGCCTCTCAGGTTCAAGTGATTCTCCTGCCTCAGCCTCCCAAGTAGCTGGGATTACAGGCGCCTGCCACCAAACCCAGCTAATTTTGTATTTTTAGTAGAGACAGGGTTTCGCCATGTTGGCCAGGCTGGTCTCGAACTCCTTATCTCAGACAATCTGCCCGTCTCGGCCTCCCAACGCATGGCCCATTCAAAGTTTGCCAGAGGCGAGTTCAGGGTGGGGATCCTGGCAGTGGGAAACTGGAGGAGCGCATGGAGCATCTGAGAGTTGAGGCAGCGGAACCCCTCACCAGGAGGCACCTTCCTGCCCAGACACCTCGGGATGAGCCCCTGGTGGGACTGCTCGGGTGCCGGCAGGGAGTTCCTGGACCCACCCAAAGCCAGCTCTGCTTCTCCCTTCTCTCTTCCCGCTTTCTTCTCCACAGCCCCCTGATTCCCACAGATCCTTCCCTGGAAGGCTTTCTCGCTGTCTCTTCAAAGTCTCTCTTCTACCCACTGCCATGGGAGCCTTCGCACCTCGGGTCTGGTGGCCTGTAACCCCTGCCAGCCAGGCTCCCTGATACCAGCCTCTCTTTTTCCAGACAGTCTGATTAACTTTTCTAAAACCTCACTACCACTGTATCAAACTCCAGCTTCTCTTCAACCGTCAGCGACTTCCCCACTGCTTGCAGGATGAAATCCAAATTCCTTAGCGCAACCCCCAAGCTGGGGTCTCAGCTCCAGCACCTCTCACCTGACCCTCAATGACCAGCTGTCTCAGGGGGAGAAAAAGGGAGGATTTAAACCCAGCACACCTGGGTTCAAGCTTCAGCTCTCCTTCCCACGATTGGTGAACACTCGGGCAGGTTACCTAACTTCTCTGAGCCTCAGTCTCCTCTGCTTAATAATGGGTGGTATCATAACATCTTCCTGAATTATTATCTAAAATGTCAAGTTCATGACTTGTCCGCCCAAATACGGCAAATGCCACCGATTTTAATCTCACCCGAAACCAACCTCACAGGTGCTGATTCACTTTTAGGAATTAGGAATTTAGTTTTAGGAATGAAGAAATGAGGCCCAGTGAGGTACATGTACACGTGCACATGTGCATACATGCGTGTGTACTTGCCTGCCTGTGCATCCACATATATGTGCGTGTGAGCGTGTGTGGGCACAGGAAAGTCTGTGTGCACGTGTGAGTTAGGGTGGGGGGTATGTGGAGACACCAGGACCACCAACATGCATGACAACGAGAACCAGTACGCATGTGTTTGGGGGACAGCACACCCCCGCTCTGATCCTCGGTTTCCGAATCTGTTAAAAAAAAAAGGCTCCAGGCTGGACAAGCCCCAGGTCCCCTCCTTCCCGGTTCTGAAGCTCACAGGTCGCGGGTTTGCTGAGAAGGCACGTGCTCCCCCTGGTGGAAGGAAACTTGTATGGCAACGCTCCCGCCAGGGCCCCGCGATGGTCAGGCTTTCTGCCGTCTTGGAAACAGACACCGACAAGCAACAGGGTTCCCATAGTGCCCGGGCACTTCGGACCCGCTGCGGGACCTTGGGCAAACTCTTTTAGCCTCAGCACCTTCCTCTGTGAAATGGAGCCAACAACAGCACATCACAGAGCTAACAGTAAAGAAAACTGGGGCAGCCTCCTCACCCCCGTCTCTTTTCTCAGTGGTTAGTTATGCCAACGATTGTTCCAGAATCCAAACTCACACAGCAGAGAGAGGCAGCTCAGCACACGGACCTTGCAGCCAGTTGGCCCTGAATTCCAGCCCTGCCACTTACTAGCTGTGTGATCCTGGGCACGTGATTTCACCGTCTTTCATTGTGGAGTTGTGAAGATTCATAAGCTAACTCTCACACGGTAGTGAGCGCAGGGCCCGGCCACTCACAGGTGCATGGTAATGTCGGTGGTACAGGTGTCTTGTGGCTGTCACTGAGGTTGTTCATAATCTCCTGGCTCCTGTTCCTGCTGGAGCCACGGGGAGCTGCCCTTCCCACCCACTTAAGTTAGGCACCATCCCGTGACTTGCTTTGCCCAACAAAATGGGAGCAGAGGGGTGTCACTTCCAGCCGAAGTTTGCAGAACCAACAGTGTGTGCAGTACCACACCCTCTCTTCCCGATATCTGGCAAGCATCGGGCAGTGGCTCTATGAGCTTGGGTCCTGAGTGAGGGCAACAGCACAGCACAACACCCTCAGGAACCAAGATGCATATGAGCCAGAAATCAACCCGCAATTGCTACAGATCTCTGATGTGGGGTTGTTTGTTACTGAGCATAACCTGCTGCTGCTGACTGAGACACTGACTCCTGCAGAGCTTCTCTGAGGAGAAAGGATTCCTTCTCATTTATCCTGACATGTACTTACTAAATAGGAATATTTATCAGTTAACGAACACACATTTCCTTTCCCCAAACCTAAACTACCAAGCAAGAGAACCACCAAAATTTGCAATTCCAAGTGCATCGTGATGGAGACCAAAGCCCCAACTTGACCACTACACAGTCTGCACATGTAACAAAATTGCACCTGTGCCCCCAAAATATGTAGGAGTTGTAAAATATACACAATGAACTGTGATATGAGCAAGAGATAGAACATAGCAGAGTGCAAAGGCATTTTTTCTCAAACACACAAAACCTTTATGGAGACGGATTTGGGGTTTCACAGTTCAGTTCCACCCGCGTAGCCGCCTGCTGCAGCACAGGGGGAAAGGGAGGCTTGGGGCACCTCTCCTACCCACACCCCAACCCCACACTTCCACCTGCACCTAACTTGCTTGTTAGAAGACAGGAGAGTCGTGGTTACAATACACTGGGAGGGAGATGCTGGACGAAGCAAGCCTCTCAGGGGAGACCCGGCCAGTGAGCAGCCGCAGGGAAACGCTCTCCGTTCGTGTGGTCCCTGGCGCCACCTCGCGGCGCTGGCTGGCACTGCTGGGAGCTGGCTCCTGGTCGGCAATCTGCTCCTGCTCCTGGCCAGGGCAATAGCACACTGGATGCTGAGCGGGTCATCACACACATCGGAGCTGGTCATCAATGAACATCTGAGCCAGTCATCACATACATCGGAGCCGGTCATCAATGCACATCTGAGCCGGTCATCACACACATGATCTGAGCCTGTCGCCACACATCGTCTGAGCCGGTCATCACGCACATCTGAGCCGGTCATCATACACATCATCTGAGCTGGTCATCACGCACATCAGAGCTGGTCATCATGCACATCAGAGCTGGTCATCATCATGCACATCATCTGAGCCAGTCATCATGCACATCTGAGCTGGTCATCACACACATCATCTGAGCCGGTCATCACGCACATCATCTGAGCCATTCATCGCACACATCAGAGATGGCCATCAATGCACATCTGAGCCGGTCATCATACACATCATCTGAGCCGGTCACCACGCACATCGTCTGAGCCAGTCATGCACATCTGAGTCTGTCCCCGTGCACATCATCTGAACTGGTCATCACACACATCGGAGCTGGTCATCAGTGCACATCCGAGCCCGTCATCATACACATCA
This sequence comes from Homo sapiens, assembly GCF_000001405.40. Classification (NCBI taxonomy): domain Eukaryota; kingdom Metazoa; phylum Chordata; class Mammalia; order Primates; family Hominidae; genus Homo; species Homo sapiens. The sequence continues at coordinate 79,394,086 of NC_000017.11, forward strand.
TCTGAGCCGGTCACTATGCACATCGTCTGAGCCAATCATCACGCACATCTGAGTTGGTCCCCGCGCACATCATCTGAATCGGTCATCACACACACATCTGAGCCCTCGCCTGTGGGCTGAGATCTGCGAGAATGGACAGAGGGCCCAGGATGGAAAAGCATGAGGGACTCAAGGACGACACTGTGTCCAGGTCCAGGGAGGAGCTCACCCTGCACCCTGATCACTGAGACACTCACTCCCCACAGTGCAGAGTGACCCTGAGGCCAGAGCCCAGCCAAGCCCCCATCTCCACCACTGGGGCAGGGGTCTCCAGGGCCCTCTGAGTGCAGGTGGGGTTCATCTTACCCCCTGGAAAACAGTCTGGCTTCTATGTCCACCCTAGGCCGGCACCCTAGTGCTTGGCCAAAAATGGAGCAAGCCACGCCAGCCTCAAGGGCCTGTCCTTCTCCATCCACTCCAGGACAGGAGGCTGACAGTCAAGGCAGCACGCACAGTCCTCCCAGCGAGATGAGCAAATGAAGGACGTGAACTGGAAACAGGTCCACAGAGTAAACAAATGGCCCCCACTCTAAATGGTCTTGTCTGAAGCCTTGGACCATGCCTCTTTATCCAAGTCTCTTTGCACAGATAATTGTTCCAACACTGAAGCCTGAGCCCCCACTGACCCACACATCTCTCTCCTCAACTACCCCAGGCTCATTGGAGCCACAGCTCTGCCCCACTCCTGAGACGTCCCGGGCCCTCGCTACATGAGTGACCCAGTGAGGTAGAGGGATATGAGAAGAGCTAGGAGAAGGGCCTGGAGACGCAACACAGGCGCTCGGGGCGTGTGCAGGTGGGACGACGCAGAGAGGCGGCAAGACGTCAGGAGGTGCCAGAAGGGTGGATGAGAACCCAGGGTTAAGTGCAGCCTTCCAGAACAGCCTTAAAGGTGGATCAGCCATCCCAGTGGTGGCCACAGCTGCTGTCATTCAGTGCGACTGATGGGGATCCAGGCCCGCAAAGCAGTGCTCTATCTGGGCCTCCCGTCAACCTTCTGCCGGAGACCAGGGATTCAAGGATCAGTGGCAAAGGGCTAGATGTTTTTGTTAGTCCCTTTGTTTCATTTGCAGCCACGATGAGCTGACACCGGACCCAGCAATGTGTGGCGGCCTCTGTGGAGAACAGCTGCAGGCTCTATCTTGAGCAAGCCTTTGGCTCCCTGCCTGGGAGGACCCCTCCTAAGGGATGGGGCATTCCACACCTGGACTGAGCACAGTGGAGCCAACCACCGCTCAGTGCCGGGAGGAACCACACTTCCTGGGGACCTGCTATGTGTCTGGCCTCGCTTAAGCTGCATCACATCTGTGAGCCACACACGGCTCCATTTGTACAGGTGACCCTCACTGAGGCCAAAGGTGTCTTTGAGACCCTCTCTCCTAAGCCAGGCTCAGCACACAAGCCAAGAGCTCTGGGCTGTGGTTTACAGTGGACAGCGAGGTTCCCTTCACACTGGATGGTGACAGCTGGCGCCCGCCTGGCAGTTAGTGTGTGCCGGGCACTGATCCAGGGGCTTCCAGTGGGTCATCTCCCCCAACCCCAACGGGTGGGACTGGTGGTCTTTCGCTTTGCAGAGGAGGACGCTGAAGCACAAGGCAGAAGCGCCTTGCCCAAGGTCAACAACAGCAAGTGGCTGAGCCGTGACGTGACCAGGAGCCCATCACGTCAGCCCTGGATTGAGGCTGCCTCGGTGACTCAGGAGGCTTGAGATCCCCTCCTGGCTGTGGGAGCAGAGCATCCTGCAGAAGGGGTAGACCCTCACCTGCCAGCGGGGCTGCAGCTAGGCCATGGGGCATCCCTCACCCTTGGTCTGGGGTACAGGTGCACTAACAAGGTGCACACAAGGAGCCCCGCCTGCCACTGGTTTCCGTTCCAGGATCCGGGTCTGGTGTCATCTGGATGCTCAAGCTGCCAGGACCTGAGGATGTCTGAGCCCCTGAGTCCTTCCCCAGAACTCTGAGCATCTCAAAAGTAACAGGGCAGGGTGCAAAGCCACGTCTCCACCTGGGGCCGGAGGGCCCTGCCTCCAAAACCTGCCTCCCACCTTCTTTTGGTTACCACCTTGGCTGCCTGGACCTCCAGTGGAAGGAAAGATACCCTTTTGGATCAAATTTGGACTGGGCAGAGCCGGGGGAGAAGGGTGTGGCTGAGCTCAGAACAGAGAAGCCCAAACTTGAAGCTCCCTGTGTCTGTGCGTCTGAGATGCTGCAAAGTGACCTCTGCTGCCCACGAGGACTCTTGCTTCTCTCCCTGCTCATCCTGGCCTTGCCCTTTAAAATGCAGCATCCTAAGGAAAAGGGGCTCCCCACTCCCTGAAATAAACCTCTGTCTTCTCCAGCACAATGATACCAGAAGAATTAAGGGTTTCTTTCCAGAAAGGGGGAAAGGACCTCCTTCCTTAATGCAAATTTTATTCTGACTCCCCCTGAGACCCCCTCCCCAGCCCTATGCCCACCCTGCTCTCTAAGTGGGAGGGCATCCTCACAGGTGCTGGCCACCCCGTCATTATCCAGAGAAAAAAGGGACCCAGACTCAGGAGGGCTGTCATTGTCCAGCTGGCCTGGGTAGGCCCACCTACTGCTCGGAGGGATGAAAGCTGTCCCCCTCGGGCCCCAGGCTGTGGGCAGGACCAGCTACATAATTTGCAGGGACCATCCCCTCATTAAAAAGTTGTCCAGAATTCCCAGACAGCAACAACAGGGCATGAAACCCAGCCTGGATCCCTTCTGAGTGCAGCTTCCAGCGCCTCCACCGGTCACGGGTCCGTGAAGCCGGGCCAGGGTGGGACCTGTCATCCATGGTAGGGAAGTCTGCAAGGAGAACGAACCCCTGTCACAGCGGCAGGGAACGCGCACCAGGCTAAGCCGCAGAGCCTGAATCTTGGAAATGCTTCCTGGCTGCAAGGACGACCTGTCTCAAGGGGTGGATTTGGGAATAAAGAAATACAGCTTTGTCACTTTCACAGCATCAGTGTTTCCAGGAGACGCCTCCCCACAGCCCCGCGGACAGGCAGGATTTCCTTGCCATAGCATCACTATTTACATTCAAATAAGTGACTATCCTTTTAAGAAGCGTGGGCTGGGCGCAGTGGCTCACGCCTGAAATCCCAGCACTTTGGGAGGCCGAGGCAGGCGGATCATGAGGTCAAGAGATCGAAACCATCCTGGCCAACATGGTGAAACCCTGTCTCTCCTAAAAATAAAAAATTTAAAAAAAAAATTAGCTGGGCCTGGTGGCGCACACCTGTAGTCCCAGCTACTCGGGGGTCTGAGGCAGGAGAATCACTTGAACCCGGGAGGTGGAGGTTGCAGTGAGCCAAGATAATGCCACTGCCCTCCAGCCTGGGCAACAGAGGAGGACTCCATCCCCAAAAAAAAAAAAAAAGTGCGACCCCCACCCCCAGAAGTTTAGAAAAGCCCATTAAGAGCCTCCTCGCATACCTCATTTCCCATCAAAATCAACCTAGGGCAGATTTAAGCTTCGGGCCAGGTGAGCTGGCCATAGTGTCTGATTTAGAGCAGCCCAGCTCACACCTCACTGACATCTTTTCCTTTACGACATGGTCCAATGGCTGAGATAAACCAGCTGCATCACAGGAGTCACGGCAGGGACCTGTTACCACCCCCGGGAGGCCTCCAGGACGTCGGGGAACCCTCTGTTTTTCTGGATACCTTTCTCAGGCCACAGCGGTGGGCAGGGGAGGTGTCTCAGCCTTGACAGTTCGATGCCAGCACCGAAAGCTACAACCACAAACAGAGGCCCTGGGGCTGGGAAGATGGATTTTCCGTCCTGGATCACCGTGAGACGCCGTCACGAATCTGTCCGGCGGCGGATTTTCAGAATATTCTCGTCTGCGGTCCTGCACACCCCCACCCAGACAGCTTTAGGGTACAGACAGTATCACAGGAGTTTAAAGAGGAGGAAGACTCGGAGCCCGAACGAGGCTCTGGGCGCCTTGTCGGGGCCCCAGAGTCAGGGCTTTGCAGCTGAGCAGCAATTAGAGCCCAATCTAGTGCTTTGCAAGAAAGAGAAAATACAAGCAGTGCTGAGAGCAGTCCTGATCCTGCTGGGCCTCGGGAGGCTCATTATGCACCAGAAAGGAGGCCTGCAGAAACTCCCAGAACTGCCCCCCAAGTATGGGAGCGTCCAGCCCTGAGGCGCTCCTGGCCTAGACGAGGCTTCATTGCATCAATTTGCACCACGGTTTCAGAAAAGTGGGAAAGGGTGAAGGTGTCCCGTCACCCCAGAATGTGGGGACCCACTATGGGATGTGAACTGGCGAGGCCTGGCAGGAGGACACAGCCTGACGATATCTGTCAGCGTTTAACATACGTACACCACATAAACCACGTCAGCGGCTCTCCACCGAGAGTAATTTTACCTCCTGGGGAGGGACACGTGGCAATGTCTGGAGACATTGTTGGTCATCGTAACTGAGGGAGGGGCTTCTGGCATCTGGTGGGTGGAGGCCAGGGGTGCTGCTGAATGCCCTGCAGCGTACAGGGCGGCCTCCACCGTGGGCGACGATGCGGCTCCCACGTAGCAGCAGCGCTGAGGCTGAGAGAGCGGAATTACCCTGGGAGATGTGAGTGCATAAAGTAGTAAGGGCAGGGGCACAGTGGCCATCTACGTGATGTTTACCGGGGGCCAGTCACGAGTCTGACCACTTTTCACCTGGGGACTCACTTCGCCCACCCAACACACACAGTGCACAGCTGAACTGTGTCCCTCTAAGATAAGTTGAAGCGCAAACCCCTGGTACCTGTGAACGAGATCTTCTTTGGAAACAGAGCCTTCGCCGATGTAATCAGGTAAAGATGAGGTCATAGGGTGAGCCCTAACCCACCATGACTGGTGTCCTTGTAGGAAGAGGAAAACACCGTGTGAAGACATGCATGAGAGAAGGACGCATGACGGCAGAGGCAGGGTTGGAGTGACGCGGCTACAAGCCCGGGAACCCCTCGGGTGGCTGGCGGCCCCCAGAGGCTAAGAAGCCGTGGGGAGGATTCTACCTGGAGTCTCAGAGGGGGCATGGCCCTGCTGACCCCTTGGTTTTGGGCTTCTGACCTCCAGAATGTTAAAAAAAAATCTTGTGTTTCCAGCCACCCAGTCCGTGGCAGTTTGTTACAGCGGCCACAGGAAATGCGTACCGTGGGTGAGGCTATCCCCGCTTCACAAATGAGGAAACCGAGGCACCGGGAGGCAAAGGTGCGTGCCCGCACACACACAGCTGGTAAATCAGCAGTTTTGCTTCCGTGCACGGCTCGCGCTTCTGATTAGAGTGACAGCATTGCACCAGCTTTCATGAAGGGTTTTCCTGGCGTGACTGCAGGTTCCATGTGGAGGGCAGGGATGGTTTTTTTTTGCCATCTTTTCAAGACAGTGGTTCAGGGAGGACTTTTCACCATCAGGGGTCATCAAATTTAGCAAAATCCCACACGGTGGCCGCACCAGGGCCCAGCAGGCCACGCTCTCCCAGCAGTCACAAAGGAGAAAGCAAAAAAAATCTACCTTTAATTTTGTGGGAAAAGTGCTGCTGAAACCAAAAGACAATGTCCATTATGAAAACCTGTTTTTAAACTCTGATGTTCTCATCACCTTTTCCTGCTGGCTTCTCAGGCAGATGTAGCCGAGGCCCCTCCCCGGGGAGCAGCAGACACCACAGACCCTCGGGCGCTCCCGTCTTCAGCAAGCGTGAACGCGCCGCTGGAAAGAATGCTGGCTTTCTCTCCAAGTGAACGTTGTCCTTAACTGGCTAGTGCAGGACAGTCTAACTCCCGCTCTGGAATCTAGACATCGTTTCCCATCACTCAGGAAAGGTCTGGAGATATCCAGGTTCACCCACTGCTTGTCTCTACCCACAGATTCTCTCAGGAGTGCTGGAGGGACAGTGGAGCCACTGCTGATTTAACCGGTTTCCAGACACTTCCAACACTGCCCCTGGGATCAGGATCGGAGCAGGATTCTCGGGGAATGGGGTTTGGAGTGGGGAAAAAGTCTGACAGTGAAACAAATGCACCACGGGGCTCTGGAACTCCAGAGGGGAGCCACAAACTGGGTGGCTCAGAGCAACATGAATTTTTTCCTTCACATTCTGGAGGTCAGGAGCCCCAAACCAAGGGGTCAGCAGGGCCAAGCTCCTGCTGAGACTCCGGATAGAATTCTTCCTCATGGCTTCTTAGCCTCTGGAGCCACCCGAGGGGCTCCCGGGCTTGTAGCCGAGTCTCTCCAACCCTGCCTCTGCCGTCACGGGGCCTTTTCCTGTATGTGTCTTCACACGGCGTTTTTGTCTTCCTACAAGGACACTGGTCATGGTGGGTTAGGGCTCACCCTAGTGACCTCATCTTTACCTGATTACATCCACAAAGGCTGTTTCCAGATAAGGTCACGTTCACAGGTACCAGAGGTTGGCGCTTCAACTTATCTTAGAGAGACACAGTTCACCCATAACACCCACCTCACAAGGTGTTGGGGGTGGGTGAAGTGAGTTCACGTGTGACCCGCGAATTAACCACAGTTTTAAGAATGCAGAAGGCTCAGACACACTAGGAAGATGCGGCTGTAAGCGGGGTGTCCCAAATGCAGCAGCTCCTGCTCTAATGCCCGTTGACTGAGAGGTGGGAGCTGGACTCACCCCTTTTTGGGGGCACCTGTTGGCCCCGTCACTGCCCTGATCTGGGAGGGTCTCTGCATCAGTCAGGCCACCTCCGAAGCCAAAACCGAAGTCCCCACACTCTCCTAAGCTGGGCCAGCCCCTCACAAAGCTGCCACAACACCTTGCCACCTGGGGAGCTCCTGGATGTGTCTACAGACAGCCTAGCTAGCATCCCTGTGCCAAGAGATCCTCCTCCGAACAAAAACGAGACAAAACAGAAAAACACGTCGTCACAACCCTACTTCCAAAGCTAGAGATCCGGGCGTGTTCATTTTTAAATTCACAGACGCAGAGCCTCTCCAGTGCTGCCCTGCAGAGCAGTCAGCCACGCTGGTGCTCGCTTCTGGAGCTGCTTCTAGAATGACAGCGGTTCGGCAGGGGAGATCAATTCCTACAGGAACGATCAAAGGAAAGATAAGAACTTCGGGGCTCCGCGGTCAGGTTCCACTCACAGCCAGCTTCTCGGAAAGGAGCCCTGAGCGGCGGGAGCCACGCCCCTGCGCACGCTGCTGCTCACGCGCCCCACCAGGTGGTAGAACGGGGCTACTACCACTTTAAAATAGGTCAACTTCAAGCCAAATGGGAAGACAAAAAAATAAGAAGAGCCAGTGAGCCCCCCAAAACGACTCCTTCATGATCCAGGGGTACAGTCAACCAATCAGCCAATCAATGAGACCACCTTGAGAGAGTCTGCAAAATGCAAACGCCTTATTCCCTGTCCTGCGTGTGTGTTCCCAGTGTGCACGTGAGACCCTGCCTTCAGTGCAGAGGGAGAGGGGAGGGAATGGGAGAGGGGAACCTATTTCTTTTGTTTCACTTTTAAAGGAGACAACACTCCAGTATTCCGCAGCTCATTTCTCCCTTCACCCCGATCCCATGCCCCGTGTTTGGACGTTCGCTGAGCCTGCTCCGTGACGGGTCTGTAAGTTCCTACATGGGGCGTCCTCTCTATGAGCCCCAGGGCACCTGGCCCAGCAGTTCACGGTCTGTACCCACTCAGATATCATTGTGGGTCTGACGACCGGCTCCAGATACAGCAGCTTGACACACCAGCCCCAGCCTCCCGAGGGAGCGCGGCCCTGCCTTGATCCTGGACTCTGGCCTCCTGAGCTGTGAGAGCATAAATGCTGCTGTTGAAGCCACACAGTTGTGGTCATCCGTTCTGGTGACCACAGGAACCGCATACGGCTCTCTTACAGGTGAGACCTTCCACGTTACCTGCAGAGCAGCCACCTGGGAGTCACACCTGAGAAAGAGCAGAAGCAGGGGACAATCTGTGGCCCACCACCAGGAGCCCAGGGTGGAGGACCCAGGCAGAGCTGGGCATGCTCAGAGGCTGCTGTCCCCATGGCACCACTCAAGGAGAAAAGGGGTCTCTGGAGAGAGAAGAAGGGAAGGGGCTCTGCAAGGGAGGCAGGATCCACTTGGCAGCTGCTCAAATTTAGTTTGCACCTCCTTTGCCAGTGCAGAAGAAAACAAACGACCTGCGAACTGAATGAAAAATGGTGATTCATTACCCCTGATGTGTGATGATGGCTTAATTATTTTTCTAACTGGGGAGAGACGCTTTCTGACAGCAGGTGCAAATGAATTCTCCACTGTTTTAAGGAGTGATTGGCCCAGGACAGGCGGAAAACTGGGAAACCTAATTAAATTGGGAGCCCCATGAAATAAATGGAGCGGGGAGTTTGTTTGCTTGTGCTAACGGGGATTAACGATCCCCTGAGAAGCTGTAGGGCTCCCGCTGGAGTGAGCGCAGGGGGCCCCGCGGGGCGGACACAGACAAAGCAGGAGCCACATGGGGTGGTGGGGACCCCACTGCACAGGAAAGGGTGGGCCAGGGCCTGGACGCTGAGCTCTACGACTGGCTATCATCTTTGGCTCTCGGTCTCCTTGTCTGTGAAACAGGAGGCTGGACGATGGGAGGACCAGGTGAAGGCTCAGTGCCAGGTGATGGGATGGGATTTCAGAGCACGGGTTTGGAGTTGGACAGCCCGGGGTCAGAGCCAGTGCACCCTCTGCCTCTGACCCGGATCCAGCTTGGATCCTCAGTTTTCTCATCTCTACTATGGGGGTGTGAGCAGTACCTACCCTCCCGGATGTCGTGGGGCTGCCCCGAGGTTGCAGGTCACATTCTCAGCAGGAGCCTGACCCACAGGACGTGCCCGGCAAAGAGAAGGCTCATCAGGATCGCCATCAGATCATGCTGAAGGTCTTCATCTGCTCTGCTGTGGGAAGGGCTGACCCTCCCACCAGGCACACTAACCCCTGGACCTTTTCTCATCTCGGAAGGGACACAGTGGCCTTGCTGGGAGAGGACTGCAGCCAGGGGGAAGGAGGAAGACTTGGCTCCCTCCCCCTCGCTGGGGCCCTGAACAGGCCTCCCTTGGTGCTTGGGGAGGGGCGGTGAAAAGCAAGACCCTCCCCACCACCCTGTATGTCCTCCTGATGGCTGAGAGCCTGCTGGTCGCCCTTTAGCTTGCCAGACTGTCCTAGAAGGCCCTTGGCTGGCAAGGCCCACACCCCTACCAGGTGGGGCCAGGTCCCGGCAGCAGGGCTGCCCCTGAGGTCAGGGATCTGTGCAAATTAGAGACGGGCAGCTCCCATGGGGGGTTCAGGCTCCTGTGGATGGGCACCTCTGTCAGGGATATCTGTCACCTACAGGTGGGCAAGCCTGACTTCCAGACTCCAGAGCTCAGGAATAATCCGTGAACACAGCCCCACCATGGACTTCCACCCCCGTCAGCCCCACAGCTCCACAGGTCCAGCTTCCACAGACCCACAGGTCTAGCCACTGAGGGCTGTGCTGTGGTGGGAACGTCCCGGACAGCTTCGGTGGGAAAGTCCCTGGTGGCTTTCCTGGCTTGGGCAGGGCGGGGCTTGTTCCCTGTCCCCCAGTACACTGCCCCCTCACCCGCCCTCCAGGCATCTGTGTCAGGGCAAACCTGCCCAGGCCCCGTCCTCTCAGGTTCCCCCAGCACAAGCTCCCAGATGTTCTTTTTCTTTTTTTTTTTTTTTTTTTGAGATGGAGTCTTGCTCTGTCACCCAGGAGTACAGTGGCGCGATCTCGGCTCACTGCAAGCTCCACCTCCCGGGTTCACACCATTCTCCTGCTTCAGCCTCCTGAGTAGCTGGGACTACAGGCGCCCGCCACCACGCCTGGCTAAGTTTTGTATTTTTAGTAGAGACGGGGTTTCACCATGTTAACCAGGATGGTCTTGATCTCCTGACCTCGTGATGCACCCATCTTGGCCTCCCAAAGTGCTGGGATTACAGGCGTGAACCACCACACCCGGCCCAGGATGTTCATTTTCTATGGTCCTCTCTTCTCACTCCTTCCCTGCCAAGGGTGATGCCAGTGTCCCGTCCCCACTCTCAGTTGAACACACAGATTTGGGGGAGCCTGAGGGGGAGAGAACAAGCTGGCGGGAAGCCGCAGGACTGAGGCCCGTGAGGACAGTGGGCGTGGGCAGGGCCACAGCGGTGGGAGCCCTCCATGTCCCAGCCCACCAGGGGCCTGGCTAGGCACTGGTTCCTCCCTCCTAAGCCAACTCTTTGAGGTGAGCAGTCTACACTCCGGGCATGAGGGATGCAAGGAGTTGGGACCAGAGCACGTGTCAAGGAGTCCCAGCCCGCGGGCACCCCAGGCCACACGGCCCCACTCTGCTGCAAAGCCCTCTGTGCCCAGGTCACGCAGCTGGCCCAAAGATGGCAGGAGACACAGATGGACGCAGAGGGCCAGCCTGTGAGAAGCCAAGAAGCACTGGGGGTCCAGTCTCAGCCCCGGCGCCCTCTCCTCTGCCCACATCCAGGCCACCAGCTCCACGGACTCTCCTGTCCCTCCCCTCCCATTACCTAGCTTCTGGCCCTCCTCACCACCCCTGTGGGTCCCTCAAATCACTCACTGGGCCCAGTCCTGCTCTCACAGCCTCCCTCCCCCAAGAACCATCCATGGCTCCCTGTGGCCTGGTATGCTCAGACCTCAGCTGCCTGGGCCATTCACCTGTCCATCTCCAGAGTCCAGCTGCCTTCCTACCCCACACCAAGTTTTAGGCAATTAACTCTTTCCTCTATATGTGTTTGACCTCCCAGCTAGTCTGTAAAATCCTAGAAGACCAGAATCATGGATGTTCAAAGAAGTAGATAGCCTCAGTCCCCTCCTCAGGACCTGACACCTAGTCTAGACTCCAGGAAATCAAAGGCCTGCATCGGATCGTCCCACCCACGGCAGGATGCTGGGACTCCCAGACTATGAGGGCCTCCCAAGCAATCACCACAGTGAAGCATGTTCCCCAGGTCTCTCCAAAAATAGCCCTTTACGTATTCATCTTACAGCTGATTTTCCCCCAACATTTTATCACCAATATATTCGAACATATGGAAAAGCTGAGGAGTTTGACGGTGACGGCTGCACCCCACCAGCTCGATGCAACTGGGGCATTCTCCTCCACACTGGGGCATTCTCCTCCACACGCTGCATCACACATCTGAGCCCATCTCCACCCTCCGCCGCCCGACAACCTAGTTTATTATTTTTGATGCATTTGAAAGTAAGCTGCAGACGTGTGTGCACTTCCCCCGATACTTCAGCGAGTTTATCATCAACTAGGGTTTGACATTTGTTTACATTTTTTTTTTCTTTTGAGGTAAAAATTGACATACAATGAAATGCATGAGTCTGGGCCAGGCATGGTGGCTTTATCCTGCACTTTGGGTAGATCACTTGAGGCCAGGAGTTCAAGACCAGCCTGGGCAACATGGCGAAACCCTGTCTGTACTAAAAACACAAAAATTAGCTGGGTGTGGTGGCACGCCCCTGTAATCCTAGCTACTTGGGAGGCTGAGGCAGGAGAATCGCTTGAACCCAAGAGGCAGAGGTTGCAGTGAGCTGAGATCATACCGCTGCTCTCCAGCCTGGGTGACAGAGTGAGACTCTATCTCAAAAACAAAAACAAGAAAGAGAAAAAGAAACGCATGAATCTGCAAATGCACACAGCTGCACAACTCTTCACCTGCCAAGATGCAGACCATGCCCCTCAGGAAGTCCCCTCATGCCCCTCCCCAGCCATTCCCACCTCCAGCCCCCAGGGCAACCACTGTCTTCACTGTTTTCCACCACCTCTGAGTTTTCCCTGTCCTAGAACTTTCTGTGCATGGATCTTGGGACTGCACGCCTTCACTGCTGGCTCCTTTCATGCTACATCAGGGTTTTGAGGCCCATTCACCTCCCTGCATGTATTGGCCCCTTGCCCCTTTTCATGGCTGTGTAATATTCCTAATGCCCCAGGGTTTATTTATCCATCTCTCTGCTGATGAATGTTTGGGCTGTTTCCATTTCTGGGCTCTTGTGAACAGAGCTGTTGGGAACATGCCTGTCTGTGTTGTTCAGCTACAGCTTATTTTGAGAGATTATTTTCTCATTCTTTATGTTGCTTTAGAAGATGGAAACCAGGCAGAGACAAGCAAACTCTCTTTTTGCTCGTTCTCCCAGCTGCCGACAACCCTAGGGATGGGGTCGGCTCAGCACTGCTTCAGCCCCAAAATTCTCACCCGTGGCTCCCGCTGGGGGATCTTGACTCTGCCAGGTCGCTTCTCAGTCTCCACGTCTCAGGACTGGTTGGGTCTCAGAGCTCTTCCTGCAACACCCTCCACTCCGTGTCCAGGCAGGACAGCCACCTGCTTCTCCCTGGGCTGGCGAGGATGAGGCCTCTCCATTGCCTGGCTGTTGTTTCTCCCGCCAGGAAATCCCTGACTCACTTCTAATTGCCGGGAATTGTGGAGAGGGAGGCGTGTCCCATCAGGATGGGGACAATTAACAAACGGTGCCCTCCATTTCCTTTCACGCCTGTAAATGTGACGCGGCGCTGAGTGTCATTATCTCCCCATGTCCTACCTTCCCAACATGACCACGTCGCATGGAATTGGCTCCAGCAGTTGATAAAATTTGCTTCATAAAATTCTGGGGCTACTACATGTGTTTGTTTAACTGGCTTGCCCCCGCCATGGGAAAGGGTGACTCCCTACAATGCTGGATGCTTACTGAGCAGCCAGGACCTGGGGGGACAATATTTGGGGGATGCAAAGAAATACCCGAAGCTGGCTCCAGACTCCTCTATGCAGCTGAAGTGGATCTGCACGGACTTCCATGCCAGGCTGCTGGGGAGCTATGGTGGAGAGAGAGGTGAGCTGCAGATCCACCGGTGCTTACCAACGTCCGTGCATGCTTGTGTGTTTTTGTTTCTGTTTTGAGATGAAGTTTCGCTCTTGTCGCCCAGGCTGGAGTGCCATGGCAATCTTGGCTCACTGCAACCTCTGCCTCCTGGGTTCAAGCAACTCTCCTACCTCAGCCTCCCAAGTAGCTGGGACTACAGGCACCCGCCGCCATGCCCGGCAATTTTTTGTATTTTTAGTAGAGACGGGGTTTTGCCATGTTGGCCAGGCTGGTCTCAAACTCCTGACCTCAGGTGATCCACCTGCCTCGGCCTCCCAAAGTGCCGGGATTACAGGCGTGAGCCACCTTGCCTGCCCTGTTTGCATGTTTTTAGTAAAAGTAACAATAGAAATCTCACAAATGAACAAATAAATCACTCAACTATTGAATAAAGGTCTGGGAGTATCTGTCCTATTGTTAAAAGAGGCTTCCCCTGGGGGAGGACAGGAAGGAGTGGGGCTTTTCACTTTGTATGTGATGTGTTTCCGCATCTTCATTGAAGTGCTGTGAGCTTGTCCTGCCTTCTTTCAAGGTAGTATGTAATTTGGCTGGAGAGCAAGACGGGAACATGCAGTAACTCACAATGTGAGACAATAAATGAGGCTCCGCATTTGGCTTCCATTCAAACCAGAAGGAGCGAGTTGTCTGGAGGACAGAGGGTCCCTCAGGATTGGGGGACAAGGCGTGGGGAGGACTTCTGCAGGATTGCAAAGGAGGAAGGAGAGCTAGGCGGCCGGGAGCAGGAATTCATTCAAGGTGGCTTGGGGGAAGGTGGGAGTAACACCGAGGCAAGAATGCAAGGCGCCCTCTGAGAGGGCTTGTGAAAAACCCCTGTTCTCAGAGTCCTCTTTGCTAAGACTAGAAACAACAGAGAATCGTTCTTTTACTCCTTTGCACTATATAAAGACCTACTATGCAGCCAGCACTGGCCTGGAGTCGGAATGCAAAGATGAAACGCCGGCTTCTCCTCCAAGGAGCTGTGTCGAGCACGGAACCCAGGTCCCAGCTAGTTTGTTTCCAGCGTGGGCTCTGGAGCCCGCCAGCCCCACTTCCGATCCTGCCCTGACGCTTGCCAGCTGTGAGACCCCAGGAAGCTGCTTCTGATCTCCAGAGTTCTGTTTGCTGGTCTGTGAAGTGGGGGGAGAAGGAGCACTCGCCTCCTGGGGTCACTGTGGGGAGGCAGGCTGCGTATCTAGCAGAACACCCGGCCCAGACACACACTCGATGGCTGGGTCTGCAGGGGCTCTTACTAAATGATCTCTCTCATCACAGTGAGAAGTGCCCCACCGAGGACAGCTTCTTCACCCAAGCGAGACCAGTGGGAGGGTCGGGCAGCCCCCACGCAGCACTGAGCTATGAGGTCAAAGATGAGGAGGTGAGTCCACGGGGCAGAATCAGCCGAAGAACTTAAGCAGAAAAGGCTGGAGCAACCAGCGGGCAATGAGATCTGAGCAGGATGGGGGCCCAGGGCTCTGTGGCTCACGGCCATCCCAGGAGCCTGGCCAAGTCATTCTGTGGTTTTAAAGACAGCGACCTCCGAACCTGCGGGTTCCCCATCTGCTGCTCAGGGCTCCCCCAACCACAGATCTAGACATGGTTGCTAAGGGGGTGCTGGATGGAAGGCAGGTCCCTAGGAGACCCTGTTCTGAGAAGCAGAGTCTTAAAATGCATTTAGCCGATGAGGCCCACATTGTTTGGCTGAGTTAATGCCAAATTGCATCTGAATAATAATAATAACCAGAATTATAACGCCAGGTAAAGCTGAGCTGATAACATCATCACCATCATTGTTCTTGCATTAATGGTCTCTCTCACCAAGTAATTATTGTAGTATTATTATTCATCGAGGTGAAATTCACATTACACCAAATTAACCATTTTAAAGTGTATCATTTAGTATCATTTAATCTGTGATGCAACCACTGTCTCTATCAACTTCAAAAACATTCCATCACGCCAACAGAAAGCCCTCTACCTGGTTAAGCAGCCTCTGCCCATCACCAGCCCCTGCCACCTGGCCCTCAGCCCTCAGCGACCACCAATCTCCTTTCTGACTCTATGGATTTACCTACCCTGGGTATTTCATATAAATGGAATCATACAATATGTGGCTAGACACAAAAGGCCACCCCTTCTGCTGAGCACACTGTTTTCAGGGTTTGTCCACGTGGCAGTCTGTATCGGAACTGAATTTCTTTCCATGGCTCTGTGGCACTCCCTTGCGTGGCCCTACCACGTTTTGTGTGTCCATTCTCCAGCTGACAGGCATTTGGCTTGTTTCCGCCTTTGGGCTCTTGCAAACGGTGCTCCTACAAACGTGTGCACACATGGATTTCTTTGAGCCCCCACTGCAGTCTTTTTGGAGTGTGTGTCTAGGAGCGAGACGGCCGGGTTGTGTGATAGTTCCATGTCCAACTTTTTGAGGAACTGCCACCCTGTTTTCCAGTGGCTGAACTATTTTACATCCAACAATGCACAAGGGTTCCAATGTTTCCACATCCTCACCAACACCTGCTATTTTCTGGTTTATTTTCCTTCTGTGGCCTATGAAGTGGCTGCCTATTACTTGTGTAGATATATGGCCTTCTGAAGTCCATAAGGCATGTGCAGAGGGTGGTGGCATGTTGCCTCTGTCCATATGGAAACTGATAAGCAAGAAGTGAAGTGCAGGGCCCTGTGTCTAACCCCAGAGCAGGTGGGCCTGAGACCTGGAGCTGGCAGGCAGCTGGGGTCCCCGTATTCCCACAGAGCGGGCAGGCAGGTCCCTGGAGACCAGTGCCATGGGGTCAGGCTGGGGGATGGGCACTGGTGAGAGGCGGCAGGGGGCCAGCTCTAGGGATGCTGTCTGGCCTCTGAGAGACACCCCCCCATCCACCCATTTCTTATCCCAGCACCTCTGGCCCCTGTTGATGGGGTCAAGTGGCCTCAGCCTAGAAGGTGCAGATTGGAGGGAGGAATGGAAGTCTCCTGGCATCTTGGGTGGTATTTGGAATGCAGACAATGCGAATGGAAGGATGTGTTGTGATTTCTTTTAGGACAACAGGTCCTCTCCTTATTTCCCGCCTGCTCCTCTCCACTGCCACTCTCCACCCTTCAGCTCTGCACACCTGGACAGTGAACAGCTGTTCCCGTGCCTGCTGCCTCAGCTCAGCATGCGTGTGCAATGCTAGACGGCCCCCTGCACACAGTGTCCTGGCCGCCTGGCTGCCTTGGGCCAAGGGAGTGTCTCTTGTGGACGGTCAGTTTCCTCTGGGACATAGGTTCTCCCCTGCACAGTCTTAGCTGCTCCCAGTCAGTGGCATCTACCCTGCTGCGTTTCAGGCTGGTTCTCGTCTCCGTGCATCATTCTGGCTGCGGCAGGCAGAGTTCCAGGTCAGCACCTGGTGTACACACATCTCCAAGTTCTTCAGCCAAACACAAACCGAGGTGCAGCTGTGAGGGGATTTTGCGGCAGGGGGGCGGTCATTAAGGACCCAGGTAGGGAGTTTATCAGGTGGGCCTGACCTAAGCAGATGAGCCTTTGAAACACAGAGAGTTTTCTCCAGCTGGTCGCAGAACAGGAAGCCAGGGGATTCCACAGTAAAAGGGATGGGGCAAAGGGGAACTTCTCCACTGGTGGCGTGAAAGTGGAGGGGTCCCGTGGTGAGGAATGTGCATCTGAGCTTCTGACTGACAGAAAAGTGGCCTTCAGAAAAATGGTGTTGCTTAAGCCCCTGAGCTGGAGGTGTTTTGTTACTCATCAGTGGCACATGCACGCCCAGGTCAGGCGGTGCCTCCTGCCTCCTGCTTCCTGAGCTCTGCAATCCCTCCTGCCTCAGTTGCTTTGCAGGCTGCTCCGCTTGACTGCCGGCCCCAGGAAGGCAAGGCCCCGCCATACCAGCTGCTCACCTGTGGCACCAGCAGGTGCTTGCTCACTGTAGGCTGGGGAACGAGCTGGCACCTGCTCACACCCCTCCCACTCTCTGCACCACACGGCTGGGCTGGGCATCTGGAGACCTGGGCTGAGTGCAGAGACCCCGCTTTCTACTTGTGCGATCTCTGCCAGCTACCTTGCCATTTTGTGCCTCAGTTTCCTCCTCTGTAAAATAAAAACAGCAACAGGAACCACCTTGAGCACATTTTTTTCGTGCCCCGGCACCAGGCGCTGTGCCGACGGAGCCGATGCTGTCACGTAACCGGATCAAATGTTCCCAGGACTTTCTGTGTGCTGCTTGCCTGCGCCCTGCTTTCTGGGTGTGTGTTCCAGCTTCTGAACTATATCGAAGGGTCCCAAAGGCATTTTGGGGTGGGGGCACCTCATGGCACCTCACTGATCTGCTCACACCAAATGCAAAAACCAAAACCCACTGAGACTCATTCTGGAATTACCTGCAGTTACCCCAAGCAGCCAGGTTGTCTCGGACCCAGGGCCTCTGCACGCACCGTCCCTCTGTGTGGAGCATTCTTCCCTGGGGAGCGTGTTCAGCCTTGGCCTCAGCTCCACGGGCTCCTCCTCCACCCTTCTCCCACCTCCCCTCCAGGTCTCCATCAGTTCCCTCCTTGGGGCTGCCCTGGCCCCAGGCTTCCCCTTCCATGCCCTCCCTCTGTGCTGTAAGCCCCTGCCTGCCAGCCCGACTTCGGTCCCCACGCCCCCACCTGCACAGTGGTGAGGCAGGACCAGAGCCTCATTCCCTTGTATGTCCCCAGTCTCCCATGGTGCCTGACTTGTAGCAGTTGTTCATGCTGTGATCCATGCATGCAATGGTTGTTCTAGAGCACCCGTGTTGGACAAGCCAGGCCCCAGTCCTCGTGGAGCCCTGGGCTAGCACTCAGGGGACGTTTGCTGAATGAATGAACAATGAAGGCTCATACTGGGGCCAATTAAATGGAAAATATGGAACAATGTGTGTGCAGCGTGTATGCACGTGTTGTGTATATGTATGTGTGGTGTATGCGAGTGTGTAGTATGTGTGCGTGTATGCACGTGTGTATATATGCCTGTGGGCATGATGTGTGTTATATAAATGTGTGTGCAGCATGTATGCACATGTTGTGTATATGTGTGTGTGGTGTATGTGAGTGTGTGGTATGTGTGCGTGTAGACGCATGCGTGTATATACGTATGTGGGGTGGTGTGTGTATATAAATGTGTGTGGTGTATATGCACGTGTTGTGCATGATCTGTGTGTGGTGTAAGTGTGTATGCACATATGTGTATATGTGTGAGGGCATAGTGTGTATGTGTGTCATGTATGCATGTGTTGTGTGTGATATGTGTGAGTGTATGGTGTGTGTATGGTATGTGTGCGTGTATGAACATGTGTGTATGTATGTGGGCATGTGTATATAAATGTGTGTGGTGTGTATGCACATGTTGTGATATGTGTGGTGTGTATGCACATGTGTGTATGTGTGAAGGCATGGTGGTATGGGTGTGAGTGAATGTGTGTGAGGTGTATACATGTGTGTGATATGTGTGAGCGTATTGTGTATGTGTGTGCACATATGCACATATGTATACATGTATGAGGGTATGGTGTGTATGAATGCATTGTGTTGTGTATGCATGTGTTGTATGTGATATGTGTGTGCTGTGTGGTATGTGTGTGTATGCACGTGTGTATATATGTGTGAAGGCATGGTGTTATGTGTGTGTGAATGTGTGCATGTATGCATGTGTTGTGTGTGATATGTGTGAGTGTATGGTATATGTGTATATGTGTGTATGCACATATGTGTATGTGTGAGGGCATGGTGCATATGTATAAATGTGTGTGGTGTGTATCCACGTGTTGTGATGTCTGTGTGGTGTATGTGTGTGGTGTATGTGTGTGTGCCTCTATGCATGTGTGTGTATATATGTGAGGGCATGGTGCGTGTGTGTATGAATGTATGTGTGGTGTGTATGCACGTGTTGTGTATGTGTGTGGCATGATCCCCACCCACAGTAAAGGGGTGACTACCACTCTCTGACCCTGAGCCCCTCTCTGTTCAACCCTCCAGCCTCCCTTCTGCTCTCTGACAGCCAGAGGAACCAGCCTGCTTCTGCCCTGTCTCCGTCCATCTCTCCTAAGAAGGAAAATTGGGCATTTTCCCAAAAGGTTCTGCTGGTTTAAAAGCAGGGAGGGGGAAAGGGGGAACTGCCTGCAAATGTCACTTGCAGATGAAATTTCTGAAATGCAAGAGAGACCAAAACAGAAACCTCAAATCAGCCCAGACCCAGCCTCAAGAGGGCAGGCCGGGGCACCCCTCCCCTGCAGTGCCCATTTCTGTGCCAGCCAAGAAACTGCTCTGGTTACAAAGGCTGCACTTTCTCAATTTCCGTGACTTAGACTCCAAATTATCCCAAAGGCAGGATGTGGAGTCTCTGAGTGGAAGAATGACCATTCACCTGGCTCTCCTTCCAGAACCTGCTGCATCCAGAGGCTTTCTGAATTTCCATGGATGTGGGGAGGAGCCACAACACAAAAGTGACACCTGGGCTACTGGGGCCCCCCACAAACAGCAGGGAATCCCTGGAGCCACAGCATCCCCGCTCCCACCCAGGAGGCTCAGGCCGTGAGCTCTTCTCTTCCCGTGGCCACACTTCATCAGGGAGCAGGTTTCCACCTGGAGCGTGGAGACTCTGAAGCCAGTGGGAAGGAGGCTCTGGGCACAGGCAGCGTTGCAGCCCCAGTGAGAGATCCTTCTGCAGGTGCACACCTGGGCGATGGGCAGAGGGGAGGGGGCTGGAAGGCAGCCCGAGGAGCAGCAGGCCGCGAGCCCACAGGGTCCAGGAAGAGCTCGCACCTGGGCACCCAGCCCGGGCCATCCTTCTGCGGCCTGGCCAGCAGCCATGTGCACTGGCTGCCACAGGGCAGGCGGCTGCCATCCCATCTGCACCTCAGCTGGGGCCTGGGTTCTGTGCCAAGTGGTCCCTACCAGCCTCATACAGGCGGGTAGTGGTGCCCTAGGCAGGTGGCGTGGGCTCTGGGGGTAGGAGAGGGGGCATGTAGGGGGCTGTGAAGCTGTGTCTCAGGGGCAGCAGGGGCAGGACAGGACCAGGCAGAGGGGACCCAGCTGGGTTTGGGCAGCTGGAAGGAAACTCCCCACCAGCTCGGCTGGCCTCGGCCTTGTTATTCTACCCAGGATCCACAAAGCCCCCAGAAGAGGCTCAGGCAGGTTCTCAAGGGCCCTCCTGGAGTCCCCTTCAGGGCCACACTCCTGTCCATATCAGGGACTTGCGGCAGCATTTTCTAATACAATGCAAATCAACAATTGCCTTGCTGAAGAACAAGGGGTAAAAAAAATCACTGTAAACAAAGTCTCCGTTGCCATGGAGACTATTAAAAATAGATTGGCCACCCTACCCCCTTCCTTCTGGGTAATGTACAGCGAGTTCCTTCACACCACATTATTATTACTTTTTAATTATGAATAATTTCCTCCTTTCCATAGGAAGATGGATTAACACACACAACTTCCCCACAAAGCCCCTCAGCGTGTATTTCCATATGCAAATGCGGCGGGACGGTGCCCCGTGTGTCCAGGCCCCAGGGCGAAAGCTCCCCGTGAATCCCTTCCACCTCTCCTGGTCTCCCTGCACTCTCAGCTTCCTAAGCCTGTGTCTGACTGTCCGTCTGGCTGTCTGTTCGCCTGCCTGCCTGCTCCAGGCTGCGGACTCAGAAACAGTAAAGACAGGTCTGGGAGGTCCGGCCTGGCAGAGCTAAGGAACTGCTGTGTGGGGTAAGCAGCAGACCCCCAAGAGGATGGGCACCTGGGAAGACAGCGTGCCCACGGGAGGACTGAACAGCCTCTGCACTCCCGCTGGCGCGAACAGGCTCTGGTGAAAAGATGGGCTTTGTAGCTCCTTGCTGACATCTTTCCATTCAGTCGGGAGGAACCATGCAGCAACCCCCTGGCAGTGGGTCTGGGACAGAGCCCGAGGTGGCGGGAGCCAGGGCAGCGGGAGGGGCCGTCGCAGTCCAGCTCCCGTTCCCAGAGGGCTCCTGAGCCTCTGAGGTCCCCAGCTGCCAAAGCACAGGTCTGTTCCCCAGGGCAGCCTCCCCAGCTCATCGCCACGGTCCACATGCGGACAAAGACTCACACCAATCCCAGGGCCACCAGGCTGCAATTTCATCACGGGGTTCTGAGTCTGGGGAGTTCAAGTGACTTCTGAGACCACTTGGGGGTGCAATCTGCCCGGTGCCACCTACGAGGACCGCCTTTGCCGAGGTACCTGGGCCGAGGCCCAGCAATACCTGGTAGAATCTTTGTATTCGTTTAAGCCCAGATGAGTTCCAAAGAGCCAGTCCCTGGCACACAGACTCTCACCTTTAGGAGGCTGCCCATGGCTGGACCCTGAGTGATCCCCACATGAAGTGTGGGGCTAAATACTCCAAGGTCCATTTTTTGATCCTGGGGGTCAGAGTACCTCCCCTCCCCCACCCAGGGAGAAGGGGGCACTGTGCACCCCTGAGGCCGACCCTAGCGGCTGTGGAAGAGCTAAGGAAACTTGGAAGCCCTGGACATCTCGGCTCTTGTATTTCAGCACGGCAGACGCAGATGGAGGAGAGAGAAACTCCCTCCTCTGGTGGTGTGTGCATGCAGGCAGCCCCAAGCTTTCCAAAGCCACTCTGCCGGCTCCTGGGGCCACCAGGGCGGGCAGCTAGATGGCCAAGTGGCAGGACAGTCACACAATTGCATGCGGCTCAGTTACGATGGGCACACAGGGAGCAGGTCCTCGGAGGGAGGGGCTGGGGCGGAGTCGGCTCCCTGCCTGACGTTTAGGTGAAACTCTTCTTTCATCTGGGCCCTGGGGGAGGCAGAGTCTGTGTGGGTCATAAGGAGGGGTCTCTGCAAATGGCAGCCTGCATGTGCTGGGGCTGTGGAGGAAGGGAGAGGGACTGCAGGGGTCTCTGAGCATGCCGCAGACCCCAGGGGAGCCCACACACTGGAGCAGGCCCCTCCCACCTCCTCACCTGCAGACGCCCCCAGACTCTGAGAGTCTCTGCTCCCCTCTCCACTGACATGGGCCCCAGAATTCCAGGAGGAGGCTGGAAAAGGCCATGCCTGCGCTGCCTCCTTCTGCCGCCGCCTCTTCCTCTCGCCTGCACTCCAGGGTCCATGTGGTGCAACGGAGTCCTTCCAGCACCCCCAGGCAGGGCAGGGCTGCCCACAGGTGCCCCCACAAGGCCAAGGGCTGCCACCTGCACGGACAGGTCTCAGCTCACCTGGGAGGGCCAAAGGACAGCTGGAATCCTCCCCGGGAGCAGCTGGAATCACCTGCAACCCTCGGTCAAGGAGTGGACCTGGGAGCAGTTACTGCACCCAGAGCTCCCTCCCTCTTCTGGTCTGAGGTGCTTTGGCCATGGCCCCTGCCAAACCAGCCCTTCCTGCTCTGCCCACCGCCAAGCCCAAAGCCTCCTCCCTAGCAGACCCGCCAGCTCTCCTGCTAGGCATAGTATAGGGCAAGGATAGCACCACAGTCCCCATTCTCACTGTCAGCCCCCACTATCCATCAAGGACGCCCAATGGTTCCAGGATCCAAGACAGCGACGTGGCCCAGCACTTCTGGTGTGGCCCCTGCGATGGCGTGACCAGAGAGAGCGAAGACACTTGCTCTCCCACGGGGGCCAGCAGGTGAACCCTGGGGCCAATCCCAGTAGCCTCCTGTGGGGAGAGAAGCTGCAGGAGAAGTGGAGGCCGGCCCTCCCCCGCACCCACCCCTCCAGGTTGGGATGGGGCTGCCACTCAGGCTTCAGCAGCCCCTTGGATCTATCTGCCTCGATTGCTGACCCCTTGGTACTGACAAGCGCAGCTGGCTGTTTTGTGACCTTTAGAATCTAAAGCAACACAAATAGAGCAGCCCCCTTGCCATGAAAGTCTGCAGGGCAAACTGTGGGCCCAGGGGATGTGCTGTTTTGGGGATGCGGCTCTCCCTCCTGCTGGCTGCACCTGGCTGGCAGGTTGGGCAGGACCCATGTTCCTTACCCGCATCCGAGGAATACCACAGTTGCCTGGTAAGCCCCAGGCCCCTTGGCATGGTTTGCAGCAGGGTTCGCATGGCAGGGAGTGGAAAGGCGGCCCCACCCTGTCCCTGCCGCTCTCCCCAGCTCTGCATAAGGGGCACATCTCTCCTGGCAGGGTGGAAGGGGCAGCCAGGTGTTCTGCCAGGATGGCAGGAAAGGGGAGAAGTGGCTGTGACTGTGCCTATGTCATCTGCACAGCCTGGGGGAGAGGAGAGAAGATAACAGAGGCAGAGAAGCTTCTCCTTGCTCCCCGTAAGAGTCTCTCAGCCCCTCAGCCTCTCCCAAAACCCCTGGTCAGAGGCAGAATACTCACTCCTGCTCAGGGGTGCCTCAGCTGAAGCTCTCAGGAAAGAAGGGGCCTGGCTCTGCAGTTCTTGAGGACATCAGAGAGGACACCCCTGGCCCTGTCACAATCCCTTCCAGAGAGCACCAGCGGCCTGGCTTGTCCCTGGATGTTGAAAAGTAGCTGTTCCCCACGGCCTTTCTTTCTCAGAGGAACATGCCCAACCAGGCAGGGAAGAGTCCTGACTACAAGCCAATGGGCTGCCCGACACCCATAAGGATGGCTGCTATCAAAAGCACAGAAAATAACAAGGCATTGGCGAGGGTGTGGGGAAGTTGCAACCCTCATGCATTGCTGGTGGGAATGGAAGATGGCGCCGCTGCTGCGGAAAAGGAAGGTTTGGCGGTTCCTTAAACAATCAGATGGAATTGCCATATGGTCAGCAACCCTGCTCCTGGGTACAGCCCCAAGAGAACTGAGAGCCGCAACTCCAACTGAGAAGTGCACTTCGTGTTCACGGCAGCATCACTCTCAATAGCCACACGGGGCGGCAGCCCAGTGTCCACGGATGGACGAATGGAGAAACAGAACATGCTCCATGCATAGAGGGAATATGACCAGCCTTACAATGGGAGGAAATTCTGACACACACAACATGGGAGAACCCTGGGGACATGACGCTGAGTGAAGTAAGCTGGTCACAACAGGACAAATCCTGTGTGAGTCCACTCATGTGAGGTCCTTAGAGTCATCAGATTCAGAGACAGAAAGGAGAATGGAGATGCCAGGGGCTGGGGAGATAGGAAGGGGGCTTCGTGTTTCCTGGGGACAGAGCTTCAGGTTAGAAAGATGAGAACATTCTGGAGATGGATGGTGATGGCCGCACAACAAGATGAATGTACTTAATGCCACTGAACAGTGCACTTAAAAATGGTTAAGATGGTACATTTTATGTTATGCATATTTTACCACAACGACAAAAAGTTTTTTCCAATCGCAGGGATGTATGTGTTCCATCCAGCTGCCTAGTCCTCCCTCCTTGCACACCCACCCATGCACACGCGTGCACACACGTTTCCCACACTAAAAGTTGGCCACGTTCTTCCTACAGCAAAAGAAAGGTACCTGCCCCCAATTTTCCCTCCACTAGATAATCTCCTTGAACAATTTCATAAAGAAGGATTCACACCGTGCCACGCGAGAAAGCCGTGTGTGTCAGCCAAGAGCCTGCGGCCTCTGGCCAAGAGCAAGAAGAAAGGCACAGACATAGATGCCCAGACATGTGAAGGTGGTCAGTCGTGGGGCCAAGTCTCAGGGCAGCATCCCAGCTCAGGGATGCTTCTTGGCAAGGAGGTCTGGGAGAAAATCAGGAAGTGGCAGACTAAGACCAAGACAGAGAGGGATGGATGTGGCTGTGCCAAGTGCCCTGGCATCCCCCAAGTCTGGGTGGCAAATCCACTCTCCTTAGACTTGCTGCTTGAGAAGGAGGTTTGGGAGAGGAATTCCTTCCCAAAAAGTGAGGGAGGACATGGCACGGAAGACCCAGCCCCTTCCCATGCAGCCTGGTACCAGGCAGTAGGTTTGAGGAGATGGCACCCTTGTCTGTGCTAGCTCAGACTGGGTCACCACCCAGCTACAAATGTATCCTTATTTAATCTATAGCAATTATATTCACATTCTGCTAGACAAATAGATTTTACAAGCCCTCAGTTAAATGTGGATAATTACGTCTGCTGGTGTCAAGGGACCGTATCGTCCAAGCTCAGGAGGAAGCGTGGCATCCTGAGTCCTCCTAATGCTGTAAATTAGCAGGCAACATTCCCATGGCAGCTAAGCAATTATCCATGATTTCATTTTTCCCCACGCCCCCTCCTCACCTCTGTGGGCTGCCCGGCCATGCCTGTGCACACATGTGTGTATGGATGTTTCAGGCATACGTGGCTGGGAATGGCTCATCTGTCTCTCGAGTTGCTAAGATGCCTTTTCCCCGTGAGAGGCCTCTCCCCATGTTGGGGTGCCACCCACTGCTCTGTGCTCTCCTGTGCCAACCTTTCTCCTGAAAATGTCCATCATCAGAGGTGTTTCCAGAAAACCAAAGATGAGCCAACGCCTCACCACTGCCAAGACCTACGTCTTGGCAGGGTTCTTGCAGATGCAGGAGGTCAAACAGGAGCTTCGGAAGTGCATAGCAGGCAACGAGGACCACCCAGTGCTCACAATGGTTGCCTGTGTGCATGTACACACACGTGTGCACAAAATTCAGAGGCGCTCAGGCGCTCCGAGGTTCACAAACGCCTGCAGCTCTGCCACTTTTACACAGGGCAATCTTGGAGAAGCCCCTTCATCTCCAGACCTCAGCACGTTCACCTCTAAACGGGAGAAGTGATACCCACCTCCCACCTGCAGTCCCCCTCACAATGTGGTTGTGAGATCATACGCAATGAAAAATAGGAAAGCATTTTGAAACACACAAAGCACCAATGAAATCAAAGGCAGGGCTGCTTGTGTGAGTTCTGGGCGCCCTGGTGTCTTGGCATCCTCTCCAAGAGCAGACTTATGAATGCTGTAAGATGGTTAACAGGGGCCGGGCGCGGTGGCTCATGCCTGTAATCCCAGCACTTTGGGAGGCCGAGGCAGGCAGACTGCCTCAGCTCAGAAGTTTGAGACCAGCTTGGGCAACACGGTGAAACCTCGTCTCTACTAAAATACAAAAAATTAGCCAGGCATGGCGGCGTGTTCCTGTAATCCCAGCTACTCAGGAGGCTGAGGCAGGAGAATCGCTTGAACCTGGGAGGCGGATGTTGCAGTGAGCTGAGATCATGCCACTGCACTCTAGCCTGGGCAACAGAGCAAGACTCCGTCTCATACACACACACACACACACACACACACACACACACACACACACACACAAAAGATGGTTAACAGGTGTGCCTCCTTTTAGGCAAATCTGATGTTTAAAAAACACAAATTGGCTGGTGAGTCACTTTACAAAAGGTCCCTTTAACGTGGAAATGGAAAGTTTCTGAGTGCATTTCAAATCTACTGCCATTTTTAAAAATACTTGTTTATCTACAAGTTTCTCAGAACATATGTGCAGCACCAAGTCAGGGACTCCCAATTAGAACGCCCCCACCCACGAAGGGAGCATGGGAGGAAAGTGTGAGTCAGCGGCCCCAGGGCTGCTGGGCGGAGTCCTCTGCCAGCCAGCCTGCTAGAGTCCCCTGGGACCTTCTCCCTCCACAGCCATGTCCAGGCTCTGTCCAGCACCTAGGTCTGCCCCCATCCCAACCCAGGAGAAGGGGTCCACATTCTCACAGGGGTCTCCATGGCACCACTGTTAGCAGGCAGGGCAGGCCTAGGGGAGGGAAGTGCACGGGAACCGCTTGCCTCCCAGCCACTGCTCTGCAGCTGAAGAGCTCGGCCACCCGAGGGGAGGGTGGAGGAAAGAGGCCTTGCTGTGAGGAATCTCACCCCTGCCACAGGAGGGTCAGGCCTCTGCCCTCAGCTTCTAGGACAGGATGTCTAAGCCCCTGGAACGGCTTACTGATGAGTGTCTTTATTTACTCAGGGTCTTCGTCTAGCCAGGAAGTAACAATGTGATGTGGGGGCTGGTCTGGGGTCTCACGGGATCAGCTGACCTCTAGAAAGCCTGGAGACTCAGGTCAGCCATGTACACCTCCCAAGCCGCCATGATGAAGCTGGTGAAGACTCGGGCATGGAGGCCCAGGGGCTTCCCTGCTGAGTGAGCCTCCCCTGGTGGGTTGAGGGGCTTCCCTACTGGGTGAGCCTCCCCAGGTGGGTCGAGGGCCTTCCCTGCTGGGTGAGCCTCCCCAGGTGCTGTCAAACATCAGTGCCAGGAAGATGACACCGTCCTGGCTTCACAGCAGAGGGCAGGATGCTCCGTGCCCTAACCTACAGGCCTCCATGCCCTAACCTCCGCGGCCGCTTCTCTCAGCTGGTTCCACCCTGTGTCTTTTAGCTGTAATGAACCCTGAGCGTGAGAACCATGACTGCTGGGCTCCGAGGTCCTCTAGCAAACAACCGGGCCTGAGAGTGGTTCTGGAAGCCTCTACGCTTGAGGCTGGTGTCAGAAGTGGGGCTGCTTGAAGTGGATGGCCCCCTCAATGTGGAAGGAGGCTGGGCCTGGCTGCCTGCCAAGCCTAGGGGCCTCTCCAGAGCCCACGGACCACAGCCACTGGCAGGACAGCAGCTCTCAGCCCCTCCCCCTGAAGAAAGCATGTGGGGAGGGACAGGGCCCAGGGCCTCACCTGGACAGGAGGCGAGGCTCAAATGACCCATGCTGGCATTGGGTGACAGGAGGGGGCCCCAGAAGTTGAGGACACAAGGAACATGGACCCCTGACCAGGGCATGCGGGACCCCAGGGGCACACCGAACGCGGTCACCATAGGACCAAACAAGATGACCATAGGACCAAGCAAGATGACGCAGGCCCCTGGCAAGCCTGAGGCCGGGGCAGCAGCCATGCTCTCTCCTCCTGTGGTGGGGAGGTCTCCTTGAGGCCTTGGGACAAGGGCAGAGAGAGAGAAGGGGAAGGAAGTGATCAGGTGCCGGAAGGCCCCGTGAGGGTGGCCCACGAGGCTCATGGGTTCCAGGAACCCACGCCCCACCCCAAGCTGCCCGGTCCTCAGCAACTGGCCCCATGTTCCACAGGCTCAGCAGCTCCCAACAGAATTCTAGGTGCTGCCCGGACGAGATGAGGAGGGGGACTTGCCGGCTGCTGGCTTCCAGCCTCATGGGGTACAGAGGCACCCAGGGAGGGGCAGAGAGGGGAGAAGAGCATTGAAGGGGCTGAGAGAGGCGGGACTTGGAGCCTGGGGAGAAGGGTGTGGGCCGGGGAGGAGAGGAGAGGTCCTGAGAAGGCCCTCTGATGATAGCTGCTCTGGAGAGGCAGAAGGGAGACAGGGAAACAGGGGGAGCCATGTGCAGACAGCAGTTGGGACGGGCACGCGGGGAGGGCTGGCCCCCGACAGCGGCAGCACAGCCTCGTCTTCCTGGTAAATCATCCTATGGCCTCGCTGGCAACTGTGACCAAGATGCCCAACCCCCCTCCCCACACATTCAACCCCTCCCTCCGTCCTGTGCTGCCACAGCACCCCCACTGCCTCCCTGTGCCCGGCCCTCCACTCCCAGGCCGGTGCCTCCAGGAAGCCCAGGGGGTCACCTGCCCGAGCCGGCTGCTGCCCTCTGTGTTTCACCCAGGGCTTCCCGGCCCAGGCTGCCTCCTCTGTCCTCCCGCTCCCTACACACCCCTTCATTTGCGGAAGCCGCCAGGCAGACACTCGGTCTGGGCAAGGCCCAGGGTCCAGCAGCCTCAGGCTGGGCGGGGCCAGGCTGGGCAGATGCTGGGTCGTCACCCCGGCAGTGCTCCTCTCTGCCTGGGCGCAGTGGCGGGAACCCGGGGTGCACCCTGGCTCTTCTCCATCACCACCTGTTAGGGTCTAAATTGTGCCCCCTCCCCAACTTCATATGTTGCAGCCCTGACCCCCCTGTGTAGCTGCATTTGGAGGTGGAGCCTATAAGTAGGTTATTAAGGTTCAGTGAAGTCACAGGGACCCTCATCGGATGGGATTGATGCCCTTACAGGAAGAGACAGCAGGGCGATATGCACTCTCTCTTCCTCTCCCTGTCTCCCTCTCTGTGTTTCTGTCTGTCTCTCTCCAGGGGTGCACAGAAAAGGCCACGTGAGGTCGCAGGGAGAAGGCGGCATCTACACCAGAAAGAGTCCTCACAGGCACGGGACAGGCCGGCCCCTGCGACGGGACTTCGGGTGCCCCGTGTGCCACGAACTCCCCTCTTTCTGCCTCCAGCCCCAGTCTCCTTCCAGACTCCAGACTCTTGGGTCCAGTGGCCAACTAGTCACCCCCACCAGAGTTTTCAAACGTGTCTTGGCGTCACATGTCCAAAACCAAACTCCTCACGTCCTGCGGTCTCCCCGTGGAAGCCCCATCTTTCCAGGTTCCCAGGTACAAGTTCGTGGCATTGTCCTGGATTCCTTGACCGTCCTCGCCACGCCCCCATCGACCAGGATGCCAGGAGCCAGGATGATTCTGCTTTCAATGCTTGTGCAGATCCTGCCGCACAGACCCCAACCCTACCTCCAGTGTGGTCCGGCGCCACCACCTCTGCCGGACGTTTGCTATCTCTCTACCTCCGTGCCCAGCCCCCGGCTATTCTCAGCACAGCAGCCAAAGAGATTCCTTTAAAATAGAAGTCACATCCTGCCAGCGCTGCCGGTACCCAGCACCTGGGGTTCTCCGCTATCTCCCACACATCGTTCTCAAACGCCGCCACCTCTCCACGCTGGACACTGCCCCCTGTGCAAACGCAGCCCCCACCCCTTCGTCCCATTTGCTTTTTCCCAGGAATGCCTGCCCCCCCGACCACCCCGTGCCCACAGACAAGGTCAGCTCAATACATACTTGTTCAAGGAACGGACAAGGAACAAGCCCAGTGGAGTCGCTGCTGGGCAGGGCTGCCCATCAGCAAATCCCCTTGCAACTTCTCCATCGTCCACGAGGCTCTTGGTGACCCCATCCCGGATGCCCAGTCCAGGCGCACACTCAGTCATGTGCTACCCAGAGCACGCCACATGCCCTCAGCTCCCTGAGGCCTTTGCAGCCACTATGCCCTCTACACGGAATGGCTCCCTCTTGTCCTCTCTTGGCAAGGGCCAGCCAGCCTGCAGCCCTAGCCCAGGCACCCCTTCATCCAAGGAGACCTCCCTGCCCCTCAGTCCGAGTCAGGAGCCCCTTCTGTGGGCGCCCTCTAGGCACCCTCACTCACCCCATACCAGGGTGCTGCACAGCCTTCAGCCCTCCCTGTCTCCTGCTCACAGCAGAAGCTCCCTGCAGCCAGGGGCGGGTCTTATTCACCCCTCTCCCCAAGTGCAGAGCGGAATCCTCCAGGCAAGTACATCATGTGAGGAATGAACACACAGTAGGGGCTCTCCCAGCACAGGTGGCGTGGGAATCATAGCCTGTCCGGGCCTCCCGCCCGTCCCAGGAGCACAGGGGTGAGCGTCTCTCCCTCGGCACTGACCAGGGGATGGACAAGGAAGTCCACAGCCAGGAAGCCCCTGCCCCCAGAAGTGAAGCTGGGGCTTGGCAGGAAAGAACAGCCAGCCAGGCTGGCGGAGCCTGCCCTAAGGTCCCTCCGCTCCCCCCGCAACTGAGCTCTCGACTCTCAGCAGCCATGGGCCCTGCCACCTGCCAGCCATGCTCTTCCTGTGAAATTCTCTCCAGCTGGAGTCACCACTGGCCTGGGGCTTCTTCCTGTCTCCAGGGTGGTGCCCACTGAGTCTCCTTGACTAGGACCACCCCCTCCCCCACCAGGCTTCCAAGGGCTCGGTCCAGCCCTGGCTCTCCTCTCCCCTCTGGCCTCAGGCAGGTCTGTGGCTCAGGAGGACCTGCTGACAACAGCCATAGTCTTCCCCCTCGGGCCGGGCCGGAGCTCCAGCTGCCACCTCATGTCCTTCCTGGGGTCATCCCTTGGGATCCTCAAACCTGGCCTGCCTGGACGGATGCTGGTGTCCCCTGACTCGCCCCATCTCTGCTCCTGGAAGGCAGCCCCTACCCATTTAGTCACCAAAGCCCCTCCCCACCATGGTCAACTGTCTGCAAGTTCCCAGAGGGAGACACATTTCCCTGTGGCCTCTGCTGTGCTCTGACACCCTGGGCCAGCCCCACCCTGTCGCCCGATGGCTTGCTGTTTAACATGTATCAGGTGACACTCACGCCCTGCTAACCCCTCCACAAGCCTCCTGGTTTTAGAAAATAAAATCTGTGCTCCTTACCCAAGGCCTGTTATGCCCCACCCTCCTCTCTCACCTCCTCTTGCTACACTAAACCCTCCAGGAGCATGGGTTTCTGTCAGCTTCTAGAACATACCCAGATCCTTCTGCCCAGGCCACCGCACCCTGCAAACCCCCCTTCCTGGAGCACCCTCGTCCAGACCTAACTCCTTCCTGGCTGGTTCTCATCCCTGAGGCCTCAGCTCCCTCTGAGTGCCCTGAGCAAGTCCCCTCCGCAGTAACCCTCTGCAGTGGGGAGGGCCTGGGGGGGCTTGTGTGGCCCCAGTGCTCACTGGGAACCCACAGTGTGTAGCCAAGCAGGGAGTCAACCCCCTGGGGCCCCAACTGCCTGCACTCCCCAGAGGAAGGAGGCACCTCCCACCCGGACTGGAGCCGTGTCCACAGCTGCCAAGGATGGTGCCCTAAAAGATTCTCACTTCCTTCAGAGGGGCAAAGCCTGAGATATCTGGGAGACCCAACAGGACACAGCAGAGGCCATGGGGGTAAATAAAGAGGGAGTTTCCAAGGTAGACCCTGCTGAGCTGTGCACTTGGGATCAACCTTGGGGCGGCACTCACAGCCAAGAGATGGACAGAGCAAGGAAGGGGGAGAAGACAGGAGGGCCACGAATTCCGACTTAGAAGGCGGCAAGAGCAGAGGGAGCAGTGAAGGGACAGAGCGGGAGATTGGGGGCCCGGGGGTTCCGAAAGACACTGGACAGTTGCAGTGGAGATGGGGAGGGCAGGAGGAGAGGATGGGGGGAGGAGAGGACAAGGAATGGTGAGGGCAGAGACCCCCTTCCAGGGATCTTGCTGCAAAGAGGGGCGGGCACCAGGCCTGCGCCTGGGAAGGTGGTGCGAGGCGAGGGCTCTCTCTGCAATGGGAAGACAGACGCGGTGACCAGTGTAACACTGGAGGAATCACGGAGAGTGTGGAGGGGGAGAGAGCAAGGCTGCGGGACTCATGGCCTGGAGCTGGGGAGGAGAGGGAGACACAGCCCACAAGCAGAACCAGGGGCTTTTGGCAAGAGTGAGTCAGGGGGCATGGGTGCTGGTGGCCTGGGTTTGAGGAGAGAGAGGAGCAGAAGAGCTGGCTGGGGTGTGAGGACTTTCAGGTTCCCCAGGTCGTGGGGCCCACCTTTCCGGCAGCATCCCAGTCCTTTGTCCCACTTGTCCCATGCAGGCAAGGCCCAGAGGGGAGGCAGACAGTCGAGGATGGCTGTCGCAGGTGCTGGGAGAGGAGGTGTTCTCGTGAATGCGCCATGTCTTTCTTGCTCGAACAGTAAATAAAACCTCAGGGTCAGGGGAACAACCCACATTCTAAACTGGCATCCCTGAGAGGTGACAACAATGAAGAGACAACGGCAGGCAGGCCGGGAGCACTCGCGACACAGTGTTCTGTGGTTCCAACAAGACTTTCCTTCCAGCCGATGGGGCAGGCACCTATCATCCTCGTTTTACCGGTGAGGGAACTGGAGTCCAAAAGTGAACTGATGAAGCCTCGGTGTGAACCCCAGAACTTCCCTAGCCCACAGCTTGACTTACTTGTCCACACCCCACCTCATTTCCAAATTTTGGAGGGGACAGCACGGCTCTATTTACTTTGGGGTGTGTGTTTTTTGTTTGTTTGTTTGTTTTTTTGCTTTGAGACAGAATTTCACTCTTGTTGCCCAGGCTGGAGTGCAGTGGTGTGATCTTAGCTCACTGGAACCTACACCTCCCAGGTTCAAGGGATTCTCCTGCCTCAGCCTCCCAAGTAGCTGGGATTACAGGCATGCACCACCATGCCCGGGTAATTTTGTATTTTTAGTAGAGATGGGGTTTCATCATGTTGGTCAGGCTGGTCTCGAACTCCTGACCTCAGGTGATCCACCCGCCTCGGCCTCCCAAATTGCTAGGATTACAGGTGTGAGCCACCACACCCAGCCCCGGAGTCCCTTTTCTTAGTTTATTTATCTGCAGAAGCAGGGACCTGGCTCTGATGACCTGCAGACCCTCAGTTCCCGCCAATCCCGAAGCTCTCTACATCCTCAGTTCTCCAGGTATGGTGCTCGGAGCAGTAGCTGTGCCTCCCCTTTAGCTGGTAAGAGATGCGGACGGGGGGCCCCTGCCCAGACAGGCCCACTCAGAATCTGGATCCCAATCTGTCCGGGGAAGCAGTGCGGCCAGGGAGGCTCCATTCCACATCACCCAGCACCACCTCAGGGACCCTGCTCTAGGGAATGGAGGGGCTGAGGCTCTAAGGTCCTGGGAGATGTCCTTTGACCCTGTTGGTAGAAAGGTCCCTACACAGTTGGGCTGGCGGGAAGCACCCCTGTCTCTGAGGGGCGACTGCAGGGGGCCTTCCCGGGCTGTGCCTGCTCCTTGCAACACTGATCCTACAAGATTTCCCACAAACCAGGGGAGCTGTGAGGCCGAATACGCTTGGGAGCTCAGCCAGTGATTTTGCCTTGTGGATGCTCCTGATGAACACTGTCCCATTGAAGGCACCAAGAAAGTATGGGCAGAGCCCACTGCACTTCCTTAACAGCATTTCTCACTCTTAACCGTGGAGACCCTTGTTAGGACACAGCTAAGGCCCCCGAAGAAGGATCCTGTTGGGGAAACATCCTGAGATAGGAAGCACAATGAGCAGAGAAGGCAGAGGCTCCTCATAGCACATCCATTCACACCATCTGACAAACCCCACCTGCACACGCACAGATGCGCACACACATATTTGCAACATGCACAGGCGTGCACACATGAACATACATGTACACATGCACATATGCACACATGAACACGTGTACACACGTCCCTGAGGATGCTTTGTCTCCCAGCCACTTCTTTTCCAAAGCAGCTGTTGACTGGGCCCCGTGCTCCCAGCAGATGGAGCTGGGCCTGCTGGTTACGGCTGGCACTTCACCTGACGTGGCCACCACAAAACCACGGCATCCCCACACTCCCTCCTCCTGTATAACTGAATGTCCAGGTCAACCCCTACACTCAGCCTTAAGAAATGGGCCCACAAGGCAGCCACTGTGCCGAGACAGACTCCGCCTGCAGCAATATCCTCGCTGTCCTCGTTCCCTCTCTCTCTGTCCCTTGAAGGTGCCTGGTGCACTGTAGGTGGCTCCTGGGTGTGGCACCAGCACAAACCCTCCCATCTCCACAGTCACAGCCTGAAGGCACAGTTTCCCCGGAGCCCCTGCAGTGAGGGGAGGTGAGGGAGGGCAGGTGCCATGGGGGAGCTCGCGGGGCAGGACGGTCTCCTGCAGACCCACCCTGGTCTGGGAGCCACTCTCCACCTGCGTCTGCCCCCGCCCAGCCTTCGCATCCAGGAACAAGTCCAGGGACACGGTATCAGGGCAGAGCCAGCTCCACTGATGGGGCCTAGAGCCCTCTTAGGCTGGTCTCAACTTTTTACTTGTCCCTAACACGGGGCTGCTGTCCCCTGAACATCACCACAGCCATGCCAACCCACAGGTGACCCACGGGCCTTCCTGCTTTCCTCTGGTTCCCTGAGCTGCACCCACAAAAAGCCTCCGACAGCCTCGGGAGGCAGAGATACGGACTGCTCTGATTTCACAGACGCCCACGTCCACACCCCTGCTGATAGAAGCCATGGTGGCAGTGCCTGTGACGCTCACGTCCCCAGCAGGACGTGGCCTGTGACCTCCCCAGCTCAGGACTGAGGGTAGGTGACACTCCCTGCCCCCCGGCTTATGTTCTCAGAACTAGCAGTGAATTACTGATGGGTAACCATCGGTCTAATTTCTGTCTGTATGAATTTAACTGTTCTAGGGACCTTGTATAAGTAAAGTCATATAGTATTTGCACAGTATATTGGAGCTTGCCCTTGCTCCATGGACAGAGTTCCCGGAGTGGCTGACTCCCTCTTTACTCCGGGTCCCCCTTCCAGTGCTTCCCTCACCGACTCTTCCCCTGCCAGTGACTCCCCCAGAGAGACTCTTCCCCCTTGAGATTCTCCCCTACCCAGAACCTTTTCCTGCTGCTGTTGATGCCAACAACACCTCTGCCAAAGCAGCCCCAGGTCCACGTGCTGTGCACACGTGTGCAGAGGCACACACGCTCACACACGGCCGTGGAGCATGCTCCTTGCAGCCTCTTCAGGGACACCAGCACAGAGCTGGGCGAGACCTTGGAAAGGCATCCTTGACCCTCTGTGAGGAGAGGCAGTGGCCAGCGACCACACACCCGCACAGAGCCTCGTCCACCCTGAGGGGCCCTGGGATGGTCATGAGTCCCATCCTTGCCCATATGGGAGAGGAACAGAGGAAACCGGAAGAAGAAACGCTTGAAGTCCCCAAATGGGGACTGGCAATGTGGGGTGGCAGCAGGTGATGGGAGGAGAAGAGATGCAGGCAGAGAGTGAGTCCAGCAGGCTGGGCAGGAGGAGGGAGGCCATGCCGTGGACTGGGCCAGGGTTTGTATATACAGTTGCCTCTCACTCAGTCCCTCACTAAGAAGCCCAGTGTGGTGCCAGCTGCCTGCAGCTGCCGAGGTTGGGTCCTCAAGGGGGCACCTGGGGAGCCCAGGGGAGCCTGAGGTCACACCTGGGCCAGTTGAGAGGCTGACTCTAATTCCCACAGTCCTGCCACCCAGAAACTAGGAGCTCCATTTTACAGAAGACAAAACCGAGGCCATGGGAATCAATGACTCGTCGGGGCCACATGCTTCCTGAGTGAGATCCAGGATCTGATGCCAGCTGCGTTGGGCTCCAGAGCCCAACATCCCTACATTTGTTCTTCTTTTGGGAGGAAGGGGAGGGCTTGCAGCCTTTGTTCTATAAATTCGTGGTTCTGCTCAACTTGGGGCCTGTGCTTGAGGACCTGACTTTGGCCTGGGAGTCCTTGACCTCTGCGAATCCAGAAAGGAAAGTGGGTGAGAGGACAAAGGATGCAAGCCCCCAGCACATCAGAGTCCAGGCAGGGGGCTGCCGAGGCGAGGTGGGGGAGCCTGGTGCTTCACCTAGCTCCCTGGAGACATCAGCGCACCAACCCAGCTCTAGGATTGAGTGATTTCCCCCAGCGTTGCACTCAGACCACAGGGGCCAGCCAGCCGTCGCTTTGAAGACGACTTCAGAGAAAAGGTGTTTGATTTGAACAATAGCCCAGTCACTTCGAGAGCCATTGTTTTTACAATAGCAAGAAAAATTCTTAGGAGAGTGAACCTGTCTAAAACATCTTCCAAATAAATAAATAAATAAATAAATAAATAAATAAATAAAGCAGATAAGAAAAAAAGTAGAAAATAGACTCAAACATAACATGCCTGAAAATCCTTCAACACATCCGTAAATGGAAAACCCCTGCCTACAGTTAAGGAGGCTTCCCAAACTATAGTTCATTTAACTGTCCTTTTAGGAGTCTCTTAATCAGAAAGGTGATTTCAGTATCAAATACGCTTTTGCAAGTACTTTTGTTTCTAAAGTATAAATAGTATGTGCTTTATACTGTGCTCGACTAATATTATTATTATTGTTTGAGACAGAGTCTCACTGTGTCACCCAGGTGGAGTACAGTGGCGCCATCTCAGCTCACTGCAACCACCGCCTCCGGGTTCAAGCGATTCTCCTGCCTCAGCCTCCTGAGTAGCTGGGATTACAGGTATGCAGCACCACACCCAGCTAATTTTTGTATTTTTAGTAGAGATGGGGTTTTGCCACGTTGGCCAGGTTGGTCTCAAACTCCTGACCTCAGATGATCCACCCGCCTCGGCCTCCCAAAGTGCTGGGATTACAGGCGTGAGCCACCACACCCGCCCTGTGCTCAGCAAATATTGTTTCTTATCTGCCAAAAGACTGTCATAAGATCACTGGGCATAAAGTGAAAACAGACACGCTCAGAGCCCCATGTTCAGTTTGCTGCCTGTGGACATCAATTTCACCAGAAAGCATGTCTGATAGGTGCCGAAGATTGGAAATTCATTGATCTCTGTGGCCAGAAGAACAACTTCAAGTTTCCCGGATCAAACCAGAGAATCATTCCTTACAGTTAAGTCTAAAAACATGAGGTCAAGCCCGATCGGTGATCATGGGTATTGCACATGAAAAGGATCGGGGAATCCAGGGCCCAGCTGAGGAACACGAAGGTGTGAAATGGAAACCTTAAACACGCGGTCTGTTCTCACTGCAGTGGTTATGTTCCACAAAGACCTCTCAGACACTGACTTTACAAATACTGAACCATTGTTCCTAGGGGAAACACATGGTTAGGTTCCCAAGAGCCTCTGACCACATTTTCTTTTTTTGAGACGGAGTTTCACTCTTGTCCCCAAGGCTTGAGTGCAACGATGCAATCTTGGCTCACGGCAACCTCCATCTCCCGGGTTCAAACGATTCTCCTGCCTCAGCCTCCTGAGTAGCTGGAATTACAGGTGCCCCCCACCCCCCACCATGCCTGGCTAATTTTTTTTTTTTTTTTGAGATGGATTCTCACTCTGTCATCAAGCTGGAGAGCAGTGGCACCATCTCGGCTCACTGCAACCTCTGCCTCCTGGGTTCAAGTGATTCTCCTGCCTCAGCCTCCTGAGTAGCTGGGATTACAGGCATATGCCACCATGCCTAGCTAATTTTTGTATCTTTAGTAGAGACAGGGTTTCACCATGTTGGCCAGGCTGGTCTCGAACTCCTGACCTCAGGTGATCCTCCTGCCTCGGCCTCCCAAAGTGCTGGGATTATAGGCGTGAGCCACAGCGCCCGGCCCACATTTTCATCAACTGAACAAACATATCTCTGAACCATTACTATCTTGAGTGTACAGTCAGTGGCATTCGGAACATTTGCTTTGCTGTCCAGCCATCGCCACCTTCCATCTCCAGAATGCTTTTATCTTCCCAAACTGAAATTCTGTCCTCATTAAACACTAACTCCCCAATCATTCTCTCTCAGGCCCTGGTAAACACCGACGTAATTTCTGTCTCTATGAATGTAACCATTCTAGGGACCTCATCTAAGTCATACAGTGCTTGTGCTTTTAGGTCTGGCTTCTCTTACGGAGGCATCACGTTTTCTGGCTTCATTCACACTGTGTATTCTGTGTCAGGATTTCCTTCCTTTTCAAGGCTGAGTAATATTCTCTGGCATGGACAGACCACATTTTGTTTCTCCATTCATCTGTGGCTGGACGCTTGGGTTTTCCACCTCTTGGCTCTTGTGAATAACGCTACTATGAACCGAGTGTGCACATGTCTCGTCCATACCCTGCTTCCAACCCTGTTGGGTGTATACCCAGAAGTGGGGTTGCTGGGAGAGTCTTTTAAAAGATTGTTTCATAGAAACAAGCATCTCCATGGAGCTTCACCTCTTGGGCCAGGCGGCAAAAGCCAGCTTGGCTCATGGAGGAGCTAACCATACCCACATCAGTCACCTGGGTTGGTGGGACATCTGCAAATGCCACTGGAAACACGTGTTCACTTCCCAAGGGTCGCGAGCAGCCTTTTATTTGTGTGCAACCTGTTTCGTTAAAAAAAAATCTGCCTCATTTGTTTGAAGTGTAAACAAAGGACAATTAATTAATTTGTTAATTATTCTTCCGTCCTTCTCATGCACACTGGTATCAAAGGCCCTGTGTCCCAGATGTGAAGGGAACGGGTTCATTTACTGATGAGAAACCAGGGAGATGCCCTAAGGCAGACAAAGGGGAAAAAAAAAAAAGCTAACGTGGTACAAGCTTTCAGAAAAGGAGACAACGTAATTGGAATGATCCTAGAAATTCTGCAAGCTCCTCTTCTTAGTATTCTTAGTAAAACAAGTGGGTCTGTAGGACAAGTGCCACAGCTCGCGAGGCTGGGTCCCTGAAGATCGGTGCTTTACACTTAACTTGGTGACAGCGTGAAAGACGTCCTTAAGTAAAACGTTTAGAATCCGGTCGCTCTCCTCCCTCTTCTCTTGCTCCCCCTACCCCAGCATTAATTAACTAGTCTCATTTTCTCTCCCTCTCCCAGCACAGACTCCAGGTTACATCTTCATCCTGCTGGTGTTGGTGTGGTTGGCAAGCTTGCCTGTGTCACCACCAACACCAATGGGACACAGACGTCTCTGCAGGGAGACACGGTCACTCAGACGCTCAGGGCCAGGAGGGTCCAGGTGCCATCAGGAAAATGGTGTGAGTCACCCCACTCGCATCCTCTGTTCCCAGGGCCACCTTGGGAGAGGTCCCGCCCTGGTCTCTGGGCCAGGGCTCCCTCACCACAGTCCTACCCCTACTCTAGCTACCCAGGTTTTAGGCCAGTTGACCTGGACATCCTGCCCATACCTCTGTCTTTTAAGCAGATACAAAATCTAAGTGTGGGAGAGGGGGCACTGTTCCCACTTCTGTCATGTGACTTTGTACTCCTCCCATGGAAGCAAGTGTATTACTCCACCCTGTGACATTGTGCTTGGCTGGCTGGCTGGCTTTTACCAACAGAATGTGAGCAGACAATGTACACACAGGCTCCGAATGTACTTATGCAGCTGGGCTTGGCCTCTTGGACCTCTGTCGTGGCTGGGAGAAGAACCTCCCTTGGGAGCTGCTGCCCCTGGACCCAGCCGATTCCACGTGAGCAGGACTGAGCCACGCCCAGCTGGCTCACAGCTTGAAGCAGCTGCAGCACCCAGCCCAGCCCAGCCCAGCCCAGCCCACACTGACCTGCAGACCCCACGAGCAAGGTGCGGTTGCTTCTTGACATTTGCCATGGTTATGTTCTATCAAGTCACCGTCCACACTGGATTAGCCAATACTAAACCAAGGGCTCCCGGGGAAATACATGGCTAAGTTCCTGCAAGCTTCTGGTCGCAAAAGTTTCATCGGTCAATCAGTACCTAACCTTGTTTTAAGGGTGTTTCTATTTAAAGACACTGTATTTCATATATACTGTTGATTTGTTAACATTGAACTCACGGCTAACAGCACTAGAGGAAGCACCTCTAATTTTCTCCATAAGACACGTCACAGCCTCCTGGCGCTCAGGAACACTGGACAGCTGTGTTGCACGGGGCTCCAGCGCCCTTTTAAACAGTGAACCCCCCAACGGAAAGCACAAAAACGTGAAGAACATCGCACTAAGCAGGTCTCAGAAAGGACGCTTTGTAGTGTGAGAGCTGAGGCTGGAAGGCCTTGTTTGACCTCAGCTGGGACCACATGCATCTGGCTACTGCAATTTTTTTGCTGCTCTGCACAGGTGCAGGAAGAATTATGAAAGCACCTTTAATCTTGATTTTGGGGTCACAAATAAATTTTAGCAAGTAGATGAATTTGCAAATACAGAATCCTCAAATAATGAGCATCGACTGTAAATGTTTGAAGCCATGGACTTATGGGGCCGTTTGTTACGCAGCAAGAACTGACTTACACATGATGAAGACCCAGAGAACCCATGCCCCCAACTTCCAAGGAGGAGGAGTCTGGAAGTGTTGGAAACACCTGGGTAGGCTGAAGTCCATGAAGCGAGTTGGGATTCTCTTTATCCTATGACAGCATAAAAATCCCAGTGTTCACATCACAGTGGGAAATAAAAGCCTACTGTCTCTCTTTCAGGCAACATGCCTCTCTTGAACCCCAACACATTCTAGGTGAGTTGCATCTAGCTGTGTGATTTTGTATAGGGGATTTAGCCAAGGGAGCAAGCAGGCCCAGACAATTGTGCATTGTACTTAGGGAAGAGAGGATTCAATTCATAGTACTTCAAAATCCTGACTCTGAACTTCAGAGAAAGCTGTGTTTTACTCAGGTTCATTAATGGGGAGAGAACTTTTTCTCTGGAGATGGACTCCGGGGCTACGGGGAATCAGGTGATGGCCAAGCATGGCTGGGACCCTGAAGAATGGGGTGACAGTGCTCAAAGAATGACTGTGCTCCAAGCAGGCTCCTGTCCAAGCAGGTGAAAATGCAAGTTCTAAGTAAAAAACGTGTGTGAATCCGTGCAAAGAAAACACCAAGGAAGGTAACATCACGAAAAATACAAGTTTCTCCTCTGCAAAACAAAAAGACATGATTTTTGTGGCCCCCAAAGCCTTCCCCTTTTCCTTCAATCTGGGACCCCAATATCTGGCTCTGCTGGGTGCGTCCTGGTGCCAGCGTGTCTGCCCCCCACCTCCGCAGGGTGGACAGTGAGTTGTGCCCTCTGCCTCTGGCCTGCCTGCTGGTCACCAGAGGAAGCTGGTTCTCAGTTTGGAGTCTCTGTCCCATGGAATGGCACCACATGGAGGTTGGAGTGTAGGCTCTGGAGCCAGGATCCAGGTCTGCCATGGAATAAAGGTACCTGCTTATGCTTTAAAGGGGGGAGAAGGAAGAAAGCTCATGCCCTGAGTGTCCCCCACATGTGGCTGTCCACAGGCTGCCAGAGCTGATTCCAACACAGGCTTGTCCCCATGCAGGATCTGCCGCTGTGTGGCACCCCTTGATCCTGGTTCCTGAGCCTACGCTCCAAACCCATCTCTGTACCCAGCTTTACCTTTCTGTAGAAGGAGAATGAGCACAGTCACCACCTCCTCCAGGGCGTTTAGGAGTAAATGTGTCAACAGGAGGAAATCCCTGCAACAGAGCCTGGCTCCTGGTAGGCACTGACAAACGTTGGTCCCCGGGCTCAGGCCCGGGCCCCTGGGCCCTCCAGCCCTGTGCCCCATTCCCCTTTGCTGGCCAGGTGCTGGCATTCCCATTGGTTTGCATTTGTTAGTTCACAGGGTGTCTCCATGCAGGTGGTTCTTTATCAGTGGTGTGTGGCTTATCCACAACAGCCTTCCAGTCCCCGATGTCTCCCAGCCACCTTGCACATCCCCGGCCACCTCCTCCCACACTCCAGCTCTGTGTGCTCGGGGAATGCAAAGCAATCTTAACATTGTTCTAAGTCAAACATAATTGGGAAGGTAAACCTATAGTGACAACAGAATCACAGACTGCATTCCAAATCCACAGAAACGGCACTGGGATCTCAGACGCTCCCTGCAGCTGTTTTCACCGCCCCCATGAGACCTGCAACCTGTGAAAGAGCAGAGGGAGCCTCACTTCCCCAGGCCCATGTGTGGATTCTTCATGCTGGTGGGTCTACACCACAGAGCGGGGTTCTAGAAGAATGTCAGCAAACACCCCCGGGTAGGCAGCCGCTGGGCATCTGCTGTGAGTGGGCACTGTGCAAACGTACAGGACATGGGGCTGCCCACAGGATGCCTGGCTTGGGTGGGGCAGGCAGCTCCATTGGCAGCTGCTCTAAGGCAGTGCTGGGTAACAGACCAGGGCAGGGGAAGGTCATTCCGAAACACACATGCTTGTGTGTGCACATACTTGGGTGCAGCTGGACAGAGGGGCATGGCCCCGGGTGCACCTAAGCATGAGTACGGTTGAAGCAGAGGCCACATAGAGGTACCAAGGCCTGGTGACAGAGGGTAGCCTGAAAGTCCAGCCCCATGGGCGGGACAGGGCTAGAGGGCAGCTGGAGAGCTGGCAGAGCCCAGGACACCCGGGAGGAGCTGAGCCTGCAGGCCACCAGGAGCAGGTGGAAGAGCAATAGGCAGATAGATAGATGTGGGGATGGGAGGCAGGCAGCAGTACGTGCCTGGGCCTGGAGGGACCAGATGATTAGGAGGCCAGGGAGCTCCTGCCTAAGCCCTGGAACAAAGGCGCCTGCTTATGTTTTAAAGGGGGAAGAAAGAAGAAAGCTCAGGACCTGAGTGTTTCCCACAGGTGGCTATCCACAGGCTGCCAGAGCCGATTCCAACGCAGCCCTGTCTCTATGCAGGATCCAAGGCCCAAGGCACTGGGACCTCACCAGCCTCAGAGCCAGGGAGCCCAGGGTTCATTTTTGACAAAAAACTGCCACCCACCCCCTCCACTTGGCCCCTGGTGATGCTTTGACCTCTCCGGGGAGCTGGGGCAGGAGGAGGGGTGCTGTGGCCAGAGCCGCCATCTTCTGTCCTGGGAAGCACTCTGTTAGAGATGGGGGCCCAGAGAGTGGAGTCTCAACTGAGGCTGAATAATTTCAATCAGCCTACAGGCCGCCCCGATTCCCTTCTCCAACAGGGACCTTT
The DNA here is from genome assembly GCF_000001405.40 of Homo sapiens. Classification (NCBI taxonomy): domain Eukaryota; kingdom Metazoa; phylum Chordata; class Mammalia; order Primates; family Hominidae; genus Homo; species Homo sapiens. The sequence continues at coordinate 79,437,086 of NC_000017.11, forward strand.
GAGTGCTCAGGAGGGTCTCTGGGGTCTGCCTTTGAGCCTCCGCTTTCTCTCCTCTGGATTCCCCATGCTGACCTCATCGCCAGGCCTGAGGGTCTCACCCCCCAGGAGCCCCCCTGGGGTCTGGGGCCGCCCCATCCCCAAGCCCCAGAGGTTGGCTGGTGCCTCCACTGCTGCCGGCTGGCCCTGACTGACAGCTGCCCATGCAAATATTGTCCGTTCCAAGCTCCAGCCGGGGAGGCCGGGTCCCCCTGCCCACCCGCTCCTCCTGGAGCTCCTCCAGAACCTTGAAGAGATGACTCAATAAATGACGAGCCCAGGGAGGTGCGGGAAAGCCCATAGCACCTCTGAGCTGAGCTGCCTGTCACCGTCACTGCCACTCTGTGACACCAGCCCCACTCCAGGCTCTGAGGTCCTGGAGGGCTGCTGGAGAGCTGGCAGAGCCCGGGACACCCGGTAGGAGCTGGGCCCCCAGGCCACCAGGAGCAGGTGGAGGAGCAACAGGCAGATAGATCCATGTGGGGATGGGAGGCAGACAGATCCATGTGGGGATGGAGGGCTGGTCTTCAGGAGTCTCCTGGGCACCCCAGAGTCAGGAAACCCCATTCCCAAATGCCAGGCTCCCCAGACTTCCCACCCTAGGCCGGCATGAGGCCTTGGTCCTGAAACCTGTGTCATCTCCCAAAGGGTATTTCCAGAAGGCATCTGGCTCCTGCCTGACTGCTCTGCCCTTTGGGAATCTGGAAAACCATTTGTTCTAGTGCCTGACATACATGCCCTTCCCTTCTTCATGAGCAGACCTGGAGAGGCACATGCCACACACATATACTCATGTACATGCACACGCATTCACACACAGATACATGCATGCACAGAGGGGCACAAGCACACCATGCACACACATGCAGACACAGGTACACATGTACACAGAGGGGCACAAGCACACTATGCACACACAGGCATGCACACACAGGTATACACAAGCACACATGTATACATGCACACACACAGGTGCACAGGCGCACACACACACACACACACGTCACCACCAGGGCTCTAAATGCAGCTGCAGTGACCTTCATGTTGTTGAAAAGAAAACCTCCTTCTGTGCTGCTGGCCAGGGTCCCTGGCAGCTCTCCCTGCTCTGGCCCCTGAGCTCAGGTCCTAACCCTGCAGGCCCAGTAGGGGCACCGCTAGCGCTGGGTTCTATGTATCCTACTCCCTCTTGCCCAGTCCAACCAGCTCCTCCATGATAGTAAACATGAAGTAAAACCCACCCTGTTTTTCATGGAAGGATCAAGGAGGATCTGTAAGCTACTCTTTTCCCTCCTCTCCAAGATCAAATGATGAGCTTCAGCCTCCAGCATATGGCTCCCAACTCCCAGGTCCATGGCTCTGCTCTCCTGGATCTCTAAACGCTGATCTGGCTCTCCTGGATCTTGAACATTCGCCCTCACGATAGCGGGGCAGCCAGGCTGCACAGCAGTGGGCTCCTTTCTCTGGGGTCACTCCCCGTCTCCTCTCCCCTCTAGGAAAGCCTGGCCCAGTACCACATAGGTGAAGTCAGGGGCTGGCTGGGGGTCTCCCCAGGGGCCAGCAGGGGCCGTGCCTACAATCGGACTAGGTCAGGCCTCATCAGTTCCCGAGGGCACTCACCTGCTTTGCTTGGCTTCTCGGCCATGACCATCACCTGCGTTTCCTCTAGAAGGGAGGAGTGCCCCCGAGCAGGAGCTGAGGGGAGGGATGAAATCTGGAAGTCACTGCCTCAGAACTGGTCCATGGCACGGCAGTAAGAGAAAATGAGTTCTGGGTGTGAAATCCCCGAAGCTCAATATTTTGGTCTGTCCATACATGGGGCAGGAAGCTGGGGAAATCTCCCTTTTCTCCCTCCTCCCGAAACCATCAGCTTCTTTACAAATTCCCCAGCTCCCAAGATTTTAATTTTACAGTTCACATTTTCTCCCGGCAGAATCCCAGGATGACGAGGTAGAAAGTCTGCCCTGATTAACTGTCCCTCTGGCGCTGAGCAGGGCCCGGCGTGATAAATAGCAGGAATAAAACCGAGAGAGGCGCGCAGCAAGCTGTCGGCAGGTCTGGCCGTAAATCCCAGCTCTGATGGGGCCGAGATGAGCTGGGGGCTTTATGGAGGGGAAGAGAGGCTGCTTGCAGAGCAGCACCCCGCTCCCCAGCCCCTCCCCAGCCCTCCTGATGCCCATGCAGTGGATATAGTTTAAGTAAGATAGAGCGAAATCGCTCTGTTGTGTCATTGATTTTTAATAAAAACAGGTAACGTACTGCAAATCTCACTGTGATTTCATCTCTCCTCGCCTTTGCCCAGATGTCCCGTAACCTCCCCTAAAGGCTCCATCCAAACAGCAGTGACCATGACTGGTGTCTGGCAGGCGGTGGACTCAGGATTTTGAGAAGTTTCCAGGAGGTCTAGGCTGTTTTCCCTCTTGACATACACACACATTCACATACATTTGCGTGAACACATCTGTGCATACAGGCTCACAAGATGTGTATGTCATGCACACACTCAGCTCACACGCACACTGCACACATGTATGTCCATGCATGTGCAAGCATGATCGCATGTGCACACGTGCCTCTGCACATGCACACACACTCAGTGGCATACACCACACACCGTGCATATGCACATGTGTGCGTAAGTGCAAGTACATGCATGCACACACACATACATGCACACACACACATACCAGACCTTCCTGGGGAGAGGCACAAGCCAACACTGAGCTCTCCTGCTGACCCAACTCTACTCTCTGGTGACCCTGAGTCTGTTATGAATAATCCAGAACATTCCAGGAGTAGGAGAAGGCACACATGTGCAGACGGGAAAATAGGAGAGGCGTCAGAGAAGGAGGACGCAGGAATGGCATCAAGCGGCAGGGGAGGGGAGCGTCCCTGTCAGACTCATGAGGCTGCCCGAGCCTCACACCCGGGCCAGAGGGCACTTGGGGGGATCTGGGCTGAGCGGCAACGAGGACATGGGCCACCAGCGATAACCAGGCCTCCTCAGGAGGCCTCTGTCACTTTCACCAGCCTTACCGAACAGAGATAAAGCCGTGTCTAATTTGCAGCTGAAGCAGGCACACTGTTTACCTGTTATCAGGGTTAATAGCGTCCGTCTGAGCTGCAGAGACAGCGCTGTCCTGCGGACGGGCCGTGCTTTTCCACGGCATTTCCCATGTCCCAGGGCATTTTTGAAAATGGTGGCTTCCTTTAGGGTCACATTTATTGTCCCCTGTGACTACAGAGGCAGGTACCATCCTCCCCATCTGATGCACCAGGGGCCCGAGTGACTTGCCTGATCTCCTAGCCAGCTCCCTGCCAGCTGGGGCTCCATTGGCTATACCTGGGCCGGCCGAAGCCCAGACCAGGGGAGCCGAAGCCGGTGACCACAGGGCAGGGAGCTCCGTGACAGCCTCTGCCGACCTCTCCCACAGCAGTGCCCTCTTCAGATTTTCCTCATTGGCCGTCCCCACTGGACTTCATTTTTAGCCATGGAATCCACAACTAAATCACCTCTGGACCCCGGACCATGCCCCTCGCACCCCAACTGTGAGAAAGCCTCACCCGCAAGGTTGACCTTTGCCCTATGGCTCTAGTTCCCCAGCACAACCTCCTGCCATACCCCCCTTCCCCATGGCCATTAGCCCCTCCCCACCAGAGGAAGGGCCCCCCTGCACCCCCTCATCAGCATCCACACCCCTGCTCCTGACCACGGCCTCCCTTCACCCAGGGTTTGTCCCTCAGAGGCCTCCTGGTCTTCCCCACACCCCATACGAGGGGACTTGGAGCTCTTTTCAGGCCCAGCCCTCGCACGGTGAGTCGGAACCAGATCAGAGACATGCATAGTTGCCGCACAGGCTGGAAATGTCCCGCCAGAGCTGGCTTGGGCCCAGGGGCAGCTTTGCAGGCAGGTCACACACCTGGGGGTGCAGGGAGAGGATGCCGAGTGGATCAGGACCCCAGGAAAGGGCGTCAGCGGAGGCAACCAGAGACACAGCGGAAGGATTTGTGGAAAGAGAAATCGCCTGGGGCAGGGTCATCAGGAGAGGGAAATAAACTTGGCCCAGAGATGGGTCCAAGCGTGAGAAGGAGCAGGTGTGACGAGGGTGGGCCAGGCTCTAGGCCAGGGTCCTGGGCGTGCCTCCTTCCTCCCGGAGCCTCGGCCTGCAGGGGCTCAATAGTGGCCCCTAAGATTCATGTCCTCCTGGAACCTGAGAAGGCAACCTTGTTGGAAACAGGGTCTTTGCAGATGGAAGTAAGGTGCAGATAGAGATGAGGCCATCCTGGATTAGGGTGGGCCCCAAATCCAAGGCCAGAGAGACAGGAGACACAGAGGCACACCCAGGGAGGTGGCCACGTGAAGACAGAGCAGAGATTGGAGAGACGCTGCCTTGAGCTGAGGAATCCCAGGGACAGCGGACAGCCCCCAGATCTGGGAGAGAGGCCAGGGACAGATTTTCCCTCCAAGCCTCTGGAAGGAGTTAGCCCTGCCAATACCTTGATCTTGGACTTCCAACCTCCAGAATGGCAGAGAGTCCATTTCTGTTGTTTTAAGCCCCCTAGTGTGCGGTCATCAGTTACAGCAACCCCCAGAAAGCAGTGCTGCGTCCTTGCCTGGGAAATGAGGGTGGAGCCCCGGCAGACCCCAGGGTGGGTCTTGGGTGGGAACACACACTCGTGGCCCACAGGCCTCGGCCAGCCAGGGCTGACGTGGTGCTGGTTCAGCCCTGGCCCAGGCAGGTGCTTAGTGAGGCAGGTGAAATCAAGGGTCTCACTGAATCAAAACAGATGGCCGTAGAGAAAGGCAGACCAACAGGTCAGGAGCCCGGGCCCCGCCTTGACCTTGGAAATCCTCCTCAGGTCCCCTGAGGAGCCACTTACTCTGGGCTCCAGCCCCAAACTTCTCAGGGAAGCTTCCAAGAGCAAAGATGCTCTTCAAAGGCCCTGGGGTGAAAGGGACGTGTTGGGAGACCTGACCATCCACGGCCCTCTCCTCTGTCCCTGCTGAGCCTGGCCTGGGAGGGAGGGGAACCCCATTCGGCCTCCAACCACAGCTGCTGGGGACCACTGGCAGAAGAGAGAGGAGGAGGGAGGGGGAGAGAGAGAGAGAGAGAGAGAGAGAGAGAGAGAGAGAGAGAGAGAGAGAGAGAGAGAGAGAGAGAGGGAGAGAGGGAGGGAGAGAGAGGGAGAGAGAGGGAGTGAGGGAGGGAGAGAGAGGGAGGGAGGGAGGGAGGAAGAGGGGGGGAGAGAGAGAGAGAGAGAGAGAGAGAGAGAGAGAGAGAGAAAGAGAGACAGAGAGAGAGAGAGAGACACCAAGCAGGGCTGGGTGAGTTGGGTGTCAGGGTAGTAAGGAGCTCACCCTGCAAGGCCCCTTGTGGTGAGAGGCGTATGGTAAGAGCTCCAAATGGCGGTGGCTGCTGTTGCTGGGATTTCATGACAAAATGCAGACACAAAGGACAAACCCAGAGGAGGGAGCCACCTAGGACTCTGCTACAATTGTGTGTTTCCACCTAGTACCTGCCGTGGGGGCTGCTGGTGCTCCAACCTCATTTCCCAGAGAGGACCCTGCACTGCTTCCCTGGGGCTGCCGTAACTATTAATAATTGCCAGAGGAAGCTGCAGGCAGAGCCGGAGGGGCAGACTGGGGTGGGGGTGAGGAGGGGAGAGAGGGTGAGGGGAGGACACCTCCCAGAAGAACCCCTCCCAGGAGGACAGGACCTGAAGGTTTCTTCTCTCAGCTCCCGGGTAGAATCAGGTCCGTGCATGATTCCACTCCTTGCTTCTGGTCTGAAGCTCCCCACAGCCACAATGGAAAATCTGACTGACTTGGCCTTAAAGAGGTCCCAGGCCATGAAGCAGCGCCCAGCAGCTCGGCATTGGTCAGAAGCCTCCACCTGCCTGGAGAACCCCTGGAAAACATCCACCTGTGCCATGAGGTCCTCACAGGCCAAAGGTGCACATGGACGAGACAGTGGTGGCCTCTGCCCCTGTGGACAAAACCGGAGCTCAGCCTCCCATGTCGCCTCCCCAACCAGCCACCTGGGAACCCGAGGAAGTCAGATCAGCCGAAGGGGCCCAGCGTCCAGTCCAATCCTGGGTGCTGCCAAGTCCCCTCTGCCCCAACAAGCTGCTAGGTGTGTGTCACCAGGCCTCTGCCACCGGCCTCGCCACGGGGGAGACCAGGCCAAGGCCTTGCCAAACACACACTCACATAAATGCAGTCATGCTTAGACACACACAAATGCACACTCACATACACCCTTGCCTCTTTTTTTTTTCTTTTGAGACAGTCTTGCTCTGTCGCCCAGGCTGGAGTGCAGTGGCTCGATCTCGGCTCGCTGCAACCTCTGCCTCCCAGGTTCCAGTGATTCTCCTTGCCTCAGCCTCTTGAGTAGCTGGGATTATAGGCACCTGACACCACTCCCGGCTAATTTTTGTATTTTTAGTAGAGATGGGGTTTCACCATGTTGGCCAGGCTGGCCACAAACTCCTGACCTCAGGTGATCCACCCGCCTCGGCCTCCCAAAGTGCTGGGATTACAGGCATGAGCCACCGCACCCTCTTGTTCACTGTCTCACATGTGCACACACTCGTTCTCACATGCTCACACTACTTGGGATCGCAGCCTCTTCTCCCTTGTCTAATGACCACACTGTCCCACTGCCTCCCTCGGCCCCCGACCCTTTATTTGCTGAGCCCCAGAGTGACCCTCTGGGATGATGGTGGGAGGGGCAGGCTGCAGAGAACTCAGAATGCCAACAAGGAGAACAGAAATCCTACAGGGTACCCGTGACTTACTGGGCTATCCCGAGTGCCGTGACACTTCATCTCATGGTGCCTGAGACAGGCACTGCCATCCCTCTTCCCATCTCCCAAAGGAGGAAACTGAGGCAGGAAGCAAAGTCAAAGCTCATACCCTGGCAGGCCCTGCTCACAAATGCACACCTGTATGTTCAGGGTGGCTACATGGAGGTCAGTGAATCATTAGGGGGACAGAATGTGGGAAGGATACATTGAGAGGGACAAGGAAACCCTGGGGATATGGAGAGAAAAGAAGGCCAAGGAGGGGGCTGCAGACCGGACACCCACTTCAGGTTTGCCCAGCACCCTCAGGGGTCAGCCAACTTCTGTGACCTCAGCTGGGGGACTGGGAGCCCCTTGTGGGTTGGGGGCCAGCAAGACCCACCCCTCTTATGGCCTGTGCGTCTGGCTCAGGTCCACTCTCAGGCACCCTGAGCCCAGTGAGGTTGGAAGCAGCTGGGCATGCATCACCGAAGACCAGCCGGGGGAAGAAACCTGAGCTCACAGAGCAGATGGGCTGAGCAACACCCCATGAAGTCTTGAGCCAGCCCAAAGCCCACATAGGCCGGTGCCTCTGAGCCACAGCTCCAAAGCCCTCTGTGCCTGACCCCAGCCTCCCTCACCAAACCTCTCTCCACCACTTCCTCTGGGCACCCAAGGCTACCCTGGACTCCTCTCTGTCCCCTGATGTGACCTGGCTTCCAGAGTCTCCCTCAGACACTTCCCGGACTGGCCTTTCACAAGCCCTGGGTCTAGATTTGTGCCTTATAAGCCCGCATTTGCTCCAAACTAAACTGTGGGCTCTTCTCAACAGCGTGCAGTAGAGAAGAGCCTACAGTTTAGTCTTGAGCAAATATACATTCAGATATATATATAGTCAGTTATATATATGCAAATATATATATGCAGTTATATATTATATATTCTTCCAGAATATATAAGGAATTACAACTCAATCTAATTCTAGAACGTTTTCATTGCACCAAAAAGAAACCCACACCCATTCACAGTCACTGCCCATCCCCAACCACAGGCAACCACAGATTTTTCTGTTCTGGACATTTCAGGAAAATGGAGTCACACACTCTGTGGCCTTATGTCTGTGTCTTTCACTGAGCATGACGTCCTCAAGGTTCATGTGTGTTGGAGCCTGTGTCAGGTTTCATGCTTATTTGTGGCTATATAATATTCCACTGCAGGGACAGACTCCATTTTGTGGACCTTTTCATCAGTCGATAGACATTGAGTTGCTTCCACATTTTGGCTACTGTGAATGGCGCTGCTGGGAACACGGGTAGGTGTGTTCATGGCAGACATATGCTTTCATTTCTCTTATGTATATTAGGGAGCACATTTTCTTGTAAGGGGGTCCCACTGCCCAGTGGGAATGTCAGGTGAAGCTCAGGCTGCAGGAGCCAAGGATGAAAAATGAGTTTCTAAATGACAGCGGCCTGGGTGAGGGCCTTCCACGTGCGGGAGGCACTGCAGGGCTCTGGGGTCTTAGAGGAGGAGACTCGATTCTCTAAGAAACCTCAGCCACAGGCCTCAGGACCCGCCTCGATTTCCAGGACTGTCTACCCCAGCCCACAAGCAGAGCAATTTCCAGATCTTCAAGACAAGCCCACTTCCAGGATCATCTCTCCCCACACCCTCCTCCCCTGTGATTTCCCTTCCTTGCTGTGCCGAGCTCAGAGCCCACAAAAAGCATCTGTCTGCACAGCCTGCTTTCCTGGGGGCAAAGCCGGGGAGGCAGAAGAGTCCAAGATGGGGCATTCCAAAGCCCACCCCTTCCTCCTCCATGTGCTCCCAGAGTCACAAGAAGCTGCTCGGCTGGGTGTTGCCCTGTTTTATTGCTAGAACCTTCTGATTCAGCCGGGGTTTGCAGGACAGTCCCCAAATCACTTGGCCTTGGGAAGGTTTTGCAGAGGGCAGGGGCTCTCTGAGTCTGACTGGTGGACCTAGGGCAGGGGCCCTCCAACCAGGGGTGGGTTTGCCCCTGGGGCCATTTGGTGGTGCCTGCAGACATTTCCAGTTGTCACAGCTGTGGCTGGGGGTGATGCTGGCACATGGCGAGCGGAACCAGGGATGCTGCTCATCCTACAATGCAAGGAACGGCCTCCACATGAGAGAATGGTCCCCCGACATGTCAACAGTGCTGAGGTTTAGAAACCCTGCCCTGAAGGGTAGGGGACCTGGGAGGTGACAGCTCCTCTGAGGCTCTGAACTCCTCACCCAGCATGGTCGGTCAAGCTGAGAGCACGCTGGCCCTAGAGATGGTCAGGAGCCTCCAGGGCCCTGGCGATGCTGCCTCCATCATTCCCATACTCCAAGGACACAGGATTCCACACGTCCAAAAATTCCAGCAGCTCCTCTCTCTGCTCTAAGCAGGACATGGCTGCCTTTCTCCTCCAGGCAGCAATGCGGCAGACCCCTGGTCAGACCTCAGGGCTGGGAGGAGAGGAATGATTGTGGTCATGCCTGGGGTCTCACATAAACTCCCTCCACCCCTATTGAGGCAGGAGGTGGAACTTGACTCCAGAGGTGAGGCTCAGACATCAGACCAAACTGAAGACTAGCCAAGCAAACGGGATGGAAGCAGCTCTCCCTAAGATATGCCCACTAGCGTGCCATGTTAGTGTACCATTGCTATGGCAACGCTCCTGGGCAGCACCCAGGAGTGACTGCCCATTTCCACGGCAATGACCCATGACCCACAACTCACCACCCTTTTTCTAGAAATTTCTGCATAACCTGTCTCTTAATTTGCATGCAATTAAAAGTGGGTATAAATCTGACTGCAAACCTGCCCTGAGCTGCCGCTCTCAGCACACGGCCTATGGGGCAGCCCTGCTCTGCAGGGGCAGTCACGGAGCTGCACACGGCCCATGGGGCAGCCCTGCTCTGCAGGGGCAGTCACGGAGCTGCCACGTCATCACAGATGTAACACCACGGCTTCAATAAAGCTGTTTTCTCCTACCATTGGCTTGCTGTTGAATTCTTTCCTGAGAGAAGCCAAGGACTCTCCTGGGCTAAGCCCCAGTTTGGAGTTTGCCTGCCCTGCAACACGAGTACCTGAGGCACAGCCAAAGCCTACCTTGGGTGAGGCTGGGGCCCGTGTCAACCTGGGCCTCCCTTCAAATGCCTCCATTCTGTCTCTTGATATTATCTCAAAACAAGCTTGGACGTGCAGTCCCTGCCTTCCATGTGTGCAGCAAATGTGAATTTGTCGGCAGTAAACATTTCAAACAGACCTGAAGTTCTGTAACCCGCTTTCGGCATGCCTCCATTTTTCAGTCGAACTGGAGCTTCTTCTGCCAGTGGATGCAGCCCAGGTCTCTGCCACCTTCTGAGAGGCCCATGAGCAAATCTCAGGGCTGGAGCTCTGAGCCGCAGGGAAATTAAATGTGCAGCCTCATCCATCCAGCCACCTCACTGCACAAATGGTCCCACAAACTGCCACTCCCCCTCCACAGATGCCGTGTTTGCTGGCAGAGTGCCGGCTTCATCTGGAAGGTTGTGCCTAACCGAGCAGGCATGACTTGCCTGTGATAGCCTGTGACCCGTCTGTCTATTGTGTACGGTGATACGGTGCACAGTCCCATTTTACAGAAGGACTAACTGAGGCACAGAGAAGTCAAGAAGTTGCCCAAGATGCAGCACAGGGAGGGCCAAGGGGCTGAAATTGAAGACTGTGCCCAAGCCTGGGCTTAAAGCACCATCCTCACTCCCTTGCCTTTACCTTGTGGGGATTTTCTTACAGGCAGTTGGGGAAGGATTTGGAGGGCTCCTTCTCTCTCTGAAGCTTCATGCCATCCATGTGAGCATTGCTCAGCAGAGCAGGCTGTGGGCCGTGCTGAGGGGCGGCCAGGGTGAGCCCCAAAATGGGTGATATGGTTCGGCTCATGTCGCTACCCAAATAGCATGTCAAACTGTAATCCCTAATATTGGGGGAGGGACCTGGTGGGAGGTGATTGAATCCCAGGGGTAGATTTCCCTCTTGTTGTTCTCATGATAGTGAGTGAGTTTACACAAGACCCAGTTCGTTTGAAAGTGTGTAGCACCTCCCCCTTCGCTCTCTCTCCTGCTGCCATGTGAAGACGTGCCTGCTTCCCCTTCACCTTCCGCCATGATTGGAAGTTTCCTGAGGCCTCCCAGCCACGCTTCTGGTACAACCTGTGGAACTGTGAGTCCATTAAACCTCTTTTCTTCATAAATTACCCAGTCTCAGGTAGTTTTTGATAACAGTGTGAGAACAGACTAATACAATGGTTCAGGAGCCCCCAGAAGAGGGGGTGGGGGTGTGAGAGTCTGGAAAACTGGGCAGAAGACTCTAAACTGAAACCTTTGGACACTGTAGTAGGTTAAATTGTGTCTCCCAAAAAGATGTGTCCAAGTCCTAACCTGGGACCTCAAGCTGTGACCTTATCTGGAATGAGGGCCTTTGCAGACAAATTTAAGGTAAGGATCTCAAGATGAAATCATCCTGGATTATGATGGGCCCTAAATCCAGGGATCAGTGTCCTCATAAGAAACAGAAGAGAAGAATGACACACAGAGAAGGCCACGTGGAGACAGAGGCAGGGACTGCAGCAATGCCTCTCCAAGCCAAGGAACACCTGGGGCCGAGAAGCTGGAGGAGGCAGGATGGACCCTCCCCTGAAGCCTTTGGAGGGAGCACAGCCCTGCCCACACCTTGATTTCAGGCTTGTGGCCTCCAGAAATGCAAGACTTCATGTCTGCTGTTTTAGGCCCCCAGAAAGCGGTCACTTGTTATATCAGATGCAGGTCACTCATACAGACATACTCAAGGACTGGGGCTAAGGGGCTTCAACTTGCAGGAGCTCCCAGAGCAGGTTCAACACCAGGAATCTGGCCTCGCAGGCTCAGAAGTAGGCCATCTCCCTCTCCCCACCTGGACGGCAGCCCCTGATGAAGGGAAAACAGCCCCCAGACCCCTCATGCAGGTTCCCTGACACAGAGAAAAGGGCCAGAAGGATGTGGCTCCCATGGTGAATTTGGCTCAGAGTTGACGTCCTGGGCACTAGAAGGGTCACTTTGCCAGCCACGCTCCCCTGTGGACCCTCACGTCTGCCTGCCTCGGCCACTGGGTTGGAGCTGCTTTGCCAGGTTGGGGGTGCACAGGTATTAGTCAAGAGCCCAGACCCCTCTTCCTGCCTGTGCCTGTAGTCCCTTACCACAGAGAGGAGAGGGAGAGCAAACAAAACCCCTGAAGCTGAGAGGTTCGGGTAGGAGGGGCCCGGGATGGGTTTCTGGCACTGTGTGTTTTTTTCAGCTTCTATGAAGAAAATTAACAATTACAGTAGAAGCTACATGAAACATAAGCAGAGGCCTGTCACTCACCTCTCTTGCTTCCTGTGCTAACCCCCGTTAACCCCTTTCTGCCCCCACGATCCTTCCTCCCTACAGCCTAGAACACGGGCTGTCCCCAAACTTTCTCCCTTACAGTTCCCGGGTCCCCCTCTCAACCTGCCTCCAGGTGAGTCTGCAAAATTTCCTGGGCTCTCCCCAAAGCTCACCCCAGACACCCTAATCCAATTCATCCAACAAAACCATTCAGAAGCCTCCAACAACTTCTACTCTGAAATATTCTAGAATTTTGCATAATTGCCAATTAAGGTCAGTTTTCATCATTCAATTATAGGTGAATATACTGATGTGCTTATTTGAAACCTGCACACATAAACACACACACACACACACACACACACACTTTGAGTCTGGCCACCCGTAGACCCAATGGAGCATCTCTGCTGGTGGACGTTACATTCCGGATGCTGGATGGCAGGTGACCCCAGCTCTGGGGGCGCACATACATGGATGCAACCTCTTCACTTCTGCACTAAGAAAGGAGAGTGGTCTGGGCAGGAGAAGACTCAAGGGTTAAAGTCACGATGGGCACACCATTGTGGTGGGTGGCTGGCCCCCTCCTGGCCATTGTTCAGCAGGGTCAGCATATTTCCATCTTCCAGCCAGCCCGCTCGTTAATTAATCACTCATTAGGCTAATCACAGCTATCTCGTTTCCCACTAGGGGGGAAGATGTTAGCACAGTGGAATGCCAAAAAAGCCCAAAATGCAACTAATGGGTCTGTGTGAAGAGGCAGAAAGAGAGACCGTGGAACGATGGGACGTTTCTAACACCTGACATACACACACACACATGCACACGCATGATGAAACAGAAGCCATGTGTGTGCAGAAACTCTCTCAACATGGATGCCAGACTCAAGGAGGTCAAAAGTCACCCGTGGGTGTACAGACACTGTGGACTGCCCTCCCGCCCTCCTGTAGGCGAGAGTTAAGCAGAAAGGAAAAGAGGCCATTTCCAATTTCAATTCTAATCACTTCCCTTCTCAGGCTGTGAATGAAGGCCTGGACTTGGAACAAGAGCTACTTTGGCAGTAGGAAGAATAAAACGGGGAAAAAACACCGGAGCCTATAGGAGCACCTCCCTACAGATGTGAAGAGGCAAATGCCGAGGTATTGGCACAGATGTCCCCATCGGAGCCATCCTGGGATGGGGACTCCAGGAAAACGAATCACCCCAAAATTCCAAGAGGAATTACAAGTTCATCCAAACACAGACCACCCTGGACTTCTGATTTTTTTTTTTATATTATGATGGGCTTATCAGGGTATTAAATATATTTTCAACTTAGCAATAATTTCAACTTATGGTGGGTTTGTTGGGGTGTGACCCATCATAATTCCAGGAGCACCTGTATATGGGCCTAAGGAAGAAGAAGACAAGAACAACTATTAGCAACTCATCGTGATCCAAAGTGCTACACTACTGAAGATCAGGAGGACCCCTGTCTGGCAAGGATTCGACGGAGCTCCCAGGGTAGCCTGCCAAGAAAATAGCACTGTGCAAGGTGCTGTTTGCATGCATAACAATGATAAGACTAGTCCCAAAAGATATATGCCAAGAGGAGAGAAAAAGTAAAACTCTGGCTAAGGAAACAAATTCAAGAAGTAAAACCTACTTTTAGAAAAGCACAAAATGAGATTTTCTAAATCAGAGCTGGCAGCCTTCAATTAGAAGGGGGTGCAGCATTCTCATCCGAGAGCTCTGACTCCCAAGCCCAGGCTGGGGGGCCCGATGGCTCACCCAAGGCAGTGTTTTCTGTCCAGAAGTTTCCACCCACAAATATGCCAAACCCTTCCTCTCGCCTGCCTTGCTTCACTGGGACAATTTGCTATCGAAAGGCACAATTATCAGGGGACATATGATGTTTAGGAGCATCATTTGGAAGAAGTTATATCTAAACACCTGAGTAGTAAATGAGAAAAAAAAATACATTAGGAAATTTGGTTTTAAATGTTTTATGCTAATTTATTCGGCTCAGTCAAGTGCAGTCAACCCTGAACCCCCGGGACTGTCAGTGTGGGTGACAATCACAGGCAAAGACGTGCCGGGAAGACGTTGTCACCTCCGCCGAGCTCTGAACCCAGAAGACAAGCTTGTCAACATCTCAGAAGCATCATCTTGGGGATAGAGAGGAAGCTGGGGAAGTCTGTTCAAATCTTCCCTAGAGACAAATCTCTTCACCTTGACTGCAGCTCAACTGTTCAGCCTGAATCAGGGGGTGAGGCCTGCCCTTGAATTGCAACTGGCAGGAGGGAAAATGACCTACTCTCAGATGGGGATCACCTACGAACCATCACAGTAAGTTACCCTCAATGCAAGAGGCATCCGTGGAGCACCCACCCCTGGTGAGGAGGCAGCCCAGGCTCAAGCCTTGGCTCTGACACTCATGGGCAGGGAGGCCCTGGGCAAACCACTGGGTCCCCCGCAACCTTCCATTTCATCCTCTGAAAAACGGTGACAATAAGCGTACCAACATCATCAGATCATCATGAGTACTGAATGACAGCATCGCAGTGTTCGTACGTTAGGTGGGGCCTAGTGCCCAAGGGATCATACGTGCTTCACGTCTGGAGACGCTTCCACAGAACACCTTCCCCCACGCCCACAGCATCCCTGCCACCCAGTACTGGCACCCTCATCCACACAAATTACAGGGGGGTACCAACACCCGCAGGGCTCTTTTGAGTCCTAGAGAGCCCAGAGGGCTTTACGCTATGTTCCCTGTGGCTACAGGGGAGGAGAATTCAGCTGGCCTAGAAGGATGGGTAGAATTCTGAATGGTTGAAATTAAGGAGAAGGAAGTTGCTGGAAGGCATGGGGCAGACGGAAGCATGGAGGTGGGAACTGCTGAATGCTGTGATCTGGCAGGAACATGGGATGTTTGAGGAGGAAGGCGGAGGTGAGAGTGTAGGGGCTAGCTGGGAACTGAACTTTTTAGAGAGTAAGACTGGGAGCTCAGATGGGCAATCGGCAGTGCAGGATGGAGGCCCACCCTGTCACCACCTCCGCTGCGGAGGAACGCAGCAGTCATGGTGGAAGGGAAGGCGGATGGGCATTCTTTGTGCACATGCCTTCGACGCAGAAGGCAGAGCTCCAGCAAGTCACTGACGCTCCACTGTCTTGGGACAGATGGATGCTCAGACATGGACGTGGTTTATGATTGTCCAGGTTGAGGCTGTTGGCTCTTTCTTCTTCAGGGAGACCGTCCCCTGCCCTCTGGCTTCTGGCATGCAGCAGCGAATGGGTCATTAAAGATCACCTTGGAGGTGGGGGAGTGGGAAAGGGAAGTTAGGGCCATCAGGGGAGAATGGGGTCACAGAGCGGAGAGGGGAGGCTCCAGGAAGAAAGAAGCCACACAGCAGGGATGAGGGAGGGGACCACTGGGAGAGACTCGGACTTGGTGGCCACAGCCCCTGCCAACTGCTGGAGAAGTTGGCATCTCCCTGCCATCAGTGGAGAAGCAGGCCCGGCAGGGTCAGGAAAGGTGAAGGAGGGCACAGAGAGCTTGCACAACCCGGGGGCATTGCAGGGAAGAAACACCCTTGGCAGGCTCAGGGCCTTTGGACCAAGAAGCCAGTGGAGAGGAAGCAGCACCGTGGTGCCATCCCGCTCACGGCCCCCCGGCCACCTGGACCACGTCTCCCCTCCAACACCCACTGAGACGTGCAGCTTGGAGCACATGGCTTCATCTCTCCAGGTCTCGGTTTACCCATCTGTGGAATGGGGGTGATCGCAGGGCCTCCCTCAGGAGATTGCTTTGAGGATCAAATGAGCGAATTTCTGCAGCAGTCCTCAACCTGCAGTCACGGCAGTGTGTCCTTTCTGTAAACCCGGGATGAAATGCTAATAGCCGTGTCATTCTACACATGCTATGCCGGAGCTGAAGAGTGCGTGTTGGCTCTGCCCAGACCCAGCGGCCATGCTGGCCACACCCTAAGTCCAGAGCGATGCCCAGAGAACAAACCACTCTAGGCCCTCTGGGGCAGTGGCTTCATCTCATTTTTGAAAGGGGGAGCTGTGTGGCCAGCAGAGATGGCCATAGAAGCTGGGGCGTCGCAGTGGGGCCCCTCTCTTCCTCCTGGCGGCAGATGGGGAGGCTGGCCCTGAGTGGCCAGCTCAGTGGTCACAGAGGGACAGGCCTCATCTCCTTGGCACCCTTTGGGGTGGTGGAAGGGAAGCTGGTGGGAGGCAGGGATGTCACCCAGAGTCCCAGGATAACAGAGGGGACTGGCAGGCCGCCTGCTGCAGCCCCACAGCCCCACAGGGGTTATGGAGAGAAATAGTGCCGTTTAAGAGTGTGCAGAAGAGTGGGTGCGGAGATGTGTGGGTATGTGCAGGTGTGGCCAGGCACATGGGGTGTGTGTGTAGATGTGTGTGCAGTGTGTGCCGGTGTGTGCAGAGGCATCTCTGGGACAGGACTGGGGCTGGTGAGCCTCACCCCAGAGGACCCTGGGGGAGAGATCTTCTCCCATGTTCTGCCAGCTCCCTCAGGTCCCCATGCAAAGCTGCAGCCTGACACGCAGGCATGAGGGAGGCTCTCGAAACAGCTTGGCTGGCAGAGGAGAGGAAAGGGGGCTGACTCCATGCCCAGGAGCTGAGTTCTGGGATCCCTTGGACACCTCTCAGCCCGGGGTGGACAGCAGGCCATGACCTGGGGCGGTGCTAGGTGCCATGTGCCCCCCATGGTGAGTTGGGAAGCGTCTTTGGTGACGTCCTGTGTAGGAAATGCGCTCTGACAAGGGGTTGCACAGGAGGGCACCTCTCAGATGCGCCAGGGGAGGCAATGCCGTCTGGAGCCCTGCCCCATCACCTCTGCTCTGACCCCCATGCCAACCTGGCACCTCCTCAGCCCCTTCTGCACCTCTCCCCTGTTCTCAGAAGGGTGGCCAGGACCCATTCCCCACCCAGCCGCATGCCCCAGGCCTGGGCACATCATTCTGGCTCCCAGGGCCCTCCCTTGAGGCCTCTCCTCAGCATACCCCCAAATCCAGCTTCCAGGGAGTCCGAGGCTGCCTACATCTGTCCTGCCCCAGGGCCAGGTGGCTCTGTCTGCTGTATCCCTGCCCAGCCCCTCCTGCCCCTCCTGGCCTGCCCTCTGCGGAGGCCCAGCCCCGCCACCTCTCTCATCCACCAACCTCACCTCTCCTGGGATCAAGAACACTGCCGCTCCCCCACCTTGCCCACCAAGCCCTCCCAGCACCCCCAATCTCTAGCTATTTGTAGGTCCTCCTGGCCTGTCCACAGCAAAGGGGTCCACTCACTCTTGGACCCAGTCAAGAAAGTCCAAGGAAGAATTTCATACCGTCCGGCCCTGTGCATTACCACACAGGGAGAAATGGGAGTTTGGCAAGGAATCAAAGGCCCAGAGAGGTTAAGCGACCTGTCTGGAGTCACACAGCTCATTAGGCAAAGACATCTGACCCACCTTAGGGCTCCTGTGGCCCACTCCAGAAGCAGCCCTATCCACACTGACTGGAGCGACTTGGAAGATGACATGAGCTGAGCCAGGGTCTCATCTGATGGCCCCATGTGGTGATGGGCCCACTCCCATTGTAGCTCCTCAGTATTCAAGGCCTGGGGTTTGGGGGCCCTGCACCCAGAGGCAGGAGATACTGCCTACCTGCACCCACTCAGACTGGGCTGCTACAGAGCCAGCCACGTGCACGAGGCCCGACAGCATCCCCCATGGGGTGTGTGCAGGCCTGGCAGCATCCCCTTTATGGGGTGTGCACAGGCCCACAGCAACCCCTCCATGGGGTATGTGCACACAGGCTGGACAGCGTCCCCCTCCACGGGGTGTGCACAGGCCCGGCAGCATCCCCCTCCATGGGATGTACATGGGCCCCACTTTTCTTGTATCTTAAAAATGAGCCCCATAACTGGAGGAAGCTGGATGTGCTACTCCCAGGTCAGCAGCCACAAAAGGATCCAAAGACGCGCAGGCTACCGTGACGGGGGAGCGGAGAGGGGGAGAGGCAGGCCCTGAGCAGTGGCATCTGGGGAGGAGAAATTCGGAAATTGTTGGCCAGGAAGAAACCGCACCACGCTTCTGCCCAGGAGAGACCACCTGAGGGTCATCCAGGAGGGTCAGTGTTAACTGAAGGTGGGAATCAGATGAGCCCAGGAGAGTGGCCATCTGGGTCCAGAAATGGCCAGGCAGGACTCCACGGGAGCTGCCACCACAGAGCCCCATGGAGATGCCACGGGGCCCGTGAAACCTTTGAGCAGAGGCCAGGGAGGGTGAAAGGGGGAGGCCAGGCACACGGGTGTGTGCACACACACACACGCACGCAGTCACACACTCACATGCGCACACGTTCAGAGGAACCTATCCACACACACATTCATTCACACACACACTTCCACAATCACATTCACAGACACACATGCCACCACACACTCGCTCACAGCATCAGACGGACGCAGACATTCACACATTCCACACTCACACTCATCCACAGAGCTGCTGTCACACGCACAGCCACACACAGCCCCATGCTCCACATGCACCCTTGACACCTGCAGCGGCACCTCCAGCCTGGCCTCCCCCGAGGGCCACCCAGGTGTCCAGTGCTACGTGGCGTCTGCCTCTCTCGGACATTGCACTAACCAGGTCCCACCGCAAGCCTCAAGAACATCACACTGATGAGGCTCCACCCCAAACCTCAAGAACTTCACACTGACGAGGCTCCACCCCAAACCTAAGGACATCACACTGACCAGGTCCCACCCCAAGCCTTAAGGACATTGTACTGACCAGGCCCCACCCCAAGCCTAAAGGACATCACACTGACGGGGCCCCAGCCCAAGCCTGAAGGACATCACACTGACAGGGTCCCACCCCAAGCCTTAATGTGCTCCCGAGCCTGTTCCTCTCTCACGCAGTCTTTCTTTCTGCTACTCAACCTGAAAATCTGGGCATCATCCTTGCTCTGTCCTCTTCTCCTAACCCTCGTCCCGCCAACTCTGTTTGTTCCGCCTCCCACTCTGACCCTGTCTGTCCCCTCCAGGCACCATGGACATCTGGGGCTGGGTCCTTCTTGGTGGGAGCATCCCGTGTGCTGTAGGATGTTTACTGGCATCCCTGGGTCCCCACCCACTGGATGCCAGGGGCAGCCCCCTCCCCAGCTGTGACAACCCCAGACATTGCCATGCATCCCCTGCTGGAGAGAACCCGCCCCAGACCAAGCCCCAGCCCCTCTCACCCAGGCTTTGCGCTGGGTTCCCAAAGGGTCTCTCTGCCTCTGACCTAGTTCCTTCTAACCATATACCAGACCATTCTTTTAAAATATTAATCGGTGAATTTCAGAGATGCCATCATTTTATAAAGACACTGTTAAATGCATATTTATACCAGGCCAGAGCCCCTCCTGAGTCAGACCCCCGGGAGTTCCCACCACACTTGAATTGATTCAAACCCCCCAGGGCCCTTCAGAGCCTGCCTCTGCCCACCCTGGCCCGGCCGGCTCTCTCGGTCTTTCAAACACAAGCTCGAGAGGTCTGGGCACAAGTCAGTCCCACTGCCTGGACCAGCCCTCTACTCTCTGTCCCCAGCCACCCACTCAGCACAGGGCTGCCTCCTCCCATCCTAAATCCCCCAAGTTGTTCTGTATCACAGCACCTGCCCATTCCCATGGGAGTCCTTCCAACAGTTAGTCATGAATTGTATGTGTGTGTTATAGGCAGAGGTACAGGCATAGGTATATTGATAGAGAAGATAATGAGATAGGTTGACACAGATGACACACACGTGGCACAGGTGTAGACAGGCAGGGTGAGGTCTACAGGCACCCTCCTCCCCAGGGCATGGGCTCCTGGGGGCATGGCTGCCCTACTTCCTGGTCCCCTGAGCAGAAGGCCTGGGCCCATGTCCAGCATGGAGTAGGGCCTTGTTAGAATATTTCAGGGTTGATGGTCGGACGGATGAGGGCCTCATGGCATGGCCTCGGGTAGCAGTGGAAAAGGAGCTGTTGTGGAGACACAGGACACAGGCTGGAATCAATAGCTCTCACCATGTGGTGTGTGCCATCACTCCTCACTGGGGTGTTGAGGGGAGGGGTTGCTTTAATATGGCTCATGAATGGGGGTACGGCCTTTCTAATCTCCGCAAATGTCATCGACTTCCAGAGATCTGTGAAATCACCCAACCAAGACACGTGGCCGCTAACTCCTTCTAACGCGCCTTCATGTCCTGCTCAACATCCCAGCGGCTCTTCCTGAAGCCCAGGGCCAGCAGCCCCGTGTAGATGCCCCGGGACCTCCGTTTCCGGGGCAGTTGGGGCGCCCTCTCTCCCCAGGACAGTGGCAGTGTGGCAGCACAGAGCAACAGCTGGTCTCTGCTCCCAAAGAGATGCAGAGAATGAATGCGTCCTAGGCCAGCCAGGCCCTGGGGCTGTCCCCGCGATGTCCCTGCACACAACAGCCATGAGATCCCTGCCCTCAGGCAGCGAGTCCAGTGTGGGGAGGTGCAGGAAAACCCTTGAGACCCTTCAGTGCATAAGGAAACGGAACGTGACCTCTAAGAGCAGAGGCGACTTGAAGAACACAGCCCAGCACAACGGCAGAAAGAAGGTGTTCAGGAAAGGGTGTGGCAGTCAATGGATTCCTCCAGAAAACACGGTGGGTGGGGAGCCAGAGGTCCTTGCATCCAGCAGTCAGGCCACAGCACAACCTCACCTGGGCCAGGGCAGCAGAAATCCCCAAGTCCCTTGACCTCGCAATCATGCAACCAGGCCCAGGCCATCTTTGCAGGGCGGGGGACCCGGGTGTGCCTCCCCAGGTGGGTAACAGAGCAGGCAGTTGGGCAGGGAAGGAGCAGGGAGAGGTCCGTCTGCCAGGCCCACATGGTAGGCAGGCACGCAGTGTCTCGAAGCAGTCGGCGCACACGGTTACCCTTAATGGGACTGCGCTGCCTGACTCATATGCTCTGAATCTGTCAGGGCCTTGTTTTTGTTTTTTGTTGGGAAATAATTACGGATTCACTAGAAGGGGCAGAGAAATGTACAGGTGCCTCGCACCCTTCACTCAGCTCCCCGCAATGTTGACGTCTCACGTAACCACCATGCAACCAGGAAACCGAGATGGGGCAGTACACAGGGCTGACTCAGATTCCCCAGTGATATACACACGTGTGTGCATCTGTGTGTGCATGCCTGTGTGTGCGTGTGCGTGAGATATGTAGCTCTTTGCCATGTTATCACATGTGCAGCATCGTGCGACCATCACCGCAGTTGAGATACGGAACTGCTGCATCAGCACAAAAGCCTGGGTTGGGGTTTATTTAATTAAAAAAAAAAAAGGTTGAAAACTAAGAATTGTCACAGCAAGTAAGTGAGCTCTTCTGCAGTGCTAGGGCAGCTCAGCTGAGCTGGGGCGGGGGCAGCAGCTGGGCAGTCTGCTTCCTGAGCGGAGGAGCAATTTCCTGGTGTCCGGGGACTCTGGGTGGCAAATCAGGGAGAGAATAAGGAGCGAGATGTTGAAGCCCTCACCCCTGCCACAGGAGGCCCAGCTGAGAAACAGCCACCAGCTTCCTCTCCTGTTCCTGCCTTCACACTCCCCTCCATCTCTGGTTCCCGGGTACTGTTCCCTCTCTCTGTCCCTCCAAGCAGCATGGCTGGATCTAATGGCAAGCACAGGAAGCTGGGGCACCTGCCTGTGCAGAATGTGAAGCGCGGCCGTGGGCTACCAGGCCTCCACCTGTGCCCACTTCGTCCTTCTCAGGGTCTCCCTGTCTGTATCATCTCTGCAGCACCCAGACCTGACCAGCTCTGCAGCCCAGGCACACAGAACCCCTCCCCTAGGCACTCCACAGCCTGCTGCTCCCAAGAGTAGAGTCCCCAGGTCCCTCTTCTGGCATGACTCACAGGCCCAGGTGGCTCTCAGAGTGCATAGGGACAGCAGCAATGCCGCAGCGTCACCTCTATGGGGCCCTGGAGGTTCCGAGGCTCTGGAGGCAGAGAGAGCTGCTGCTCTTCCACTAGCTGGTGCTGGCCATGTGGGAGGCGCTGGGGAGGCTGGAGGGCAGGGGCGGATGTGCAGAGCGTTCAGGACTCTCTTCCCTCCACCCACCCTCCAAGGCTGGACTTCATTTTTCTCCAAGAAGTGGGGAGTCCTGTGGAACCCAGTGTGACCAGATGGTACAGAGCACAGTGGGGCGGATGGCACTGGGCAACGTCCTGCCCGGCAGAGGAAGGGGATGCCAAGGACCAGATGGTACTCCAGGCTGCAGGACACCAGGCGAGGGACCAGGCAATCACGGGGCAGTGCTGTGTTCCCCTGGAAGTCAAGTCCACCACCCCCACCCCCACCAATCCTAGAGACTTCCAGGCCACCCTCAACACTGGCCACCTTCTTAAAGGCTAAGAATAAGGTCCCTTGACACAATGGCAGGTATTGGAACACACCTGTTCCTTGCAGGTGGGAC
This sequence comes from Homo sapiens, assembly GCF_000001405.40. Taxonomy (NCBI): domain Eukaryota; kingdom Metazoa; phylum Chordata; class Mammalia; order Primates; family Hominidae; genus Homo; species Homo sapiens. Next base: position 79,459,734 of record NC_000017.11, read on the forward strand.
ACAGAGATGATGATGGTGAGGTTGGGGGAGAGGGGATTTAAGAGTGAGGGGTATGGGATTCAGGGTTACTGTTTCATTTCCTCATTCTACAAACACATTTTGAGCACCAGAAATCTTCAGAAAATAGTCCCACATGTCTATTGTGTGACTGGAATAGTCAATAGTCAAACGTCCCTTGATGGTTGAATGGATAAACTCAATGGTAGGTCCAAGCAGCGGAAGATTACTCAGCTGCAAAAAGGAATGAGGCATGGACAGGTGCTGCAATGTGCTGCAGAAGGGCAGGTTTCACTCCATTTCTACAAAACACTCAGAACAGGCAAATCCACAGGACAGAATGCAGAGGGGCAGTTGCCAAGGGCTACGGGAGGGGATGGGGAGAGGCTGCTAATGAGTACAGGATCTCCTTCTGGGATGATGAAAGTGTTCTAGAACTTGACACAGATGATGGTTGCACAATATTCTCAATGTACTGAATACCACTGAATCGCACCCTTTGAATCAATTAATAGTTCATGTTATGTTATGTACAATTTTACCTCATTAAAAAAAAATGGGCCCCTCTCTGACTCTTCTGCTCCCAGGTGAGTTCTGAGTTTTGTCCTCTCTACCTCAACTCCAGCAGCAGCTTCCTAAAAGGCTTCCAGTCTATCATCCACCACACTCCCACCACAGTCAGCTCCCCAGAATCAAGCTCATCAGGTCTAGCTCTCCCTCCCTGCAGGCAGAGCTCGCAGGACTGTGCCAGCTAGGGCCACGCCCTCAGCCTCAAGCCCCATGCCCCAGCCACTCTGAGCTCTCTTGCTGCACTTACATAAGCCATGCTATGATGGTTTAAATATGTCTCCTGAAGTTCACGTGTTGAAAACTTATTCCTGCCACAGGATGTTGAGAAGTGGGGCCTAACAAAGGTAATGAGGTCATGAGAGTCTGCCCTCATGAATAGATTAATGTAGTTATTGTGGGAGTGGGTTCATTATCACGAGGGTGGGTTTGTTATAAAAGTGAGTTCAGCTCCCTCTTGCTCATGCTCTTTTGCCCTTCCACTTTCCACCGTGGGAGGATGCAGACCTGCACCAGATGCCAGGGCCATGTTCTTGGCCTTCCCAACCTCTAGAAGCAAGGACCAAGTAAATGTCTATCATTTACAAATTACCCAGTCTGTAGTATTCTATTACAGCAACACAGAATGGACTAAAACAGTGTCTTTTTTTTTAAACCTCCATGCCTTTGCTCTGTGTGCAGTTCCATGCTCACCAGTTCTTGCCAGAAAACTTCTGTGCATGCTTCAAAACCCACTCAAAAGCCTTTCCACTGGGCCCCCAAAGTGTTTGTTCTGCCTCACTGCAAAGGATGCATAAACTGTAACCTATCTGTCTCCTCCATGAAACGGCAAGCTCCCCAAGGGGGTTGTTGGGGGTACACATTACATTCATCTGGGATCCTGAGGACCCAGCGTGATGACTAACACATCCTTTCATTTCACAAATACCACTGAAGGCCCAGGATTCAATGAGGAATGAATAAAAGATGGTGAGTCATGAGAACTCAGCCCATGAGGACCTCTGGCTGTCACAGAGAAATATTCTCTTCTCATTCACATTCTTTCTGTTCTGCTTCTGAATACCACCACCCAAGTCTTCCATTCTCCCTGGGACAGTGAGTTGAACAGCTGGGAAGGAGGAGGAAGATGGAGAGATTGCATCTCCAACCATTTCCGCCTTCTTTGAACTCCAACAGCATTTGTAGGTGGAACTATACCATTTTAACAATTATAGACTACATCTTATCCTTTCTATGCCTTGTGAAGTGTCCCCAGCCCTGCTGAGCACAGGGTCTCGGCACACTGCCCATTTCCCCATGGTGAGCATCACTTACTGCAGTGGGTTGAACAGTGGACGCCCAGAACTCAGATATACCCAGAACCTCAGAAATGACCTTATTCGGAAACAGGGTCTGCACAGATGTCATTTGTCAAAGCTCTTGAAACGAAATTGTCCTGGATTTAGGATGGGCCTCCAATCCAATGACTGGCATGTTTATAAGAAAAAGATGGGGATTTGGACAGAGACACAGAGGAGAAGGCCATGTGACACAGAGGTAGAGGCTGGAGGGATGCAGACACAGGCTGAGGAACGCCATGGGTGGCCAGCAACCCCCAGAAGGTGCAAGGGGCAAGGGAAGTTCTTCCTCAAAGCCTCCAGAAGGAACCAGTCCTGCCAACGGGCACCTTGATTTCTCACTTCTGGCCTCCAGAATTGTGAGAGATTACATTTCTGTTGTTCTAAGCCACCTAGATTTTGGTAATTTGTTCTGGTAGCCCTAGAAAATTAACCTGCTAACAAACTGTACAATTTATGGATGTGTTCAGTGTCTGCCTCTCTCTCTAGAACACAAGTTCTATGAGGGTAGGTATTTCTATCTCTATCCATCAATGAGTACCAAGCTCCTAAGACAGTGCCCCGCAAATAGTACGTGGCCAACAAACACTCATGAGATGCATGAACGATGTAACGATAAGATGCACAGGCTGCCTGAGCCTGACTCCCAGCTCTGCCACCAAGGCACTAATGGTGTGACCTTGGGCAAGTTCTCTAACACTGCTGGACTGCAGATTTCTCTTCTGTAGGGTGGAAAGAATGATTAAAAAGAAAAGTCATGGAGCATTACATGGATTCAATGCTTAGGAAGGCATAGACGGTGTCTTACGCACAGTTAGCCCTCAACGTTAGATGTTAGAAATGAAGTCACTCAAGAATAAATTAACAGTGGCTCTCAACTGGGGGCAAGTGTTGCTCCCCAGGGGACATGAGACAAATGCCTGGAGACATTATTGGTTGTTACTACTTAGTGGAGGGATTGCTACTGCCTCCAGTAGACAGAAGTTAGGGATCCTGCTCAGTGTCCTACAGCCCAAAACATCACTAGTGCTGAGGTTGAGAAGTCCTGATATAAAGTAAAATTGGTTTCTGGAGAGAAAGAAGCAAGACGTAAAGATGAAATAAAGTCCCAGATACGGAATTATAAAACTGGGGAAATGACTACACACACGTCTATCTTTCCAACCCATTAGCTGCCATATTGAAAGCTCACACAGAGCGTCTCCAGCCCAGACACAGCGGTTATCTGACATTTACTTCTTCTGGGACACTCTCAGCCCAAGCCCATTCCAAGGTGGAGGAGAGAAAGCAAGAGAAGCCTCTTTGAGCATCGTTCGATTGCCCTGTTGCCACTGCCACCTCCACCACCATCGCCACTGCCACTGCCACCTCCACCACCATTGCCACTGACACCTCCACCACCATCGCCACTGCCACCTCCACCGCCATCGCCACTGCCACCTCCACCGACTTTGCCACTGCCACCTCCACCGCCATCGCCACTGCCATCGCCACCGCCACTGCCACCGCCACCTCCACCACCATCGCCACTGCCACCTCCACCGCCATCGCCACTGCCACCGCCATCGCCACTGCCACCTCCACTGCCATCGCCACTGCCACTGCCATCGCCACTGCCACCTCCACCATCGCCACTGCCACCTCCACCACCATCACCACTGACACATCCACCACCATCGCCACTGCCACCGCCACCTCCACCACCATCGCCACCTCCACCGCCATCGCCACCGCCAGTGCCACCGCCACCTCCACCACCATCGCCACCGCCACTTCCACTGCCATTGCCACTGCCACCGCCATCGCCACTGCCACCTCCACCGCCATCACCACTGCCACCTCCACTGCCATCGCCACTGCCACTGCCATCGCCACTGCCACCTCCACCATCGCCACTGCCACCTCCACCACCATCACCACTGACACCTCCACCACCATCGCCACTGCCACCGCCACCTCCACCACCATCGCCACCTCCACCGCCATCGCCACCGCCACTGCCACCGCCACCTCCACCACCATCGCCACCGCCACCTCCACTGCCATTGCCACTGCCACTGCCATCACCACTGCCACCTCCACCGCCACTGCCACCTCCACCGCCATCACCACTGCCACCTCTACCGCCATCACCACTGCCACTGCCACCTCCACCACCATCTCCACTGCCACTGCCACCTCCACCGCCATCACCACTGCCACCACCACCATTGCCACTGCCACCTCCCCATCGCCACTGCCACTGCCACCACCATCGCCATCACCACTGCCACCACCACCACCATTGCCACTGCCACCTCCCCACCATCGCCACTGCCACCTCCACCACCATCGCCACTGCCACTGCCACCTCCACCACCATTGGTAGCAGCCGTGACAGCTTTCCTAGGGCTGCTCTGCAAAAACAAACTCCTCCTGGGCTTAACCGTAAGCCCTTGGCAACCACCAATGATGGGGAACTTGACTGCTGCTTTGCTGGACCCAGACCAGGAAATCCAGATGGGAAGACGCAGGAGTGCACCAGCTCCTCGTGCTCTGTGGCGAGGCCTCTGCGAAACGGGCGCACATCAGGAAATGTTCGCTCTCCCTTCACCACCAAGGAGACTGGCCGATTTCCTCTCCTTCAAGCTTCTTCCAACGGACAGAGAAAATTCCCAGAAAGACGTTGGGGGAAATGTTAGCGACAGCCCGGAGAAGAGGGGAATGTTTACGTGGACGGGCCTTTGTGCCTGCCCAAGGTGCCGTCCATCAATACCGCCAACTTGGGGAGGATGCCCATCAAGGCGGAGCAGGGACACAGAGGTGTCACGTGCACCTCGGCCCACAGAGGAAGGATGCCCAGTACATCTGTCGGGGCGGCCCGAGGACAGGCGACAGATTCCCCCGCAGACATCTGCCTGCTGGAGGAACGTGCCGTGATGCAGACGCCGGGGGGAGGCAAGGAGAAGGGAGGAAGGGAGGCAACTCTTTTTATAGCAAGTGAGCAAACAAACAAACTGTTTTGCCTTAAGAAGCCAAAAAGGAAAAAAGAAAAAGAAGGAGAATACATTTCTGCCACTGCTGGGAGCATCGTAAGAGCCACCTTGGTTGACCACAGAAAGAAGTGCAGGGTGCCAGGCACACTGAGGCCAGGGCCTTCCCTCCGCGGCCCCGAGGACAGCTGAGAACAGGCCAGCCCCAGCCGCTCAGATGCCAGCAACGTGCTGGCACAGTGCTCGCCCTGTTGTGAATGAGTCCTCAGTCCCTGCAGAAGCTCAGTGAAGTCGGATGGTCACTAACCCGATTTGACAGGTGAAGAGGGTGAGGCTCGGCAAGTTAGCAAGTGGGGAACCACGAGGTGGCCCCAGCTCTGAGCCCCCACCTGCCACACTGCCATGGGGACCCAAGGGTCTCCCGTTTATGAGCTCAGCCTTCCGAAGGCGAGGTGGAAGTGAAGGACTGCAAACCCCGAGTTAAACCCTCTGACTTCTCTCCACCTCCCTCGTGTCTTCCTCCTCTGGCCCTCAGACCCTCGAGCCGATGAAACGCACCACGACCTTGGCTTCCCGAGGCGGCCTCCCCTCACCCCGACACGGGAGCTGACATTGTGCATTCCATTCAGAGCTCCCTTTGTTCAGGCCACATAGAAACCAGAGCTGCTCGTCAGAGAAAAGCTCCATCCCATAATAAACAGCATGAACTATTTATAATCCCGAAAACATCTTTATTATTATTTTTCTTCCCTCCAGAAACAATCTCACGCAATCCTGTTAAGTACACACCACGGAGGACTGGAGGGCCACGGGTCGGGGCTGCTTCCCCTGGCCCTGCCCAGCGAACAGATGGCAGCGTGGGCGTTAGGTACCAGCCTCCTGGCAATCTGAACATCTGTTCCCGTTAGAAAATGCTAATTGCCATCAATCAGGACAGCACCTACCCACATTTACATGCAAGCACACATGCACAAAAAAAAAAAAAATACATCTAAATTTCTCCAAGTGCAACACTCCCTGCATGTTAACTAGCCTAAGCTTTGCCTCAGCCTCGGAGGAGCAGCCCCGTGGCCAGCTTCTGGCCTGGAGGGCTCCCGTCGGGGCCTGCCCTGGACCCACAGCAAGCAGTGAGGTTAGGGAGTCACTCGGCAGGTAGCCATGCTTCAGCCCCCGGTGGCCTCTCATCCGCCCAGCAGGGAGTAGGCACGGGATCGCGGCCTGGGCAGTGCAGGCCGCCTGGACAGAATCCCTCCCTAGCCTGGATGTTTCTCTCTACGCCTCCACAAAGCCACTCCTCCGGCTCCATCTGTCCTCGATGTCTGCACCCATTCCCCTCTCCCTGAGCAAAGCTTCTGGGCATCCCCACGGCCCCCAGGAACAACCCAGCTGGATCTCCCAGCCCAGAGGTCGTCTCCATATCCACATCCAAGGGCTGGCCCATGAGGCTCCCTCTGCCCAAAGTGCATGTGTGGAGACACCTGGCAGCTCCAAGCCAAGGTCCCAGACCCGGCCTCTGCTGGGCTGTGTTTTCTACCCCGTGGGGCTGGGGACAAGATCTCTCCAGCATGTCAGGTGGGACTGGGCCCCAGCGGCCTCCTCCCTCCTCTAGCCTGGAAGCCCTAGGCTTGTGAGGCCCCGCACCCTCTCCCGGATTGTTCTCTGGTTGAGCATCACAAAGCCACAGGCCTTGGTGATCAGGAAGAGTCCTGGGGGGCGGGGGGCGAGCACAGGCAGTGGAAGGGAAGCAAAGCTGCCCCAGATAGGTGGGTGACCCAGGATGGAGAAGGGCAGCACCTGCGAGTGTTTGCCCCTTGGGGAGTCGAGGGCAGAACCTCCCTCCTTCCTTGCCTGGCTTTCTGCAGAGCCCCTGCCCTCCCCAAGGAGCACAGACCCAGGCTACTCCCTGGGACCTTGGGAGGGTCACCTGCAGCCCTTCTGGAGACCACAGGGACCAATAACATGCCACAGTGACCTCAGGCCATGCATGCCCATTGGAGGACCCTCTGCATTTTTAGAAAGTGAGCTGGAAACATTGGCCTATTATATAATGAAAGTCCCACACACACACACCCTCCCCAAGAGAAAGCGATTTTGCTAATTTTTCTCCCGGGCGGCAGGCGCCGTTGCCAGCCTTGGTTGCTATGGGGCCCAGTGACTGGTTTGAGTGGTAAACTCAGGGGATTGGAGGAGAGGTTTCCATGGGGAGCCACAGAGTGCAGCCGATGAGAGGCCACAGGTCTCCCCACCTAGGGCAGCCCACACGACCAGGTGTGAAGAGGGCCTCCTGGACCCAGACCTGGCAGGTGACCCCATAACAGGCATGAGCCATCTCCATGACATCATAACAGGGTCTCTTAATGGGGACATCCCTGTCTGTGAACCAGGTACAGGCTTCCTCTGTGCACATGCATGACACATGCCATATGCATGCACTGCACACGTCTAGATAAGGTGCAGAGCTGGCACTGCCACGGGCATGTGTTATGGCCTCATCGAGATGGCTCAGGACTGCGGTGGCATCACCTGCCAGGTCTGGGTCCGGGAGGCCCTCCTCACACCTGGTGGCACGGGCTGCTGCAGACGGGGGGTCCTAGGGTCTCTCACCAGCCACACCGTGCTGCTTCCCATGGAAACCTCTCCTCTGATGCTTGAGAGAGGCTGATGTGTGGCTTAGGTCCCCAGAGTAGCGTGCCTTCCTCAGAGATTTCAGGGGATGAGTGATAAATAAAGAAGTGGGTGGAGATGAGGGCAGAGCGGGGAGGAGGGAGAGAAGGTGGAAAAACTCAAAGAACCTTGCTTCCAAATTTCTTTTACATTTTGCCTTCTTTTAAGATGATCCCTCTCTTGGTACCAGGTAAACTCATGTGGATGTTGAGGACATGAGGCCACCTGATGTCCCGGGGGCATGTCCCAGCTGTGCACCTGTGGCCAGCACTCCTGGGCCACCCCCTGCTCTGCCTGCCTGACAGAGAGGCTTACCGCCACCAGCAGCTCTGCTCCTGAGCTGCCTAACTGCAGATGGTGGGGGGCAGCACCTGTTCCGTGGGGCTTAGGGCCTCCGGCTTCCATCCATGAGTGCCAGCGTCCCTGGAACGTGTGCCCCACCTGCCTCCTGCCAGGATCCAGGAGTGGGCACCTCTCCTCCCTGGGATCACTATGGTCTTTGTTCAGAATCACAGTGTTTCTCTCTGCTATGGGCCTTTGAGTCCTCCCAGGAAGGGACCTTGAGCAAGGCCTCCGGGAAGTTGGCCTCCTCCTCTGCTTGCCCCCTCCCACCACGCCCTCTGACCCTCTGATTTCTCTGTGGCTCCTGAGCATGGCCTGTCTCCCTGCAAGGTGCCACAGGTATGAGAACCCAGGAGACGGTTCTTCTCCAACACCCGAGGCAGACGTCATGCCTCCTCCCTGCCTCTCACTTCCCACTTTGCAGCTTTACTGTCCGCATTGTTTGGTTCGCTGAGCCCTAGGAGCTGAGAGACTGGTTAACCATGAGGGACTGTGGAGCCAGGAAACATGACTTTGACCATTTGCCCTTCCCACCCTGAACCCCACACGCTAAGACCAAAGGAGGATGAAGTTTCCAAAATCAACTTCACAATAATGATAGAAATTAATGAGTTCCACACAGATAGGCAGATAGACAGGGGATGACGCATGAATAAATGGATACCTGCATAGATGGATAATAGATAGATGAGTAGATGGATAGGCAGATGGATATAGAGACATACAGATAGACAGGCAGGTAGACAGGTGACAGATGATGGATGGATGCATAGACAGATGATGGATGGATGGACAGGTAGGTAGACAGATACATAGATGGATGATTGAACAGACAGACAATAGATCAACAAATGAATGGATAGACGGGTACACACATGGATGATAGATAGATGCATACACAGACATAGGTAGATAGATCGGTAGCAGATAGGCAGGCAGGCAGGCAGACAGACAGGAGGATGGATGAATGAATGAATGGATGGATGGATGGATAGATAGATAGCAGATAGGCAGGCAGATAGACAGAAGGATGGATGGATGAATGGATGGATGGATAGATAGATAGGAGACAGGCAGACAGATAGGAGGATAGACGAATGGATGCATAGATAGATAGCAGATAGGCAGGCAGATAGACAGGAGGATGGATGGATGGATAGATAGATAGATAGGAAGATAGATGGCAGATAGACAGGAAGACAGGCAGGAGGATGGATGGATGGATGGATGGATAGATAGACAGCAGATAGGCAGGCAGATAGACAGGAGGATGGATAGATAGATAGGAAGATAGATGGCAGATAGGCAGGCAGATAGAGACGGGAGGATGGATGGATGGATGGATGGATGGATGGATGGATGGATGGATGGATGGATAGCAGATAGGCAGGCAGGCAGACAGGAGGATGGATGGATGGATAGATAGATAGACTGATTGATTGACTGATCGACTGACAGACTGACAGATAGATAGATAGATGGATACAGATAGATATGGATATAGCTCCTCTATAGAGGAGAAAATGTAGGGAAAAAACCCCTATATTTTCCCCTACACCTTCTCCTTTATGGGTCATTCAGAAAGGTCGGTCCAGGTCTTGACATCGAGTTGGCAGCAGAGGAGCCAAGGACTCAAGCCAGATGAATTCTCACTGGTCACGAGGTGTCTGACATGTATGCTGGGCGGGCTCAAGTCCAGGTCTGTGCCCATCTCCCTGCAGCAGCACTGGGGCCCCTTGGCCGCCCATGCAGTCCTGGGAATCCAGGCACCAGGGACCAGACCTGACCTGAAACAGGGATGTGTGTGGAGAGGACCCCACTCCACGTCAGGGCGCCTGGTCCTGCCTAACGCTCCAGCCTGGACAACTGCCCTGTGCCTACATTCCCTGTGCCGTCCCTGTCCCCTGTCCTGCAGGTAAGCAGCTGACCACCTGCTCGCACCTCACATCTCCCTATGGCACATGCCCCACCCCACCACCCTTTAGGTGCCACAATGAGCCTGCCAGACCAGACTCCCTCCCTCCACCCACAGCTGCACACAACTGGATGTGGGACCCCAAAAAACAGGTTTGGCCTCCCTCATTCCACCAGGATGGGGTGATCTGAGCTAAGAGAGGGAAGGACCTCTAGTTAAATGTAATGGGGAGGGCAGCTTGCTCACGTGCAGTCAGAAGAACACGCATGAAGGAGAGCGCTCATGAGGGAGAGCTCGCATGGGGGAGCACGTGCACGGAGGAGAGGGTGCACAGGGGAGAACGTGCACAAGGGAGAACGTGCATGATGGAGAACGTGCATGAGAGAGAGCACGCATGGAGATGGAAGACCATCTCATCGTCTCCAGCCCATAGCTCCTCACCCTAAAACACATCCCTGGCAGTGTGCTCCAAGGAGTGACCAAGAGCCAGGGTGAGGGTCGTAGGCACGTGTGGGGCCTCCTGCAGACCACAGGTGCCTTGGAGGAGAGGCTGTCATGGGTCATCTTTGTGTCATCCTTACGTTCAGCTCCACACACACAGCCCCTGGCCCCGATCCAGACCCAAAAGGGCCCTGCGAATGTTGGAGAATGAATAGTTGTGTGCTTCAATATCACCTGAACTCAGGAGATCACTACTGGAGACACCACCGCAGCCCCAGTGGCCCACATGTGTGTACCTGGGACATCATCCTGGCCCCGGTGGCCAAAATGCCGTGTGTCCACTCTGCTGGACAGAGGGGAAAGAGTAAAGACTGTCAACAGCAAATAAGACAGGCTGGCGGGTGGGCTAGGGCTGGACGGAGGGCTGTCTTCACTCAACAGCTCCCCCCGAGGCTACTGGCTCCCCATGTGAAATGTCGCCACATTATAAGCAGAGTCTCATAAAATTTCACAGGAAGGTGGCATTAAAATTCTTCTACTCCAAACCACCCCTCAGCACACACATGCATCTAAGGTTAGAATCCCTTCCCCAACATCCTACCACGTGCTTCTCAAGCTAGGGAACCCCCCTCAGCCCCCAAGGGTGTGCAGAGGTGAGATGAGGGTGGCTGGCCACACAGCCCACGCATGTGCCTCCTCTCAAAGTATCCGTTCTAGCCAAAGTGTCTGGGGGAACTATTACTGTCAGGTTATAGCCAGCACAAGCATATTGTGGATTCAATGTAAGATGTGCTTGAAGTTTTAAGAGAACAAATAAGACTTCAAAGAAATGTCATCCTTTCTCTGGACCCCTTCTGGCAACACACGCCCAGTCCCTCAGGGGTACAGGTTTAATATTTCCTCTCTTCTGGAGTCTTCCGGGGAAAATGTATACCTCCAGGGAAATGCTGTGTGCCTCTCTGTCATCCAAGACAGGCCACTTAATCTCCCTTTGCCTGAGCACAGCCCACTGCACGCATGTTCTAGCTCTGTGATGCACCACCACGAAAAAAATAACAGCAGAACCAGCCCTTCCTTTCTATTCACTGAAGGAGAAAAAACAGAATTAACTGCTTCATAGACAGTCAAAATAAGCTTTCTGCTGGCCTCAGTGACAATGCTTGACATCCATAATGCAGAATGGAGGTGAGTCCTGGGTCCCCAGCACCCCTCCTGCTGGAAGAGGCCAGGACACACGAAGGGTCTCTCATGGGAAGCAGCCATCGTGGCTCTCAGCTCATGGAAAGCGGGGTACGTGACCAGCACTGGCCAGGGTGCGACGCTTGGGGTATTCGCAGGGAAATGAGGGCAAAGCATTTTGCAAAGAGCGTGCAGGGCCGGGCAAAATACTAAATAATTCAAAAATCATGATGACCTTGCCTTGGGAACTTTTGGAGCAACAGAATGGTTTAGAATAATGACCCATCCAATGACATTCTGGCTCACAGACAAGAGACAATATTCAAACGCCACCTCTGGTCACCCCTGGCCTGAGGGACATTTGTTTTGGTGGCTGAGGCAGCCGCCAGTTACCCAGTACTGTGGGTACAGGCGTGAGCTTTCTCAGCTACAAAGAGCACGACATAAACAAGGAAGGCGCACACACACCTGTCACCTCTCCGTGGACTGCAGTGTTTAAAAGACAGTCATCACCCAAAGTGCTTTTTATAACAAGAAAGGACTCTGAACGTTGTCAGGTGAGTAGCACTGCCTGTGTCCCCATGGCCAGGGCGTGTGCAGAGCCTGGGTGGACGCAGGCAGGTTAGCTATCCCAGCCCTATGCATCACTCCTGCATCACACCTAGCGCCCCGTGTGTGACCCGGGATCCCACCGTTCTCCAGGGTCGAGGGAGAACACTTCAAGAGAGGCGACTAAATCTCCACCAAGCACATTATATCAAATACGCCTCAGGAAAACCCTTTATGGAAACCTACTATGTGCAGCACTGTGGGAGAAACAAGTTGCAGCCTGTGCCCTTAAGGAACTCCAGAAAGAAAAGGGGACAGGTGACAAGAGACATGACCAAAGAGGCAGCTCCATGCACAGATGACGACGACCGCCCAGCTGCCCTCTGCAGGTGTGCAGGACCAGAGGGCAGGAAGGTGGGGTGGGGGTGGGCTCTGGGTCATGCCCACTTGGCCTCCATCCCAGAGAGCAGCTCCCCCAAACCTGGAATGATGAGTGTGCCTGACGGGGCCCATCTGAGATAGACCACAGTGGTCGTACTAGCTGGTGGCAGAGGGTTGGGAGTGGTAGTCCTTAAATTATTTTGAAATAATTTAAGAATCACAGGAAGTTGCAAAAATAGTACAGAAAATTCCCGTGCACCCTTCTATTATGGACTGAATCATGCCCTCTCAAAATTCATACATTGAAGTCCTAACCCCTAGTACGTTAGATGTGACCGTATTTGGAGATAGGACCCTTACCAGGCCATATGGGTGGGCCTCATCCACTCTGACCAGTGTCCTTCTAAGAGAAGAAGATTAGGACACAGACATGCACAGATCAAGGGGCGGCCATGTGAGGACATAAGGAGAAGATGACCATCTACAAGCCAAAGAGAAGCCTTCAAGGAAACCAATGCTGCCAACAGCTTGATCTTAGACTTCTGGCCTCTTGAATTTTGAGAAAATTAACCTCTGTTGTGTGAGCCCCCAGGCTGAGGGGCTTCACCATGGCAGCCCAAGCCGACCACACACCTCCCACATCTCATGACCACCCTCCATTCTCAAGCGAGGACACTGCCCTGGGTCTGTTGGTCAGTGGCAGAGCTTATTCAAACGTGACAAGTTCTGTGATCTGACCTGTGTGGCCTCTATACCGGCACTTCTCAAACCATCTGTGGTGAAGGATTCATTGGTTTATTTCCAATTCATTCTGGACCTACATTTTTGTTTCTTTGTTTTGTTTTTTGAGACAGGGTCTCACTATGCTGCCCAGCTGATCTCAAACACCAGGGCTCAACCAATCCTCCCACCTCAGCCTCCTGAGTAGTTGAAGTGACAAGCCCTTACTTTTGGTTTTTAGAAAACCTATAAAAATAGAATCACTAGAAAAATGGAATAAAGAAGGCATACAAAACACAAAGCCCAGGTTCTTAACGATTAGACTCATCAGACCTAAAACGACTCCTTCAAATGACTAAAAGATTCTAAATGCTTAATTTCAGCTTCTGTACTCAGTTGCAGGGATCAGGAGCAGCACCTCACGGGCTGGCACCCATCCACAGACCTCACTTTGAGTAGCTGAGATATGGGTCATGTGAGACGTGTCCTCAGCCTGTTGCTAGGGAGCTGCTGTGGGTTTGAATTCTGTATGGCCCTGGGTTGGTCATTTATCTGCAGCTCAGCTTCCTCACAGAGCCCGAGTTGGAACTGTTGTGAGGATTCACGATGATTCATATATATTTTGGGACGAGAACCTCGGGTAAGATAACCTGCTCACATGTGTCATTCAGGGACGTCAGCCTGATGGATTTCCAGGCCTTGCATACTGTTCTGGACACTCCAGGCACACAGATGCCTCCCACAAGAAGTTGTGTTACGAGTGTATTATTTGATCTTTGTTGAACTTGGGTTTATCTTTGCTTGCTTTCAGGCCCTCCCATAATGTTGACATCCTGATGAACCCCCGCTGGTGACGGCAGGTGGCCACACCCTGCAAGCTCCCTGTAATTCCAGCCATTACTCAGCAATGCTCAGCAATGCAAGGTCACTCAGAAACACCATCTGTCCAAGCTCCATCTCCCCTCCCACCCCAAAGGAAAAAAGAAAAATTATTCTGTTCCGCCTCCATTTTTCTCCTCCTCCTAAAAGCACACACACACACTCACACACACACACACGCAGAACTAAAGTTAGGCTTGCCTTGACCTCTACTTCTAAATTAATTTTCCTTCCTCAGGCATTTGCTGACGCTCCTTTTCTGTTCTTTCCCCCACAGAACACAGATGTCTTTGAAAGCACCAATCCTGCAAACACTTTGTATATCCTTGCAAATCGGGTAAAAGAATAATTTTCTCCAAATCTATACAAATCCTCACTCGTCCATTCACCTTTGCCATGGAATTCACCGGCAACCCCCTCTGAGGAATGCACGTGTCAATGCAGAAAAAAAAAAAAATGAAGAAATTCCGGAATCACATCGAGGGGCCTCAGCCCCAGGTCCCATCTAAGAATGAGGCCAGCAAGAACCACTTAGGCTCTTGGATGCCGTTGACTCACGTCCCTGGTGGCCCTTGATCATTTTGAATCTAAAACATATGGATTTATACAGATTCATGTGGAACCTTCTCATGTTTCTCCATCCAGAATATCTCTGTGACGATGCAGTCACAAGTTCTGCAGTTACTTCTGTGTGACAGGGTCTGTTTGGATCATGCTTGCACAGGTGTCGATATACCATCCTGGAACACGAGGACTAACCCTCCTTTCCCTCAACGGATGGTGACAATCATTTATTGGCTCTCACTGAAGACACAGCCCTTATCGCTGGGGGACTCAGCATCTCAGAGGAGGATGGGCTGTGCATGCAGAGGGAACACAGGGAGCAAAGTCTGTGCAGAAGGTCACCTCACTCACATTTGACTTTTGTATCCGTGAACTTCAGTGCAGCGTGTACCCAGGATCTATTTTCTGCTTCCATTCCCCCTCATTCCCTGGTGCCATTAGTTCCTTTTCCTAAAGTCCTCATGGGTCTCCCCCAGCCCTGGACTCTTACCTCCACCATCACCACCTGACTCAGTCCCTGCTGCCCGCCCACTGGCCTGCCTCACCACCAGAGCCCCACGCATCACTAACTTCAGCACCCGTGCCCACCCAAAAATGTGTCCACATCCCTCTCTCCCCAGAGGTCTCTTTTTCCCTCTGTTTCTTGGGCCTGACTCCTACCTTTCCTTCCAATTCATTCCTTCCACACCTCAAGAGCCCCCTGGAGAGACCTCACAGGCTCCCCTCTCCTGGCCCAGCTCTACAACGCCTCCCTCTCCCACAGGCAGAGCAAGACTCCAGTTTCTCTCTCCTGTGACAAAAGTGTGCGCCCAAAACTTGCAGCACGAACTGTTTATTTTTAGGTTTAGATTTGGGGTCTGGCTTTTAATTCTTAGTTTGTTCTCAAGTCCGATCTCAGCAGTGGGAGGTGGGAAGTGGGTGGGGGACAGAGAATGATCTCAGCTCATCGTTCCAGGTGCCTCCCTCTCCACTAGGTCTGTGGACGGCCTTCTGACCTGGGGTCCTGGGGTTCTTCCAATGTCCACTCTTACAGCTCCAGTCATTCTGGCCTTGGTTTTACCGCTCAGCCTGCATACCTTCTTATCATTGTCTTAAAATCAGCCAAGGGATGGTTCTTTTCCAGAGCATCTCAGTGTCTGGGTGAGATCAGGGCCGAGGGTCAGGGGACACCTCAGGATGAGTCGTGGGCTGTAGAGTCATAGTGCCTGGGTTCATCTTCCTCCCTGGCAGCCTTGGAGGATACAGTGGGTGGAATCATGTCCCCCCAAAACATGTTCCAGCCCTAACCCCCAGGACCTGGGAATGTGGCCTTAGTTGGAAATAAGGTCTTTGCAGATGTGATGAAGGTAAGAGGTGGGCCCCGATCCAATGACTGGTGTCCTTAGAAGAGGAGGGGAATGAGAACACACAGGTGCACACACATGCATGCGTGCACACATGTACACACACAAATGCACACACACACAGGAAGGTCGTGCGCGACAGGATACACAGGCATGGGGGTGGGGTTGCCTCATGATGATGGAGGCAGAGACTGGACTGACAGTGCATCTATAAGCCAAGGCCCACAGAGGATGGCCAGTGGCCCCCAGAGCCAGGAGAAAGGCCTCCGTGTGTGGGACAGTTTCTCCCTGAGAAGCAACCCCGCTGCCCTCCTGATTTTGGATCCTGGCCTCCAGGAATTGGTGAGAACGAAGAGCTATCGTGAGAAGCCACCCAGTCTGTGGCATTCTGTGATGGCAGTCACGGGACACCGACCCAGATGATCTGAATTTCCAGCCCCACTGGCCAGGCTGACTGTCCTGGGGGCTGCACCTGACACCCTGTGCTCTGGGGGCCACTGACACCCTGAGGACCAGGCCCTGCTGGCTCCTCTCCTTGGATTATTTCCATCTGGGGAGCAGCGGCAGGGCCCTCCCTTCCCGCTCCAGCGCTGGAACTACATCTGGAAGCTCTTCTCACCCTTAATTGTTCTTAATGCTTTAACACACGGAGTGACTAATGGGCTCTAATTGGGAGCGGTGTCCTGGGGAACTCGCCCACAGCGCCCTCTGCGACCCGCCCAGTCTCCTCCGCTGCTCACTCACAGAGCTCTAAAGTCACCAAGGAAAAATATTGGCCCGTTTTTCTATTTTTTTAAAAAATGTCACACCAGTGCCAAAAAGCAGTTTTATCCTTCAGCCAACAAGTATAGGGCAAAGAAAAGGATAGAGGCAAAGCCAAAAGCAGATGGGACAAAATATCACAAATGCCACTGAGGTCTGTGACATCTGTCTAGAGACAAAGAGTTCTTGGAGGCAAACCCCACGCCAGTCAGTTCAGGGCGTGTGAAGGATTCCAGCCACATGTTTCCCCTTGAAGGGGAAAGGAAAGAGGGGATAAGGCATCTCTGATGTCTTCTCATCTCCTCTCCGACCCCTGTGAGGGGTAAGTGGTGACTGCCAAGTCACCAGAACTGCAGAGAAGGAACCAGATGATAGAGAGGATAGGCAGAGGCAGGGTGGCAGAATTAGGGGGTCTGGAAAAGAAAGTGCAGAAAAGCCTGAAGTGCACACAATTCCTCAGTGGGGTGGCGGGGACAGAGAGAGACAGACAGAGACAGAGAAGGAGGAAGAGGAGGGGGAATGAGAAAGGAAAGAAGTAGGGGGAGAGAAAAAAGAAGAAAGAGGAGAAAGAGGAAAAGGAGACGGAAGAGGAAGAAGAAGAAAAGGAGGAGGAGGAAGGTGCTCACCCTGTAACCCCAGCACTTTGGGAGGCCTAGGTGGGTGGATCACTTGAGGTCAGGAGTTCGAGACCAGCCTGGCCAACAGGGTGAAACCCCGTCTCTACTAAAAATACAAAAATTAGCCAGGCGTGGTGGTGGGCGCCTGTAATCCCAGTTACTCGGGAAGCTGAGGCAGGAGAATCTCTTAAACCCAGGAGGTAGAGGTTGCAGTGAGCTGAGATCGCGCCACTGCACTCCAGCCTGGGTGAAAGAGCAAGGCTCCGTTTCAAAAAAAAATAAATAAAGATAAATTAAAAAAAAAAAAAAAAAAAGAGGGCGCGGTGGCTCACACCTGTAATCCCAGCACTTTGGGAGGCCAAGGCAGGTGGATCACGAGGTCAGGAGATCGAGATCATCCTGGCTAACACGGTGAAACCCCGTCTCTACTAAAAATACAAAACATTAGCCAGACGTGGTGGCGGGCGCCTGTAGTCCCAGCTACTTGGGAGGCTGAGGCAGGAGAATGGCGTGAACCCGGGAGGCGGAGTTTGCAGTGAGCTGAGATCGCCCCATCGCACTCCAGCCTGGGCGACAGAGCGAAACTCCGTCACCGGAAAAAAAAAAAGAGGAGGAGGAGTAGGAAAAAAGGGTGAAACAGAAGCAATGGAGTGGGGCCCCAGGTCCTTGTCTCATGTCCTCTTTCTCACAGGGACATCCTCAGAGCTTGCTCTGGTGGTGAACAAGCAAAGGGGCAGGGTGGCAGAATTAGGCAGGATCAGAATGAGGGACTGAAGTGGCTGAGCCTGGCATCCTTCCTAAATATTTTCCAAATACATTTCTTAATAGAAAAGGAATCACAGAAGTTTTTAGGACCCAAGTCTCCAAAGACTGGCTCAAACTAAAGTCTTCTCATTAAAATATTGGATCCAAGAAGGAAATAAGATGCCCCTGTAGGAAGGAGAGACCCCAGCAACGTCCTTCAGCTGGGCACCGCCTGTTCCACCCAGGAGCACCTAGGACGAGCTCCTGCAAAAGGAATGCATTCACTGCAAGCCTGGGAGCAACGTCCCATCCGCTTCTGGTATAACTAAATGAAGCCATGATCCCCCTCTCCCCGCTGCCAAGCAACGCTCATGTGCTCCAGGAAGCCCCACGCACGTTCCCACGGCTCATGCGGGCAGCCTGTGTCTCGGCTCAGCCCTCAAGGGTGCCATGCTCCCCGTGTGATGGATTCCAGTTTAACAGCTTTTAAAAACAAGCAGACAAGAGACGGGCGTGATGGATGAGTGCAGGAAGCACGCTCATTTGGAGATGATTTATGGGAAGTCATGTGTTGCCGCTCATGGGTGCGTCCCTGAGGGTGGGGGCCGGGGTGGATGGATGAGTTTGGATAGTGTAAGCTGCACTACCACGGCAGGCTCACACTCAGCCCCATGGCGTGTGCGGCAGCTCCCGCTCCCATCTCATCACGGCAGGCTCACACTCAGCCCCATGGCATGCGCGGCAGCACCCGCTCCCATCTCATGCTGTCTGCATCAGGGCAGAAGACTTTGTTTATCTCTCAGCTCCAGAACAAAGATGCTCCCCCATCCCCAAAAACATCTAGAGAAGAGACAACCGGCCACATTCCTTGGCTCCTCTGTGTGACCCCAACAACGAACAGCAATGTGGTTTAGGAAAATTCAGGTTATCCCATGAGAGTGGTGAAGGGGAGGGGAAAGGAAGGGAAGGGTCAGGGTTGGAGGAGCAGATGACCCTCCTCTGGAGTTTTTGCTCAGGCCCATCTCTTCCCTGTGGACCTGAAAGACCCATCTGCTCCAGGCCTCAGCCACTGCATGTAACAGACAAATCTCGTTTTGCAGCATCCATGTTTTTAATAAGGACTTAGAATTTACTATACAGTAAAACCCAAATTGAATCCATAGTTAAAGGGATGAGCTTTAAAACGGGATCTAATTGACAGGACCCTTTCCGAGGCAGAGGCAATGAACCAGGGCTGAGGCAATGTCCTAGGAGGAAACTGCTTCCTCCCCACACTCTCCTTTGAAGCAAGGACTCGCCTGCAGTGATGGGGAGTCTCGGTCGAAGGGCTCCTTGCCAAGGCCATTCCTGAATCAGAAAGGCCAGCCCGCCTCACTGGGGCAAAAGCTCCTGCAGGCTTTTCCCTGCCCGGGTTTCTCCATCACTGTTCTCCAAGTCCCTCTTAGGAAGCCCCTTCCTCTAGTCACATTCCTTTGGGCCATGGACGGCATCCACATGCCAGAGCTCTGGTAGCCCAAGGGGTGGTTTTGGCGGCCCCTTCTCTGAAGCCCATGTCCAGGCTGCAGGGAGAACCCAGGAGCTCGCGGGGCAGGAGGGTGTCTACAGGCACACCTGACCTCAGATGTGTGTACATGGCCCTCTTCCTTCAGACACCCGCCATCCACCATCCTGAAGGTGAATAAAAGACAGGCAGAGATTCAAAGCCACACGCAGGCCTCAGACTGCATTGCTCCTTGCTCTGAGGGGCTTCCTCTCAGAGGGGCTTCCTTCTCTCCCCTTGACCTCACCCTTTTAGAAAAGGAAGACTCTGAAAGGCAGATTCCTCACTTCACAATTCAGAGCACACCTTTGGAATCAACAAGGGGCTGGACAGTGAACACACCGAGGGAAGCAGCTCAGGTCCAAAAGAGCTTGTGGGGTGACCCCACCAACCCTGGACTTCCCAGACGCTCCCTCGGGGGTGGGCTGGTCTTGTACTTTCACTGTTGATGACCCCGAGGATTTACCTATTTGGGGGACACAGGTTCTCAGACCCACAGAAAGGTGAGGCTGGGCCCCGCAACCTCCTTCTTGGAGGCAGCAGGAAGTGGCATTTTCAGAGGAGCATGGGAGATGGTGCTACCGTCACGGCCTGCAGGATGTCTGTACGTCAGGGCCCTCCCCTAGGGACAGAGCTGCACGCATCTTCTTGGAACTAGGCGTCTGAGGTTCCAGAGACAGAGCATGATCTCAGGGGGTCTCTCGTCCTGCACTGAGGCCAGCCCCAAACCTCGTGCCCTATACTCATTTTCTCAGACAGCCTGCAAGCACAGTGATCTTGGCACAGAGCGACCTGACCAGGAGCCGTAGTGGATGGCACACCAGTGCTGCCTTCACAGCGACACTGCAGGGAGCCCCAGGACAGAAAGAGCCAGAAAGAGCAGTGGGATTCCTGCCCTCTAAACAGTCACATTGCTGCTTCTCTGTCCCATACAGGCTGGGGTGTGTGGCCTTCCTATCTGGGCTCCCCGAGGGGGCCCCTGATGGTTTACGGAATGGGGTGACAGCCGTTTCAGCAGAGGAGGGGAGTTGTTTAAGGGTTTATCTCAGACATGGGCCCAGATCCACCACTCCTCTCCTCCCGGGTCCATGGCAGAGCCAGTGCTCCCAGGGATAGAGTGCGACAGTGGGCTCGCTCGTCAGCTGTCCCTTGCTTCCACTCTGTCCCCCTCACAGAAGGCAGAGACACCTTTGTATGTCTCAGGCCATTCAATCCCTCACTCAGAGCCCTGCAGTGGCTCCCACCACCCTTAAGACAAAATCCAAAGTCCTCAGTCCCAACCTAAAGGCCTCTGCATCCAGCCCTGGACCCTCTTCGTCATCTCCTTCCTCCACCTGCACAGCCCCCGGACCCCGTGATGCCAGCCCCTCCTGCTACTTCTCCAGCATGCCCACACGTTGCTGCCTCGGCGCCTTGGCACTGGCCATTCCCTCTGTCTGGAACACTCTCCCCTCAGACATCCTGGGGTCCTCCCTCCCTTCCTTCTGTCTTGGCTCACAACATCAGCACCGGGGCCTGCCCTTCTGTCCTGGGCAACTGCAGCCCCCACCATTCCCCGTGGTCTTAATGCACTGCATTTATCTTCACAGCGTTATGGCGCCTGACATACATTTATTCGCCATGTCCCTGCTAAAATATAAACACCATGAGGGCCAGAACTTGACCTTGTCTCCACTGCGTCTCCAGCACCCCAAACAGGGCTCAGCACATCGGGGGCTCAAGGTTGTGGAATGAACAATGTAGGGCAGTCTGGATGGATGAGCTACGGCAAGAAGACCCCAAGGAGCCCTGGAGCAGAGAAGAGCACCCATGGCCTTCACCAGAGAGAAGCAAGCAGTGCACGCCTGGAGAAGCACCCAGACTGTGCATAGAGACTTCCAATTCTGCAAACTCTGGAAAGAGCATCTTTTGATGGGTATTGGAGAGACCAGCCTGTGTCCGGGCCTCTGGTCTCTTTGTCCAGGGTTCTCGTCGGCATCATCTGCTCAGCCTACAGTGGGTCATCATGCAAAGCCTGCCTGCAGGCTTCAGGGCTCCAGTCCTCCCTGCCTGGGGGTCGCTGACCCACAGCTTTGCATTGTCTATCAGCAGGGAATGGGGCTGCACTGAACCTCATGGGGGTTTAAGAAAGAATTCACCTGGTGTCTGTCCCTGGTTCCTGGGAGGTGATCTCTAAAACTGCTGGGGTTTCCAAGGGATAGGAGTGTCTTCTGTTATTCATAAAAAGCCACTCCTGACCACACCTGACCGTGTGCTGACCTGGCAACTCACAGGGACCCGTAGGAAGCTTCAAGTGTGAGGCTGGCCGTGCACGTGATTAGAGGGTTGGAAATTTCACTCCCCACCTCAGGGGAGCAGAGAGGGCTAGAGACAGCTCAGTCACGTGGCTCGGGGAGCTTGCGGTTGGTGAACTTGTGGGTGAACCAGCAGGGTGGTGCATCCTAACACCATGGGGAATGGGTGTGGATGCTCCGAACTCAACCTGTGTGTATCATACGACTGTCATACAACTGTCATTTTTAGTGTAGTGCTTTTTTGTTGCTGTCGTTCTGTGAACTGTAGCAAATTATCAAAACTGAGGGGTCCTGGGAACCTCTGAATTTGCCACTGGTCACAAGTGCAGGTGACCCTGGCAGCTTGCATTCGAAGTGAGAGCCATCTTACAGAGCACTTGGCCCAAACCCTGTGGAGTCTGACGCTGACTCCGGCGGTTAGTGTCAGAGCTGAACGGCAGTCACCCTCTCGGGGTGGGAACAGAGGCATCATGCCGTCCCCTCTAGAGCCACAGGAAGGCTTCAGGGCCCTCCCTGAGCCGCGGAGCAATCTGGGCAGCAGAACACGAACCGTGCAGGGGAGGGTCAGGCCCTGACTTTGGACTCTATGGCATCTTTGTTGACACCAGACAGTGGACCCCACACCCCGCCCACCCTCCTTCCAGGACTAACTGCCCCGCAGCCAGGCTGATGGGCTTCGAGGTACAAAGAGCGGTCACTCCTTAAAAATTCTACCCCATACCTTCTTGGGCGTCCGTCGATGTTCCCCCTCCTACTCCACAAAGACACCATGACTTGAAAGCTATAGAGAGCAGCACAGAACGCCCCTACCCCACAACCCTTGCTGGAAAATCAAATCACCGCATTAAAACGTATTTCCTCCACAAATGCAAACTCTGGGGATGGGCATGGCGGACAGGTGGGGCCGCCTTACCTGGTAGTGGGAGGTGAGGTCTGCTTTGCTGAGCGGGGAGGCCCCAGTGGGGCTCCTTCTGGACCGTCCTTGGCAAGGAGGGGGCTGCTGGGGAGGAGTGGCGACCACAGGAAGACTGTTAGCTTCTCAGAGGCAGAATTTCAACCTGCAGGGGGAAAAAAGCAAGTAAAAAAATTGCCTTTGAAGAAAACATCTTCCTTTTGATCTAAAACAAACATTTGGTATTAATAAACCAGGGAGGGGGCAGCTTCAAAGCCAACTGTTTGCCACCAGGGATCGAGGGATTGAGGGATCAGCACCCTCCAAAGGGCACTTTGCTTTTTATGCCCCAGGGGAGTAAAAGGAAACTTGCAGAAAACACATCATTAGGACCCTATTGCCAAACAGCCACCGTGCAGTCCATCCCAGGGTCCGCCCCTCTCCCAGCCCGCTTGCAATGGTCCCCCAATCCCAGGGACTCTTCCACCCCACCACGCTGGCCCCTCCCCATCGCCTTTCCCACTACCGCCCGCTCTTGCTTCCTCCCCCACCCAGCCTAGATTCCAGGACCCACCACTGTCCGCACTCTCCCAGCTACTTTGTCCCTCTCTTTTAAAAATATTCATCAGATGATGTCACTGTCCTGATCTGGTGACACAGCCTTCCACTGGTGTCCTGTGTCATTTGGAAGAAACACTTAAAGTTGCTTCAGTGGCCTGCAAGCCAGGTGAATCTGGCTTCTGTGATTTGGGGACTTCCTAAGAAAATAACATACGAGGTCTCACATGGGGGCCGTGCGCTCATAGACAGCTTCACGGTCAACCCCCTTTGCCTTTGGGGCTCTCGGCAGTCTGGCTCCCTCTCCTAGTATACTCCCTCTCTCCCCTGCAGCCCCACTGGCTTCCTGGCCATCCCTCCACACAGGCGCATGCCTCCCCGACCCCACCCCTGCACCACACCTTTGCAGGTCTACTGCATGGAATGCTCTTCCCTGCACAATTGCAGGCCTCCCTCCCTCCCTCCCTCCCTGCCTGCCTGCCTACCTGCCTCGGAGCTGTGCACATATGGCACCTTTCCAAGGCCATCCAGGAGCAGAACACCCCATCAAAATAACCAGCATCCCTATGGCATTTCCTTCTCCTTTTCCCCACGAATTTCCCCCCAGGGACTTAGCACATCTGGCTTCATGCGGATGTGCTGGATCCCGCCATCCCACTTTGCCTCCACTGGAATGCAGGCTCCCTGAGGGCAGGCATCCACAACGGCTGGATTTAGTGCTGAATCCCCAGTGCCCAGGATGTGCCTGGCACATAGCTGGGGCTCACTCCGTATTCTTCTGAGTGGATAAGTAAATGAATGAATGAATGAACCCACAAAAGTTACTCCCCCATTAATACTTCTGGGTTTATTTAGAATCATATCCCACGATCACACCGGAGAGCAGGAATTCCCGGGATATGGAGGGGACTGAAGGATTCTGTTTGTTTAGTTGGTGAGGGCTGGCAGGGGGTAGACCCAAGCCTGGGAAGTCTTGTTTGCTTAATTTACTCCAACCCAAACAGTGTATGTGTGCCATCAGCCAGACAGGACACAAAAACGGTTTAGGAGATCCACTCTGATTAGCCTGAGAGACTGTCTCTGGGACAGAGTCATGAGATCAGGGTGGCCAGGGAGTGGCTGAGCTGTGTCTCCCTGAATCCCCCCCACCACTGGCACCACCCAGAAATTTCACAACGGAGTTTTAAACAGCAACACACAACAATAATAAATCTACCAGTTTGTTTCTTTTCCTAAAATCCAGTCACTGGACAGAGTACCACCCCCATACCGAAGAACCGAAGAGCAGAACCAGCATCACAGAGAGCCCAGCAACCCCGGAGCAATGCCTGGGGAACATCTGCCCTTTCAGGGACCATTGGTACAGAGCCCAGTGCCCACTGCTGGGTGTGGGAGCCACTCTTCAATGGCAAAAGTGTAAGTAATAGGAACAGTTCCATGGATGAAATGCAGCCAGGGAGGTGGCTGGGAGAGGGCCTGGGTGCAGGGGGCCTGGGTGCAGGGGCCTGGGTGCAGGGGGCCTGGGTGCAGGGGGCCTGGGTGCAGGGGCCTGGGTGCAGGGGGCCTGGGTGCAGGGGGCCTGGGTGCAGGGGCCTGGGTGCAGGGGGCCTGTGCAGAGGTAGAGGACTCAGGTGGAGGTGGAAGGCAGCCCAGGTTGGGTAGGAAGGGGCTCCAGGAAGGGGCTGGCCTGGTGGGGAGAGAAAGCAGGCGGCAGGCTTCTCTGCGACCTAAGTGCTTGATTCTCAGCAGGAGCACAAAAGGCAAGGGCTAGAACTCACACTGCACCAGGCCCTGGGCAGGGAAGTCCATGGGGAACTGAAGATCTGCACCTAGCCTCCTCTGAGCCTGCTGTCCACACCCCCACAGCCCCAGCTTCCAGCTGTTCCAATGACCGGAGAAGCAGAAGTTTCTGTAAGCCCTCAAGTCTCCCCTGGTCCCCTTGGGGCTTTCAGGGAGATAATAGGATACACTTCTGGTCCTGGAGGCGATTCCCAAGCATTTGCTTTAACTCTCAATATCACCTCCTCCCCAGACAGGGCTCCCAGAGCCAGGATGGAGGCAGGTGGTCCAGGGAGACTCCTGCCCCGCTGCTCTCTCCCACCAGCCCCAAAGCAGAGGCTGCCCAGGGCCTGGGCGAGAGGAGAGCCTGGGGAGAGGCGGGCTGTCTGCCGGGGCTCTCACCCTTCCTGACTTGTCAGTTCTCTTGCCTTTGAGGCGGATGGAGCCCTCCTTCCCAGAGCAGTCCTGGCAGGGGAGGCGCCCACAGGAAGGAATGGAAACAGAGTCCATCCCTGGGGATCCCAAGTCATCCCCTGGGGCCACATGGACACCCATGCTGCCCAGCCTGGCAGCCAGTCCAGGGCCAGGGAACATAAACCCTTGAAGGAGAGGGGGAGGAATTAGAGGGAGCAAAGACAGGGTCGGGAGATGTGATGAAAGAACCCAAGAGAAGCTCCAACCCCACTGCTCCCCTCCCCAGCACAGAAATCTTTAAGTGTCATGCCTGAAACCCAGGCCGCCTTCTCTAGGTGCTGCTCTTGCTCCTCCCCCATCCAGCCTAGATTCCACATCCCCCCAGAGGCTGAGCTGAAGGCGGTGCCCCCAGCAGCCCCACACTTCTCCACCACACCTTGCAAGCCAAGCTCACAGGAGATTATTTCATTTTCATTTTAACTGGTCCTACCCAGCCCTGTCTGCAGCCGCCGGCTTAGAAGATGGAGACACGAGCGATCCACAGGCCGCCGAGTCCGGAGGGCAGGGATCAGCCTCAGGGCAGCCACCCCTGCCTGCGCTCGAGCCTCCTTGGCGCCCCGCACCCCTCCTCTGCCGCCGGCTAGGCGAAGGCGCTGCATCCTAGCCCCACCGATAGGCCCAGCCTGGTTTTGTTTTGACCCGAGCTGAGTGGGAGATAACTTAACAGCTTGTCCCCGATTGTAATGGCATGTTTTTCCCCACTCCGCAGTGGGAAACACCATCCATCATCCATAGCGCAGAACACGGGCCTATGGCCCCCTCCGCGTGCGCTCCTGTACCCCACGCCCCACCCCTTGGTGCTGCGGGGTTTAGGGGACCTCAGGGCTCGCCCCAGGCTTGTGGCTGGCAGAAGGAGTGGAACCACGGTGGGAGGCAAAAGGCCCAGTGACCAAGTACCCTTGACGGCTCTCTAGGCCCCGCAGCCCGGCAGGGTTGGGAGCGTAGTTGGGGGCTGGGCTGGGCTGCAGGTGGCTTCTCAGGGCGCAGTGGCAGGGACCAGGGTGGGCGGGGCCTGGTCGAGGCCACAGCCTACCATTCCCCCACTTCCTGGGGACAAAAGGGTCCAGTCTGTCTCGGGAGTGAGCTGTGTCCTCCTCATTCTCCGACCTGTATTTATTGCCCCTCACCATGCGCTGAGTGCAGTGCTCAGAGCACAGCAGAGCACACAGGGACACCCCACTGTTGACCTTCAAGGGGAAAAGCCCCTGCAGCCTCCTCAACTCCCCTTCTTCTGGGAGGTCAGTTGGGGAATTCTGAGATCCCATCCTGTCCCCTACACACACATATGCGTGCACATATGCTCACATATGCACACGAGCACAGACGGGCCATCCTGGACCCTACCCTCCACCTGCTTCCTCAGGATCTAATCCTCTTGCTTTAATGACAGGGCCCCCAAATAATAAAGGAGTCCAGGGAGAGGCTTAAGCATCCCCAGAAGGCTGGCTATGGGTGGCAGGGCCCCCAGAAGAGCTGGGAAGCATGAGGAGTGTCCTACAAAGGGTGAGGGCTGTGCCCTGGGGCTTGGAGGGGGGCCTCAGTCTCAGAGAAGGATTTTAAAGACTCCTGTGCCCGCATCTGCAGCTGGCCAGTTTCCTCTTCGCAGCTCTCAGCCTGGCTGCTTCAACCTGCTGCAGAACCAGCCAGCACTGCTCCCGAGGCAGCACGAGACTGGGGCAGCCCCTGGTGCTCTGGCCCCAAAAGGTCTCCTCTCAGATTCTTGTCATTGGAAAGAGAAGATAGAAAAACAAACATCTGGACTGCTATAAAGTGTCCTCTATCAAAAAATAAGCAGATACACAAAGGGAGAGGGAGGTAGCAGAAGGAGTGAGAGAGACCGAGGGAGGGAAGAGGAGGGAAGGAAGCCTCTGGGGATGAGGCATGTTCACCCAGCCTGGACAGGGGAAGATTGAGGAGGGCCATGGCAGAGGTGTGGGTGAGGCACACAAGGTAGCTGGAGCAGAAGCCACAGGCAGATAGCCCAGGTGAGATGCACTGGCCAGGCAGAGAGGAGGCTAGGATGGCAGGCCCTGGGCAAGGGCAGAGAAGGCAGAAGTCAGATGACCTGCCCTGGCTGGCCCCGACGACCTTGGACTCACGAGTTGCCTTTGGTCAGAAGCGTGGACTTGTGTTGACAAAGATGCTGCAGAGGCCGGGTGGCGGGGAGGCCAGAAGCAAGGGACACGCACAGCTAGGAAAGAATGTGCTGAGATGGGGGAGAGGAGAGCCTGGCCGAATCACCATCATCATCCTCGTCCTCAGCCCCCCGTCAGTGTTTGCTCACTATCGTGCCCCAGCGCCTGGCCAATGCTGGCACACAGTAGGCGCTCAGCAGTTTTGGTGAAATGAATGCTGCAAAGAAGGAAGTCAATCTGGGTGAGTGGCATGGAGCTGGGTAATGTTTCTGATGAAAATTCCAGCACTTTGGGACGCTGAGGTGGGTGGATCACGAGGTCAGGAGTTTGAGACCATCCTGGCTAGCACTGTGAAACCCTGTCTTTACTAAAAATACAAAAAATTAGCCAGGTGTGGTGGCAGGCGCCTGTAGTCCCAGCTGCTTGGAGAGGCTGAGGCAGGAGAATGGTGTGAACCCAGGAGGCGGAGCTTGCAGTGAGCCGAGATCGCTCCACTGCACTCCAGCCTGGGTGACAGAGCAAGACCCCATCTCAGAAAAAAAAAAAAAAAAATTCCTGGGTGACCTGAACACCAACAAATGGGATCAAGAAGTTGTCACTGATTTGCATCTGACGACGGGATGGTCTTCAGGCTCCTAGAGGTGGGGGTGAGGTGGAATGAACTTCCCATTCTACATGGCAAAGCAAATGAACTCAGCCCACCTAAAACACAGGCACCCCAAGACCCTCACACTCACAGCCTCCTGTGCAGAGAGAGGACAAACAGCCAAGCATACATCCTGGATTTTTTTCCGCACATCTCCAAATAGAAGGCCACACTTGGACTTCAGCATGCAAGGACAGGCTGGGGACATCACCAGTCCCTTATAAATTAAGGCTCATCTGAGGACATGGCTTCATTTATAGGATTTAAGATGAGGCATCACAGAGAGGCAGAAGTGGCCGGTGAGTTGAGGCGGAGCCCCCCATTTCACTACCCCCTCCCCGGGGCCTACTGACAGCAGCACATGGGGGAATGAGACAATGGTCCCCCTCTGGGCAGATGCAGCCTTGCCAGTGCAGGACTTGAATTCTGAGGCTGTTCGTCTTCTCAGAGCATGCTACACTCCATTCTCTGCAACAGCCTGATTGGCATGCCTTGGAACATTCCAGGCCATGGCAAGGGAAAAGCTTGGAGCAGGACCCGCAGGCCTGGGTTCTCCTCCCAGCCCATCACTGTGTGACCTGGGACATCTGAACATCCCTGATCCTTTCCGCATCAACTCACAGGAAGTGTCTACTATGTGGCAGATGCAGACCCAGGTTCCGGACATTCAACAAGGTACACTAGCAACCCCATCCCTGCCCAAAGTGTCTTGGATGTCACCTTCCCTGCCCCCTGTATGAGGCACACAGAAAGAAGACAGAAAGGGCTTTGCACTAAATCACAGCTGCGCTTTCTCCTAATACTCCGAGGAGTCAAATGACCTCTGAAGGCCACCAGAGCCACAGGCCTCTTTGTGATGGTCACACATGGGCTTGTGAAAGAGCCATTTAGGGACATAGCATAGGGGACTCTGAGACCAGGGGCTCCAAAGGAAGGACCCTAAAATCACCAGAAATCAAGTTTGGGTTTTTATAGCATTTTGCTTATCTTTTGTTTTGTTTTGTTTTGTTTTTTAACAAAGATAGCAATATCACCAGAAATATGCTTGCATTCTTATTTGGCTTCCTGGAGGGACTCAGAAAATGGCATTTGCAAAATCTCAGAGGACTCCACTCGCACATTTTAGATTTTACTTTTCTCCCCAAACTACGCCTTTGCTGGTTCATTTTATTGCAGAGAGCGGAACATTTTAGCCTTCTAGTCCTGCCAGAAAGTTAAAAAAAAAAAAAAAAAAAAAAGAATCAGAGTAATGGCAAGGATTTAACATTCTTCATTTATTTTATTTTTTGAGACAGGGTCTCACTCTGTCACCCAGGCTGGAGTGCAGTAACTTGAACACAGCTCACTGCAGCCTCCACCGCCCAGGCTCAAGCAATCCTCCTGCCTCAGTCCCCCAAGTAGCTGGGACTACAGGTGTGCGCCACCATGCCTGGCTAATTTTTGCATTTTTTGTAGAGATGGGCTTTCACCATGGTGCCCAACCTGGTCTCGGACTCCTGAGCTCAAGCGATCCACCCACCTTGGCCTCCCAGAGTGCTGGGATTACAGGTGTGAGGCACTGCACCTGGTCCAACATTCATTTTTTTAAAACCATGGAATTCTCCAAAGGTACTAGAGCTGTGCACCCTCCCAACTGCAGCATTTCCTCAGGGTATGCAGCCCTCTGGAGCTTGCCCGGGGTGCAGTTCCTCAAGGCACTGTTCTCTTTCCTTCTGTTTTTCTTACACTAGCTTCTCCCTGGGTGCCAGTGGTTCTACTTCTGCCATCTTTTCTGGTTAATCCCTCTCATACCTTTCAGGGCTGCTGGCTTTGCTCTCTTCCATTTTCCATCACCCCAATTCCTCCTCAGCCTCTGTACCCCGCAAAACATAAGCTCCTAACCAAAATCAGAGTTTAAAATAGGACTCAAACTAAGAAAGCAAAATTTGCTCTTTCTTTAACCAAGAGAAAAACAACACAGAGCACCTCATTTTAGTAGTAAAGATTATAGGGAATATACAATATTCAGAATAAATGAACCTCCTCCCCCTGTTTTTAAACCACTCTTGTGAAACCAGCTTAATTCCTGGCTCCCCTCATGCCTTCTGAATCCTGTCTCTGGCAAAAATAATTTGGGTTTTATTCTTCTGGCATCTGGTGGGAGTCGGTGACAATTTTACTGTAGCTATACTTCTTCTTTTTTAATACCAGTGTGTTTTAATAATACAGTGTACCTTTTGGTATTGTTGAAATGTTACATTATTCAACGTATCCAACGGGAAAGGGAAAGGCCTTTTGTAATTTATGTGTCCTCAGTGCTGTGTTTAAAGCTTGCAAAGTGGAGGGCTGTAATTTGGGAAGCAATTTTCCCCAAGGTCGGGAGAATGGTTTCTGGAGGAGAGGCTGGAGACTGCCTGACCCGGGTTCAGTGGGGCTGGGGGCCCAGAACCCTGGCCATGAGGCTGATCCTAGTGGTAGGGAGTACCGTGGGCTCAAAATCAGAAATGTTCCCCAAAATACAGCAACAACAACAAATCCTCAGCCTGGCTATGGCTGGCTTGCTGGGCCACTTGGGTTTCAAGCAACTCATTTAGTTTCCAGTTTCTGGCCCTTCCAGAGAGCATCACTGCTGTGCTAAACATCCATGAGTCCCTCCTGCATGGATACTGGGGCACAGCTGGGAACACCACAGGCACCTGTTGAGGGGCCTGCAGTGTAGAGAGAGAGAGAGAGAGAGAGAGAACAGGTAAACCACAACCCCAGAGGCAGGGTATGGGCTCCTACAAGATGGCAAGCTCTAGAAGGTTGGGGCCTTATTTTTCTCAGCACCACAGCTAAGCCATCGAGAATGGTGCCTGGCACACCCCAGGTGCTAAGCAAACATGCTTGAGTGAGTGCATGAAAGAGTGAAGAGCCAATAGAGAGACATGGGTGACGGGTGTCTAGGAACCTAAGCAGAGGTACTGCATTCATGGGAGGTGTTCTGGCTTCCTAGGGCAGGTGACCAACCCTGGAGTGAATCGGAGAGGAGAGGGGAGGGGAGGAAAGGAGAGGGGAGGGGAGGGGAGGGGAGGCGAGGGGAGGCGAGGGGAGGGGAGGGGAGGAGAGGGGAGGGGAGGGGAGGGGAAGGGAGGGGAGGGGAGGGGAGGGGAGGGGAGGGGAGGGGAGGAGAGGGGAGGGGAGGAGAGAGGAGGGCAGGTGCAGAGCCTTGGACAGAAGGGGTAGGGGAAATGTCATCTAGGGAATGCAAATAATAGAGGAAGTTTAGGACTAGGGGTAGCAGGAGATGAGACCAGACATATAAGTTAGAAACCAGATCAGGAAGTACCTTGAACACCATGCCAAGGACTTTAAAAAGCCATTTGAGGAATTTTAAGTAGGACATGATGAAGATTTGGGTATTCGGAAGCACGCTCTGGTGCCGATGTGGGCTGGGTAGAGGGGAAAAACCAAGGCAGGAATCTCAGTAGGGAGGTGGCCCAGGTGATCCAATGGCCTACGGAAGGGCGGATGGAGTTAGTGACTGTGAACACCAGGACTCGGTGACCAGTCCCACCCACATGGGAGATGAGGAAGACGCAAGCCACCTCCCGGGTTTCGGGTTTGTCCAACTACATAAATAGGGGGCCAGTTTGTGATAAGGTGAGGAGGAAGAAGTTGGGCTTGGGAGACCAGGACATCAGGAAATTGCAGTGCAGGGGCCTTCAGCTTGGTGATGGTGTCATTTATCGCATTATTACCCACAGTCTACTCTGCTATTCCTTACACCTTTTCCTATGTTAAAAATGGCACAAGGCCGGGCATGGTGGTTCATACCTGTAATCCCAGCACTTTGGGAGGCCAAGGTGGGCAGATCACTTGAGGTCAGGAGTTCAAGACCAGCCTGGCCAACATGGTGAAACCCTGTCTCTACTAAAAAACTACAAAAATTAGTCAAGTATGGTGGTGCATACCTGAAATCCCAGCTACTCGAGAGGCAGGAGAATTGCATGAACCTGGGAGGTGGAAATTGCGGTGAGCCAAGATCATGCCATTGCACTCCAGCCTGGATGACAGAGCAAGACTCTGTCTCAAAAACAAAACAAAAAAGAAATGGCACAGTATGATGTTTCAAGGCCGATGGGGCTGAGCTCACACTGGACATGCTGAGTTTGAAGAGCCCCTGGAATGTCGGGGAGGAGGGTTGGTCAGTGGTGGTGCTAGCATCCAAGCTGGAGAGAATCCTGCCTGCACTGGGGACTGTGGCAGTCCAGGCTCTAAGACAGCCCCTGTGTCTTCACCTCCTGGTGCCCAGACACCCCCTGGTGTCACCTCCCCTGTCATACCAGCACTGGTCTGTGTGACCAATAGAATTCAGCAGAAGTGAAGGTTCATCAATTCTAAGATTAGGTCTTAAAAGAGCTCCATCTTTCTCTCACTCTGGAGGAAGTCAGCCGCCCTGTCATGAGGACACTCAGGCAGCCCTACAGAGAGGCCACCTGGAGAGGAACTGGGGCCACAGCCAGCAGCCACGAGAGAGACCAGCTTACAAGCAGATCCTCCAGCCCCAGTTGAGCCTTCCCATGCCTGCGGCCCCGGCCAACATATCAACGCAACCTCGAAGGGACGCTGAGCCAGGCACTCAGCTGAGCCCCTCCCAGATTCCTGAACCTCAGAAACCATGAGCTAATAAATGATTGTTGTCTAAAGCCATTAAATTTGGGGATAATCTATTACACAGCAATAGATAACATAGGGATTACAAAAAAATATGAATGGTGGCTGGAGCCACAGGCATGGAGAAGAACGCGAAGTGAGAAGACAGGATGAGAGCAGATTACAGAGGTGAGGAAGGTCACACTGGGACACGCCAGGAGGCAGTGGTGGGAGAGAAAGGCCCGTGAGGAGGGAGGAGGAAGAGCCCTCAAAAGGAGGAAGACAAGGCTGAGAAACACAACAAAATCCCAAGGATGAGAGGTCTATTAGGCTGTTCTTGCATTGCTATACAGAGATGCCTGAGGCTGGGTCATTTATCAAGAGAAGAGGTTTAATTGGCTCCTGGTTCTGCAGGCTGTACAGGAAGCACCGTGTTGGCATCTGCTCCTGGTGAGGTCTCAGGAAGCTTCCACTCATGGTGGAAGCTGAAGAGGGAGGAGGCGTATCACACGGCAAGAGGGGAGATGAGGGAGGCACCACACTCTTTTAAACAACCAGATCTCACATGAACTAATTGAGGGACAACTCACTCATCACCAAGGGGGTGGTACTAAGCCATCCATGAGGGATCCGCCCCCATGATCCAATCACCTCCCACCAGGCCCCACCTCTAACACTGGCAAATGATTTCAACACGAGAGTTGGAGGGGGACACACATCCAAACCGTATCAAGAGCATTTCCAGAAGGAGAGCGTCAGATGCTACAAAGGCACAGCAGGACCCCGGCTTCCCAGGGACCAAGTTCTCCCCCTACCCTGTCTCAGTCCAGACCTTCTTACCTGCCACCTCCCTGCCTGGCTGCTGGCCCCATCACATCTCTCAGATCCCACTCCCAGGGTCTTCGGTCTTCAATGAGAGGCCTTCCCTGACCACCCATGCTAAAGGAGTCCCCAACCCCAGTTTCCCGGTCACTCTGTCATAGCTGCCTGGCATTTGTTGCAAGTTGTAATTATATTTTCATTTGTTTCTGTCTCAGCCATGACCTATGAAGGCTGGGAAATATCTGTTTCATTCACTACCATAAACCAAGTGCATGATATATCCTAGTTTCTCTATATTTGTTGGATAAATGGATGGAAAGAAAGAAAGATAAAAACCCTGAGTTTCACCTGGAGGCCCAGTTCAACTGGTGGAAAAACCACTTCCCTCCCCAAGTCACACACCCGCCGCGGCAGTAGGGCTCCTTGGCTCTGGAGGAAAACATAGCTGGGCTGGGGGAGGAGGTGGAGAAGGACAGGAGACTCTGAAGTTGACCCAGACCAGCTCTTCCATCATTCTAAAAGTGGGGAAGCTGGATACGGTGGTGCATGCCTGTAATCCCAGCTACTTAGGAGGCTGAGGCAGGAGGATCACTTGAGCTGAGGAGTTTGAGGCTAGCCTGGGCAACATAGCAAGACCCCATCTCATATCTCATAAATAAATAAATAGTAATTAAAATGAGGGCTTCTTTAGGAATTCCAAGTGGCCACCGTATTTCCTTCAAGCATTCAACAAACATCAACAGGCTGAGGCTGTACAACTGGGCTAGGTGGTGGGAACCTGTCCCCTCAGCAGTTCAGAGTCTTGGTGGGGAAGCTGGCAGCCAGGCAGGGCAGGAGAAGATGCAGTGTAAGGGGTGAGGCCTGAAGGCTGACTGTCCCCCTCCACCCTTCCTCCCCGAGCTGTGAGGCCCTGGGCAAGTAGCATAACGTCTTAAACTTCCACAGCTTGCCTGTAAGCAGGACTGCTCCCACCGCACAGGCTGGCACCCCCTCTTGTTCCTCACCAACAAAGCACTTGGGCCTGGGCCAGAGCATAGGTCCACATTGCCATGATTTCAACTGGTAATTACAATACACTGCAGAGAAGACACACAGAGCACTGTGGACACAGGGAGGGTTGGAGTGGGCTGGGGAATGAGCAGCTTTCTGAAGGAGGTAACAGTGGAGGCTTGAAGGAGCGGGAGGCGTGGAGCAGAGAAGCAGCTCAGAGACATAAACCCTCCCATGCCCAGGCAAGGAGGCCAGAGGGCCTGAACAGCTGAGGGCTTCAGCAGCAGGACCCAGGCTGGAAGTGAGGCCCGTCAAGGACTGAACCCAACCCTGCCTACAGAGGAGTATCTGTGGCCAGCGGCACAGTCACCAACACCAGCATCCGGTCCAGGGCCACAGCCTGAGATAGCCACACCCAACAGAGGCACAAGAGGACCCACGCAGGAGCCATGCAGAGCTGGAGGTCGATGATTTTCATCTGAACAGGGAGCTGGGCCCCGAGGAGGACTTGGAACCACCCAAGTCTGCCCCATCTTTGGGGGTGGCTGTCTGTCCACGCAGTGGCCATCTGGGATATGGAGGGTGGCACGTTTGCCACAGTTCAGGTTCATCCCCATGCGTGCTTCCCCAGGTGTTGTGCCCCGTTAAGGGTCGAAGCCCCCTCCTCACAGCCCATCCTGTTTCCCGGTCCCCTCGAGGATCTCCACAGGTGAGTTACCTGGCTTACGTCGGGTGGGAGGTGAAGAGAGGAACTTTCTAGTTGCTTTTCTCCAGCTTGGAAGTGAGGCCTTGGAGAAGCCTCCTGAAGGGGGGAAGGGAGGGACGGCTGGCACGGGTCGTGAACACCATGGGGGAAGCAGAGAAGGGCGGGGAGTTGGGGGGTGCAGGGGGCTTCCGGGGGACAAGGGAGGGGCACTAGTGTAGAAGCCACGATGGGGTGGGGTACAAGGGCACAAGGAGGTAGGAAGGGGGAACAGGGGGTGGAGGTGTGGGGAGAGGGAGAGGGGACTGGGACAGGGGTGCAAAAAGGCAAGAAGGTGGGGGAGGGGTGCAGAGGGTGGGGAGGTGGGGGAGGGGTGCAGAGGGTGGGGAGGTGGGGGCAGGGGTACTGGGGGCAGGGATGGGGATGTGGGAAGGTGGGGGAGGGGTACAGAGGGTGGGGAGGTGGGGGAAAGGGTACTGGGGCAGGGATGGGGGTGCAGGAAGGTGGGAATGGAATGCATGGGACAGGCACAGGTACATAAAGGTGGTTGGGGGCACAGGGGTGCAGATGGAGGGAGGTGGGGGAGAGGGTATGACAGGGTAGGGCACGGGGCAGGGGAGGGGTGCAGACATCCACAGTCTGGGTGCAGGTGTAGGGTGGCAGAAGGTGGTTGGGGGTGTAGGCGGTGGACGGGGTGGAGGTTAAGGCAGAGGCCCCTGTGGGCAGGGACCCTGCAGGCCGGGACCCTGCAGGCCTCCAGCCTCGGCACAGCCTGAGCAGTGGCAGCGTGGCAGATGGGAACGTGCAGAAACATGCAGAAGCATGGCCCCTGGTTAATAAGATTAGGATGTTGAACGGCCGACATGTTCTCCGAGACTGGCTGTATGCCACAAATGGAGGGGACTGCGACCTTAATAGAATGCTGAACTTTTGGAAAGTGGAGCAAAATGGAGAGAGTCAGAGTTGGGGACTGAGAGTCCCCCTCTCGGGCTGGAGGCCAGGGCTACTGGTGACCTGAGGGCTTCCGGGAGTTCAGAGTGGGGCATTTTCACTTCTGGATCCTAAAAGCCGGTGGGCCTGGATGGGACTCATTCCTTGGCGTCCTGTTACAGCAACAGGAATGACCAGCGCTCCTAAAGGCCCCCCACCTGGCCCTGAGACCTCCATCTCTGCCCACGGTCTGGCTGCATCTCCTGGAAGGTTTTGTTTTTTAATGCTCCTGTCCTGGGGCTCTTCCTCTCTCTAGGCCTAGCACACACTTCCAGCCTGGGCATCAGGGAAATAACTCAAAACCATAACACGCTTTAAAAAATACACTAGCCAGCAACTGCAACAACATTTGCTTTGCACAAACATTTCAAGAGAATTCCCCAGATAGTCTTGCTGTGGGGGAATTCTAGCCACCAGGAGAAAGCTGCCCAGGCCCTGGCGGGGCTTGGCTTCCCAGCGGTCCCTGGCCACCTTGAGGACAGGAGGCAAACAGGGACAGACAGCAGCAGAGGGGTTTGAGGCCACAACAGCATACAGAATTTCCTGGCAGGATGTGTCATTAGAGCTCTCCTAGAGACGGCCCTTACCCCACCCTTTCCTTGACAGCCTAGGACACAGTGATGCCCACCTCTGAGCCTCCCATGCGTTATCTTAGGTGTTCACGAGATTGTCACGTGAATGCCGAAAGCCTGCCTGCCTCCCACGGAGCTGGGAGCTCTTGAGGACAATGTCTGCCACGTAGCAGGGCATGGAAATCTTCCTGAGTGATTTGGGTGTTACCTGTGTGGAGCCGATGACCTTTCACGGTCCTTGCCTGCCTCGGGACCCCTGTTCTGTCAGGCTGTCCCCATGCTATCCCTCCCAGCCAGCCCATCACCTCAAAGAAGCGGGGCTGTCATGAGCCTGCACTGGCTGAGGCCATCATGAGAGCCCTCCTAAGGTGGAAGCGGAAGTCCTGGGTCCACCCCCTGCATGGCAGCCCCCACCCAGGTGCACTGCCACTCCTCCCCCTGGCCCCATGACTCAAGGAACTTTCCTGGGAGCTGGGAAAGCTGGGAAATATCTCAATTTAGGTCATGGCTATAATGGTACAGATATTTGTCAAAACTCACTGGACCATACTAAGACCTACGCATTTCATAGTATGTAAATTACCCTCAGTTTTTTAATTTAAAAAAGTTAACTCCTGGACCGAAAACAGATTTGAGCAAAAGCCACTGCCTCAGACCCCTAAGGCTTCCAATGGACCGCAGAGTCTTTTATTCAGCCAAAGTCAGCCAATGGAGCCCAAGCAATACGTTTGGGAAAAAAAGCAATCATCAATGTAATGATAAGGAAAGTGTCTCATACGTAGTACTAGGAGACCTGCCTCGGTGAGTTTCTACCAGCAGTGGCAGGAAGGCCAGAAGCCACCGGTGTCCACACAAAGCCTGGCTCTTTCCTCATCAGTTCTCTGGCAGTGAGGAGAGGGCAGGAGTAAACACGAAGCTCTAGAACAATGTCCTCTTCCCAGCCCCCCAGCTGGCTGCCTGGGTAAGGTGCCAGGTAGGGATGGACATTACATACACAAGGCTGGTGGTACTGAGGGGCCATCTCTGAAGGTGTGCACCTTACAGCAACACAGATGGGCACGGCCAAAGCTGCTCCCCTCCCCTCTGGAGCCAATGGCCACCCCAGCAGGGACTAAGCCAAAGCTTAGAGTCTGCCCAAGACCTCCCCAGGTTAAGAGAGGCTACTGCAGGACTCCAGGAGCTTCCCCACTCCCTCTGACAGCAACAAGGCCCTGGCCTTGGACCAGACCCCTAGAAGAGCAGATGTTAGGCAGATGTGCAGGAGGCTCCAGAAGGTTATGGTGGGAACAGCTGTGGGTGCTGAGGAGCAGACAAAAGCAGACAGGAGAGGAGCAGAATGGAGATTTACCTCTTTGGCAAGAGGCTCTTCTGACCACCGCTTGCCCTGCCTTTTGGCTGAGAACACAGACTGAGGCCTGGCAGAGAGAAGGCCTTGCTATGTAAGCCCAGGTTGACTCAGGGCCAGTTTTGGCCTTCAGTATGCTCTCCCTCAGGGATCCCGCCATGACATCTGCCTTCATAGGAACTCGTTTTCCTTTTGCGCTCCTTTGGGCAGCATTCTTACAATCCAACAGAAGAATTCTGGCTCTTGTGGAGCTTCATGAAGGGGGAAGACCTCCCAAAACCAGTATGGCTCAACAAAGCGCCACCTGCCCACTCATCCATCCACCCATCTACATACCTACCCAACCACTCACCCATCCATCTACTCACACAGCCATCCTTCCACCCACCCATCCATCTACCCATTCACTCATCCATCCATCCATCCATAAGCCTACCCATCCATCCACTCATCCATCCACTCACTCACCCATCCATCCACTTACCCATCCGTCTACTCATGCACCTATCCTTCCCCCCACCCCATCTACCCATTCGCCCATCCATCCATGCATCTATCCATCCATCCATCCATAAGCCTACCCATCCATCCACTCATCCATCCACTCACTCACCCATCCATCCACTTACCCATCCACCTACTCATGCAGCCATCCTTCCACCCACCCCATCTACCCATTCAGCCATCCAGCCATCCATCTGCCTACCCATCCATACACTCATCCATCCACTCACCCACCCTTCCATCCACTTACCCATCCATCCACTCATGCACCCATCCTTCCACCCACCACATCTACCCATTCGCTCATCCATCCATCCATCCATCCATCCATCCATCCATCCATATGGCTACCCATCCATCCACTCATCCATCCACTCACCCACCCATGCATCCACTCATGCACTCATCCTTCCACCTACCCATCCACTTACTCATATGTCCACTCATATACCCATCCATCCACTCATACCCTCATCTACCCATCCATCCATCCACATTCCTACCCATCCATGTACTCACTCATCCATCTACTCACTCATCTATCCACTTATCCATCCATCCATCCACCCACCCATCCATTCACTCATCCACCCACCCACCCATCCATCTACCCATTCACTCATCTATTCATCCAATCATACATATACCTACTCATATATCCATTCATCCATCCATTCACATATCCATTCACCTGCCCATCCAACCACCCACCCATCTACCATCCATTTATTCATCCACTATTCATTCATGCACTCATCCATCCACGCATCCAACCTTCCATCCATCTATATATTCATCCATCCATCCATCCATCCACTATTCATTCATTCACTCATCCATCCATGCATCCAACCTTCCATCCATCTATATATTCATCCATCCATCCATCTACCCACTCACCCATCCACCATCCATTCATTCATCCACAAAGAAACCCCAATGAGAGGGGGTGAGAAGGCCCACAACAGGGGCAGGGTTTGGAGGTCAGTACTACAAAGCCTGAAATGTGAGGTACCTACAAGTCTGGGCTTGGGTATCAGATAATCCTGGATCAAAATCCTGGCTCCCTTGTCACTATCTTCGGGCAAGTTACTTAACCTTTCTCAACTTCAGTTTAATCACCTATAAAATGGGGCAATAATAACTTTCTCATTGGGTTACCATAAGAAACAGATGAGACCGTGTATCCAGAATGCTTGCTCTGGTGGCAGGTACATAGTTAGCATTTGATATACAGTGGTGGCCATTATCCGCATCATCATCAGAATTGGCCACCCTCCACACCAACAAAAGAGTATGCATTAATGGGGCTCTCTATTCTTTCCTACTTCATGCCCTTTGCCATGCGATTTTGCAGTTTTTCCTGCAAAAGAGGTGGAGCCTCCTTCCCTACCCTCTATGAATCTGGGCCTGCCGTGGGACTTGTTCAGAATGAGGTGGAAGAGATGGTGAGCCATTTCCAAGCCTAGGCGAGAAGAAGCCTTGTATGTTTCCACTTGTTCTGTCATTGCCATGGTTGGCTCCCTGGTCCCAGGACGGGGATGAAAGATCCATAGAGCACAGCTGCCCCAGCTAGACCAAGCCAGGAGCAGGGCAACTGAATCAACCCACAGACCCATAAGGGAGACCAGCCAGGGTCAGCCAACTCCCAACGACACAGACTTGTGAACCATAAAGAGAAATGACTTTTTTTTTTTTTTTTTTTTTTTTGAGATGGAGTTTCACTCTTGTTGCCCAGGCTGGAGTGCAAGGGTGCAATCTCGGCTCACTGCAACCTCCGCCTCCGGGGTTCAAGTAATTCTCCTGCCTCAGCCTCCTGAGTAGCTGGGATTACAGGCATGCACCACCACGCCTGGCTAATTTTGCATTTTTAGTAGAGACAGGGTTTCTCCATGTTGGCCAGGCTGGTCTCGAACTCCTGACCTCAGGTGATCCTCCCGCCTTGGCCTCCCAAAGTGCTGGGATTAGAGGCATGAGCCACCATGCCCAGTCATTGATTGTTGTTTTAAGCAATGGGTTTTCATAGTTTGTCGTGCAGTAATAGCTAACTGGTATACCTTCCCCCTTCAATTTCCCCATCCCCCTTCTCCTTTTCCCGTATCAAAAGACATTGATTATGAAACGTCTAGTTCTGTCTCCCTTACAAACCAGAAAAGGAAAGACTTCTGCAAGAGATCCTGTGAAGCCTCAACTTCCCTGCCTGCAGCCCCTGCCTGTTCCCTGGAAACAGGAAGTGACAGTGAAGCCCAGGAAGAATGACGTTGAGGGCAGGTGGGCCAGGCTTGG
Source organism: Homo sapiens (assembly GCF_000001405.40). NCBI lineage: Eukaryota > Metazoa > Chordata > Mammalia > Primates > Hominidae > Homo > Homo sapiens. The sequence goes on from NC_000017.11 coordinate 79,500,851, forward strand.
AGATGCAGACACCCGTGCTAGGGACACGTTTGCTTGTGTGCCTGTCTACTTAAGTACTTTTAATTCAAGGTAACCCAATTTTCAGCATCTCCAGGGAGTGGGCTCTCAGACGTGGGAAGTATGAGAATTTGCTGTGGAAATCACTGCCGAGGGGAGATTAGGGCTTCCGTGAAGGGTGCGGAGCTCTTTCCTGCAAGACCATTAGGGATTCCGCACAGCGCACGTGGCGTAAATCACTTCCTATTCAGGCCTGCTGATGAGGGGCTCAAAGGTCGATTTTCCATGGTTATGACAACAAAAACTAAAATTGGGTCAAACCCGAAAGCTATTATCTTCCTCCGAGCCGCTAAATGCTCAAGAGTAATGAGGTTGGTTGAGCAATACGCTCCAGCCTGCTTGCAGGCTGCGGGGAAGACAGACAGGCCCATTCACTGGGCGGGCTCAGCCGCCCTGCCACACCTCCACATGTCCAGCGGAAGGTCCCAGACCCTTCATCTCGCTGGCCAGAGAGGCTGGTTGTCTGCAGCCCTCAGGCCCTTCTTCCTGCCTGTAAAAGCCTCACAGCTACCAAAGAAGAGATGTCCAACAGCTCCAGGAAACCTGAGTCACTGGGGTTGGTGGGGGAGGCCACTTTTGTTCCCGAGTCCCACCCTCTGCCTCCTCCTTGTCATTATGACAGCCACAGGTTTGAACCTGCAAGAGCCGAGGGGCTAAGGATTTGTTCCAGCTGGGCCCCTCCCTCTGAGGAATCCTGGCCTCTCACTGTGGCAGACGCCATGCCAATACCTGGAATTTGCATAATGTGCCCTTCTCCTTATACATTATTGATTTGCATTCCATGCACACACATGCCCCGCCTGGAACCCATCCTTCAAAGCCTCACTGTCAATAGGCTTCAAATTAGACCCATCATCTCAGTTTATACAGTATTTAACAACTGACCTGTCCCACAACTTGGAGTTATTCTTAGAAACTGCCCTGCCTTATCTCAAGAGAAAGAGAAGAGGGAAAACGGGGGAGATATTTAAAGCCAGAAGTATCCCTCCAGAATTGATTTTGTTCTCTAAATTATGTGACAGCCATTTATTAAAATGGTGGATGGGGCATGTTGGCAAAGCTGGGGACACGCTGGCAGCACCCGGCCAGGGTGAAGTGGACAGATCCTGGAGAAATATCTGAGAACCCTGGTCATTGCCACACTCACAGGCCACGTGACCACTAAGCAGGTCCCACTGAGCCTTGATATAAGCCTCAATGTGCTCATCTGAAAAATGGGGCTAATATAACCTATTTACAGGGTCTGGAGAGAGTGGAGTGAGATTAGTTAAATGAAAGGGCTTTGAAAACATTAAACTATATTCTGATACATGAGTGAACCTTGAAAACATTAGGCTAAATGAAATAAGCCAGACACAAAAGGACTAATACTCCACTCATGGGAAGAACCTAGAATAGCCAAATTCATAGAGAAGGAAAATAGGGTGGTGGGGTGCCAGGGATGGCAGGGAGGGGGAAGGGGAGTTGGTGTTTAATGGAGACAGTTTCCATGGGGAAAAATGACAAAGTTCTACAGATGGAAGGTGGTGATGGCCACACCACAAGGTGTGTTCACTTAATGTCACTGAACGGGCCACTTTAAAATCATCAAGATGGTAAATTTTATGTTATGCATATTTTACCACAGTAAAAAATGTAATGTTTCACCATGATACAACTGTGCAGTGATGTGATGTCAGTTCCTGTGTCTTTCAGGAACATTTATCTCATGCCCCCAGCCTGGAACTGGAACCCTGCTTGGGCAGAGGGAGCAGCTCCAATCTTGCCTTTGAACTGGAGAAAAACGGGGTTCCATTCCTTGCTGTTGCCTCTTCGGCCTTTACCACGACTCACTCATGCCGTGGAAAAGCATGGATTCTGTTCCTCGGCACAGATCCAGAGTTTGAGAGAGGAGGCCCGGCCTCCCCACTCCCTGTCCACGGGGTTCCAGCAGGCTTGCAAGGAGGGGGACCCTGCCGCCACCACCCTGGCCAACCTCCTCCAGCCTTTCACAGAGAACCCTTTCAAAGTCCTGTCCCGATCAGCTCAGGACCCCATAACAATATCACAGACTGGGGACCTTAAACAAGAGACAGGTATTTCCCACAGTTCTGCAGGCTGGGAGTCCGAGATCAGGGAGCAGCGTGGTCGGGTTTTGTGGAGGGCTTTTCCGTGCTTACAGACAGATGCCTGTTCCCTGCATCCTCATGTGGAAGAGAGAGGGGAGAGAACAGGCTCCCTGGTGTCTCCTGCTATAAGGGCACTGATCCCATCACAACGGCCCCACCTCCTGACCTCACTTGACCCTGATCACCTCACAAGGCTTTGTCTACAGATACCATTCCACAGGGGCTTAGGGGTTCACCATATGCATGGGGCGCCCAATTCAGGCAGCAGACCCTTCAGATTAGATCTGCAGCAAACAAGCCAGTCTCCCTCTGCCCCGGAGCTGGCACAGCCACCCAAAAGCGTCTGCTAACACATGGGATTTTACATGTTCTAGGAGCCATATTTTAAAAAATTGAAAACAAGCAAAAGTAATTTTCATGATATGTGTATTTAACGTAATATATTCACACTATTATCATTTTGACATGTAATCAATACAGGGACTATCAATGGGAGATTGCTCATCCTCTGCCTCGCACGTGGTCTTTGGTACCCCATGTGTGTTTTAGACACTCGGCCAGCCTGTCTCCACCCAAACTCCCACATCTCCAGCTCCACGGCTGCGTGTGGCTCGGGGCTGCCACACTGCACGGTGCAGGTGAGGGATCCCTCCGTGTCCTGCAGCCCCACAACCAAGGGACATGGGGCCCCACTATGGTTGTAGGGGTCCACTGGGAGGGGAAGAGAAGCCGGTTCCCAGGAGCTGATTGTCTTCTGCCCGGCTCTCCTACACAGGCTCTAAAGCCACAGCTCCTCCACACCAGCCACCATCTGAAGGAGGGTGTTTGCCTGATGGAATCCAGAGGGGTGCAGAGCTCACAGGGGCTCCTGGACCAGGACGGGGATGCAAAACCCTTCCTCCCGACTTAGACTCCAGCGGAGCTTGTGCACACCCACCTTCCAGACTCCAGTCAAGGAAATGGGAAGGTGGGTGGGCGGGGTGGCAGGGTGCTCCAGGTGGCAGGGTGCTCCAGGTGGCAGGGTGCTCCAGGTGGCAGGGTGCTCACCTCGAGCTCCTGAGCACCGTCCCCTGAGAGAGTTCCTGTGACCAAAGACATCACCTGCTTAGGCAGAGGGAGCAGCCACCCCAATCAGGGCTTGCCCACATGCAACCGTTCAGTCGCGTAAGCGTTTGTGACATTGGCATGTACCCCAATCAAAACCTGGCATAGCAGGAGCCGCCGTAACAAAGCCGTTGGCAGCAGATATTTAAAACTCCTAGCTTCTCCCTCGCCGAGTCAGAGATCGGCCATGGGACGCTTCCCTCCCACCCAGAGTAGCTCGCTCACTAGCAATGTGGCACATTTCTTTACAACACAGCATTAGTTTCCTCCTGTTCCTGCAACAAATGACCACAAATAGAGTCGCTCAAAGCAACAGAAGCTTCTTCTCTCACTGAGGGAGACCAGATGTCCAAAGCCAGTTCCCTAGTTGAAGTCAAGATGTGAGCATGGCCGAGCTCCCTCCAGAGGCTCCAGGAGAGAAGCGTTGCCTGCCTCTTCCAGCCTCTGGGGCTGCAGCAACTCTCTGGCTTGTGGCTGCATCGCTCCAGTCTCTGCTTCTGTGGTCACATGGCCTTCTCTTTTGTCTGTGTCAAATCTCCTTCTGCCTCTCCTTTATAAGGACATTGGTGATTACATTTAGGGCCCGCCTGGATAATCCAGCACCATCTCCCCAGCTCAAGATCCTTCACTTCATCACACCTACAAAGTCTGCCTTTGACATATAAAGTAACATCCATCGGCTCTGCAGATTAGGGCATGACTATCTTTTGGGGGCCCTTATTCAGCCAACCACAGATATGCACTAAAAACATATACAGATGCGGACGTGCGTGAGGGATGAGATGGTGAGATGAGATCGGTTCACTCCCTGGTGATGAGGCCTGGTGATGTGGCCATTTGCCACAAGAAAATGGTTCTTGGGGAGATTCTAGCATTGCCTAGTGAGAGCTGGCACCCAATAAGGTAAAGCACCCACTGGCCGGCCAGCTGCTCTGAGCATCCCCAAAGCTCAGGCATCTGAGGCCCAGGGCAGGCAGAGAAGTTCACAAGGAGATGCCACCCAGAAGCTGCTTAAGTGGAACAGTGGGAGGATTAGACTCTGGCACCACAAAGGAACTCTATCAGCTATTAGCACCACCATCATGATCGCTTCAGAAGAGGATCTACAGAAGACCCCGCCCAGGCCCACCACACCCCCGCTTTAAACATTTCAGTGTACGCAGCCCCATCCCACTGCCAGCACCTGCCTGGGGTCCAGAGTACCCCTGGAGCAGCCTCAGTCCACGAACAACAGAGGTGGGTGTATAAATACCCCAGCTCCCTCTCCCCTGGGCTGGAGACCCCTAAGCTGTGTGTCCTACACTTGCCTTCAGGGTCCCCAGTGGGATTCAGCTTCACTTGCCCGCAGCAGACCCTGGGCTGCCTCTCTTCCCTGTCCCACCTCCCCAGCTCCTCTTCTGTCTCCTTCACCTCCCCCAGTGCTTGCCCTTAGATACTGATGGCGGAGTCTGCTTCTGGGAAAAGCCAAACTGAGACATGGGCACTGTCAGAGCACCAAGGAGGTACCACCACCAGCTCAGGAATGGGAGCAAAAGCAGAGGTGTATGAGCCTGGAGGTGTCTGGGATGAAGGTCAAAGGGGAAGTGAAGAGGTAGCTGGTGAGACAGTGCTGCACTGCTCTGATGGTCCCCACACCGCACGCCTCTAAGGGCAGACATTTTGACCATGATATTGATCTCTATCGCTGCTATTAAGTGCTTGATGCTGTAAACACTAGGCACGATGCTGAATGCATAGCCTGCATATTTCACTGAATCCAGGCAACCAAGGTGGGGTCTGGCATGGCCCCTATGTTATAGCTGAGGAAGCAAAGGCTAAGAGCATAACTGGCCCAAGGTCACAGCCCTCCTAAGTGGCTACAGGTGGATTCAAGCCTGGACGCCTCCCCCTTCCCTTACTCCCATATGCACCAAACACATAGATGCTTATGGCAAACGTTTTAAAGTTCCCAGGCTAAGAATAACAGAGAAGTAAGCGTTTGAGGAAGAGTAAGGGAAAGCCAGAAGAGAGATGAGGAAATTGATACCACATCCCTGTGGACCTTGCTTCGCAAAGGGAATGCCCCCGGACATCTCCACTTCTAGACTTTCCTCCATCAGAGCCAGAAAAGGGAGGAGGGAGTGCCAGGAGGAGGGTCCAGAAGGGGTGGGGAGGGACTTGAGGGGGCCAGTTTCCTGCCTGGCTTGGCTGTGTGGCTCTTCTTGAGAAGCAGCAAAGGTACACGGACTCGGCTCATCCTTGGCTCCCACGATCACTGCATCACGCATGGGGAAATTCAAGGCGATGCCGAGCGGCCATCTGTCTGTTGTGGGGAGCTGGGCCAGAGGCTGCGCTGGGTGACCTCCACACTCCCAGCCCCCTCTTAGATTCTAAATATTGTCAGATGTCCCAAGAGGAGTGCTCCAGTGGCCCCCTACCTTCCTGCAGCACTGCCCCGGGCCACAGAGCCTCTCAGGCCATGACCGGGGAGCTGGACCCCAGATGGCGAGGAAAGAGCCAAGGAAGCCAATTGCCGCGGCCAGGCCTGGGGACTGGAGTGCTGAGCGGGCCAGCCCCTTCACCCTGTTCTGTTTGTCAGAGGTTGGAAGCTGGGGCCAAGGTGGGCTCAGTGAGTCTGGATGGGAGACAGGACCAAAGCACCGAGGAGAAACGAATCAGGATGGGGGCCGCAGAGGAGCGGCGGCCGCTTCCGGCAGAACATGGAATCCTGACGCAGCCCAGCTGGGAAGCTGGAACCCTTCTCCAGTGCCCCCACGATCCAGAGGATGGGAAGTTCTAGAGACAAAGCCTCTAACCCAGTCACCACAGGAGGCCTGCGCAGATGTGGCCTAGGATGGGTACTCTGGGTTGTTGCGGGCTGGCAAGCATCTGCCTGAGAAATCGGGATCCACCCTCAGGAGGCAGCTGGAGCCCGTTGGTGGAATCTGATGCTGCCTGGGAGCCCTGGGGGCAGGAGAGCGGAGGAGCCTGGCCGGAGGGCCTGGTGGTGATGGCAGACCCCCGGGGGAGGCTGGAGACACAGCCCCATTCTCCACACCCTGCAGCAGACCAAGCGGTGCTCCATCCCGCCTGCTTCTTATCAGACACCACTGGGTACCTCTGCCATCCCATCAGACACAACCGCCAGGGCCTCAGAGCACTGGCTGCGCCCACACCACCTGCCACTCAGGTGTTTTAAATGGGGCAGTCACCCCCTGAAGACCCCTGTCTCCTCTCAGCAGTATAGGCCTAAGCAGGGCCCGAGACTTATAATTCTGAGGTTGGAGGGCCTAAATTTGGCGTCCATGGGGGCGCCACAATGGGGCTCCTGCTTGGCAGTCCCCGCCCCACATGTCAGGTGCCCGCGGGATGCTGGGTGGGTTCTCGTCAACTCCATTCTCAGCCCCAGGGTGGAGACGGGGAAGGGTGGGCAGTCCTACTCCCCTGCCATTGTCCAGTCCATATCCCAGGTCAAAAGAGATTCAGAAGAAACAGAAGCCCTCCCCTCTCCTCAGACAAGAGCCCCCATGTCAGACAAGCCACAGCTGGTACTGCCACTCAGAGACATTGGCCACATCTTGCATCCTCAGGAGATGTCCATGAGGTCTCTTCACTGATAATGAGACCCTTCTAGAAGTTTCCAGAGACTTCTCTAATGACCACCCCAAAGGGAGAGTCTCCTCTCTCCTTTACAGGTGAGAGAACCAAGGCACGCACCAATGAGGTTGCACAGAGCAGGCCAGGAAAACCCACCCTGGGGAAGCTGAGCCTTCCTGGGCCTGGGCAGCCCATCACAGTGACAGGGCCAGTGAGGGGGCCACACACTCCAGCATCTGCCACCAGAATCCTTCACCAGACAGCTTTTCTCTAGCTCTTCCCACCAAAGACCTGAATGGGGCTTAGGAACATGGATGCTGTTGAGGACACAAGTCAGGGTCTGGCCCGTGGATTTAGGAGCCTCAATGGGACCGATTTGTAAACTGCCTGGTAACATGGAAAACACCAGCAGACTCCAGAGGCCACGGTGAAACCGGGGCAGAAAGGAAATCCCTGCATGAAAATGACGGCAGCCCCTGCGCTCGCTGGCCTTCTAGAAAAGCCCACCCGGTGGGCCGCTGGGAAGAGCAGGTGCCATGGAGGCCAGCGTCAGCTCCCCGAGAGGGGGTTCCTCCAGCACAGGGGCCTTCCGGAGGGAGGCTTAGTGGCTGGTGACCCAGTGCTGCCACCCCAGCCACATTGCTCCCTGGAGGTTTGCCAACATTGGGGGCGTCCTGAGCCGCCAGCCCAGCCCGACCTCCTCCGCCTGCCTGCCCGAGGCTGGGCCGCCGCCCACCGCCTCCCTGACCGCCCGAGGCCGCCCACTGCCTCCCTTGTTGTTATTCTTCTCAGTGCCTCCCTCCTCTCTCTGCTCCCCGCACCCCCACAGGCCTCTGCAGCACCGCGCTGGCTCGGCCGAAGCTGACTGGAGTTTTAATGACTCATCTGGGGTTGGGGTGGGCGCTCCGGCCCCAGGTCCACCTGCTGGATCCTTGCCAGCCAGCGTCCTCTGCCCCAGCAAGGGAAGCTTCGGGCTGTGCACAGCCCCCTCGCTGGGAGATTTGGAGAGCCCACCCGGTATACCGTGCACACCCCACACTCCGCACACCCCACACACCCCGCACACCCCACACACCTGCTGCTGCCAGCACAGCCATGTGTCCCCAGGGCAGAGGGCTGAGGCGGGCGGCAGGCGTCCATGCGAGGTGCCCCTGGCTGCATCCCTCGGCTTCTACAGGGCACACCAAAGCCAAGGACTTCTTGCATCACAGATTTTAAAACTTCTCCTGCAGCCTCAGACCACACCCCCAGTCCACATCAGGCTCTCAACCTCACCTGCAGGTCAGAAACACCTGGGGGGCTTGGAGCCTGACCCACGTCCGGGCCCCCCGAAGGCTGACGAAGTCAGAGCCCAGGGCAGGCAGACACTAGTATTGTAACAGCGTTCCAGCTGGTTCTTTGGCCGGTCTGAATGACCCAGCCCCAGGGCCCCGGCCCTGGGGTCTAAATCAACCACTGCCCCCATGAGGTTGTGGAGGGATCCGGGCAAGGGGCTGCAGAGCCGGGACACAGCAGGAGGACAGCGGGGTCCCCAAGGCGGCCTGGTCGATAGGAGCGCCAGAGCCGGTGTTTCAGCGTGGGTGGCTGTCTCTCTCTAGGACGCTGGAGCTACGGAGGCTACACAAACGGACAAGAAGAGAAGGGCCCTGGTCCTCCCCACACCCCCTCCAGCCCCAGAGCACATAGCTCAGCAAAGCCAGGGGCCCAGGCTCCCACTCTGCGGGTATATTTGTTCACTGTGACCTCACCTGCAGGTCCAGAAACACTTGGGGAGCTTGGAAACTGACCGATGCTCAGGCCGACGGAGTCTGAGTCCAGGGCAGGCAGGCACTTGTATCGTAACAGCGTTCTAGCTGGTTCTCCGGCTGGTCTAAATGGCCATACCATTCCCCACCCCAACCCCTCCTTCCCTTATACTAACGGTTCCATGGCAGGGTCGGCGCCTGGGAGAGCTATGAGGCCTCAGGGACCCGTCCCTTCCTTTCCCTCCGTCATCCATCAGCCGTCGCACCCCAGGCCCTCGGTGACAGCTGGGGTAGAGCCCAGGGTTAGGGTGAGGGCTGGGAGCTCCGGGCTGTGCATGGAGGGAGAAGCCAGGAGCCCAGGGCCTTGCCCTGTGCTTCCATGGACTCAAGGACTCTCCACCCCTCCCTGAGCCTCAGCTTCCCCAGTTGCCAAGAGCAGGCACTGCACTATGTCATCAGCAAAGATCCTTCCAATCCTACTTACTTGGGCATGACGCCTGGGAGAGGAGGCACAACCAAATATTTTCTAATATGCACATATTACCTTCATAACCCAAGAAAAATCAATTTTACAACAGGAGTCAATGCAGAAGGAGCATCCACAGCATTACCTCTGGTCCTCAAGTGGCGGCGTGAATGGCCTCACGCAACTCTGCCAACAGCCCGGCCCACCCACCAGAAGTTGGCCCTGCAGGTCAGCAGCCAAGTCTCCTGCAGTGGACGGGTGGTGGAATTGTCTGGTGTCGACAGAGGTGCCACGGAAAAGCCACCAGCCCTTCCCATCGGCAACAAGTTCCATCCTCCCGGCCAGGCCCCGGGACTCTCGGCTCCCTGTAACCAGCAAGCCCTGTCCCGCCAAGCCCCCACTTTAAATACTTTGTACCTGACCCGCTGCGCACCCACCGCCAGGTCTGACAAGCACGCAGGACACGACAAGGGGCCAAGGCAAGCTGCCCCTGCTGCTGGCACCCAGCCACCCTACCCTCAGACGACACACTCATTTCTGTGCACCCTCAGCCGCACCAAATCCCATAACCTTCATGTTCGGGGCCACAGGGAGAGGGGCACCGTGCCTGCGCAGCCCCTCCATCCCAGGCATCCATTAACATTCCCCGTGTAAAGTTGGGGCTGTAATTACAGCAAGTGATTAACAGGCCTGAGGTAGCCTGTCTGGGAGGGAGCAGATTAACAGCAGAGCTTGGGAATGCCTGCGCTCACCTCAGAACCACCAGTGCATCTTAAACAGGGCCCAGCGCCCCTACGAGCGGGTGATTAATGGAGGGGATGAGGACGGAGGACGTTTCCCTGGCATCCGTCACCAAACTTTTTCCTTTGGGCGCCTCCCTTGCTGGCCAGGCACAGTGGAGGGCAGGGGAGGGCAGCCAGGACTCGGGGCGAGCACCTGGGGCTTCCACCAGGGGCCTCGCTCTACCTTCCCCTGGGCCAAAGTGTACCCCCAAGCAGCAGCATCCTAGGGAGAAGGAGAGGGAGATGGAAGCAAAGCCCACAGGGCCGAATGCATCCCAGGAGCCAAGAACCTCGGCCTCCTTTGTCCAAATAGAAAATCTGAGGCTGCCCCCCAGAACCTCCTCCAGCCCCAGGCAACATTCAGGGCTGTGCTAACAGGGAAAGGCTCTGCCAGGACTGTCCTCATCCACGCAGGGGCACCAAGGTCAAGCAGAACAACTGCTTGGCTGGCAGAGGGCTCACGGGAGCCTCCACCTGGGCTGTGTCCTCCTGAGGGTCAGGGAAGAAACGGGAAGGGACTCTCCCTGGGCCAGGAGGTGTTTGCAGGGTTGTGATGTCCAGATATCCGCTTAGACGAAACTCTGTGTGTGTGCAGTGTCGTGGGGTGTCATGCAGTATGACATGTTACCTATGCATTTAGGTTTTAAACTACCCCCTTTTCAGTGCCTAATATGTGTCGGGGCTGGGGACACAAAGACAGTTTAGGGATGATCGTCCTGCCCATGAGGCTCTTGGTCTTGCAGAGGAGGAGTCGTGGAAATGGGATAATTGCTGGAGGGCTCTGTGAGCAAGAGCTGCACAGCAAAAGCAAAGGGGATGCAGCAGTTCTGCCCGTGTGGGGTGAGGGCAGCAGCAGGAAGGGCTTAATAGAGGAGGTAACCCTGCAGTGAACCGTGATGTCAGGTGAGAATTTATCTGTCAGGCAACATGGGCCAGATGCATGTTACCATCTAGCACAGCCCCATGGCCAGGGGACACCCACCCGGATACATGTTACCATCGGGTACAGCCCCATGACCAGGGGACGCACACCCGGATACATGTTACCATCGGGTACAGCCCCATGGCCAGGGGACACACACCCAGATACATGTTACCATCGGGTACAGCCCCATGGCCAGGAGACACACATCCGGATACACGTTACCATCGGGTACAGCCCCATGGCCAGGGGACACACGTGCAGATACATATTACCATCGGGTACAGCCCCATGGCCAGGGGACACCCACCCGGATACGTGTTACCATCGGATACAGCCCCATGGCCAGGGGACACCCACCCGGATACATGTTACCATCGGGTACAGCCCCATAGCCAGGGGACGCACACCTGGATACATGTTACCATCGAGTACAGTCCTATAGCCAGGGGATATACACCCGGATACATATTACCATCGAGTACAGCCCCATGGCCAGGGGACACCCACCCAGATACATGTTACCATTGGGTACAGCCCCATGGCCAGGGGACACCCACCCGGATACATGTTACCATCGGATATAGCCCCATGGCCAGGGGACGCACACCCGGATACATGTTACCATCGAGTACAGTCCTATAGCCAGGGGATATACACCCGGATACATATTACCATCGGGTACAGCCCCATGGCCAGGGAACACCCACCCGGATACGTGTTACCATCGGATACAGCCCCATGGCCAGGGGACACCCACCCGGATACATGTTACCATCGGGTACAGCCCCATAGCCAGGGGACGCACACCTGGATACATGTTACCATCGAGTACAGTCCTATAGCCAGGGGATATACACCCGGATACATATTACCATCGAGTACAGCCCCATGGCCAGGGGACACCCACCCAGATACATGTTACCATCGGGTACAGCCCCATGGCCAGGGGACACCCACCCAGATACATGTTACCATCGGGTACAGCCCCATGGCCAGGGGACGCACACCCGGATACATGTTACCATCGGGTACGGCCCCATGGCCAGGGGACACCCACCCGGATACGTGTTACCATCGGGTACAGCCCCATGGCCAAGGGACACCCACCCGGATACGTGTTACCATCGGGTACGGCCCCATGGCCAGGGGACACCCACCCGGATACGTGTTACCATCGGGTACGGCCCCATGGCCAGGGGACGCACACCCGGATACGTGTTACCATCGGCTACGGCCCCATGGCCAGGGGACGCACACCCGGATACGTATTACCATCGGCTACGGCCCCATGGCCAGGGGACGCACATGCAGATACATGTTACCATCGGGTACAGCCCCATGGCCAGGGGACACCCACCCAGATACATGTTACCATCGGGTACAGCCCCATGGCCAGGGGACACCCACCCGGATACGTGTTACCATCGGGTACGGCCCCATGGCCAGGGGACACACATGCAGATACATGTTACCATCGGGTACAGCCCCATAACCAGGGGACACACACCCAGATACATGTTACCATCAAGTACAGTCCTATAGCCAGGGGACATACACCTGGATACATGTTACCATCAGGTACAGCCCCATGGCCAGGGGACACATACCTGGATACATGTTACCATCAGGTACAGCCCCATGGCCAGGGGACACACACCCGAATGCATGTCACCATTGGGCACGGTCCCATGGCCAGGTGACACACACCCAGATACATGTTACCACCAGGCATGGCCCCACGGCCAGGTGGCCCACACCAGGATGCATGTCATCATCAAACATGGCCCCGTGGCCAAGTGGTACACATCTGAATACATTCACCATTGGGCATGGCTGTGCCATGGCCAGGTGGCACATACCTGGAAGCATTCACCATCAGGCACAGCTGCCCTGACCATACCCCCATCCTCCTGTGGACCCCCATCCCCACAGTGGGGGCCTTTCTTGGTGAAATGGCACAGCAGGGTGGTGAAAGGGCCTCCTTGGAACCAGACTGCTTGAGTTTGAATCACAGCTCTGCCTCTTACCAGCCACGTGGCCTCGGGCAGGCTGCATGATCTCTCTGAGCTCCAGTGTCCTCCACTCCACAGTGGGAGCCGCACAAGCTTGCCTACCAGAAAGAACCGTCAGTGAGGCGGTACAGGCGCTGGGCACTTCACACAGCCTCCTGGGGCCAGCACACAGAGCCATTTCTCCCGAGTGTGGTTCCTGGGTCTATGGGGGCCCGCGTGCCCTAGTGGGCCTCTGTGGTTGGCCTTCTGGGCCTGCCCCTGCACATCTGGTAGCCAGCTCACCCCTGCTTCCCCTAGTCTAACTTGGAATTTGGCTAGGGCTGCCAATCAAGATGCCCTGCCCACCATGGGCATGTGACCAGACCTGCCAATCCTTGAAGCACTGTGATTGGTCCAGGGGCAGGCACGTGACCTCAGCCAGGCCAATCGGTGTACTTTCCTGGTATTTACCCCTCTGGAGTTGCTGGGTGGGGACCATGTGTATCAGACTTGCCTATGACAGCCTCCTACCATCTCCACCCTGTGCTGGACAGAGGAAGCCACTGGAAGCAGCAGAAAACGCGGCCAACACTCCTGGGATTCTGCTCACCTCCCAGCGTCCACACAGCCAGGCACCCCCTCACCCCACCCTTCCCAACAGCATGCACCTCTGCAGTGGGCTACATTCAGAACATGCACCTGGGTATCCGACACACGGGTACACACTCGGCGGTCACGCAGACATGCACTCCCTGGGCCCAGCACTGGTCCAAGCAGTGGGCCACTATTGCCTCACTGAGTCCTCTCACACCTGCCAGGTAGGTTCTAGAACCACCACATTCACAGATGAGGTCACGGGTGCGTGGCCTCACACACCCAGGTGGCCTGAGTCACGCCTCGTTGTTGTGATCTTGACAAAGCACCGCTGTCTCCTGGATCTCGGCAACCACACAGCGATATCCTGCCCTTTTGTGGCCACTGCCCGACAGGCTCTGGGGCCACAGGCAAGTTTCCCTGGCTGCCACCACACCCCTAGTGTCCCTCAGCAACACCACAGCCACCCCTAGTAACCCTGGCCCTAACCCACAGCATCTAGCACAAGCCTCTGGGTGGCATCTGCATCCCCCCAGGCCATGTGGATCCACTGGACCCTGGAGCATTTCTATTTGGTTAAGGCCACAGCTTGGGAAGGACAAAGATGGCCCAGTGCATGTGAACGTCCTCTGTGCACTGTGAAATGGAACCGTGCAGAAGCTGTGGTTGATGTGGAGCTGTTCTCTTGGGACTTGGTGGGACAGGATGGGGAGCTTTCCAGAAAGACCAGACAGGAGGCTGGGGCTCGGCGCTGCCCCATTCCTAATCCCCACTTCCCTAGAGCCGTCACCTCTTTGCTGCCTGGGGTGAGGGAATTCTCCCGACTCTCCAACACACCTTCGGGTGTCCTGAGGCAGAAGTTGGCCTCTGCCTGGGTCCCTCAGCCTGGGTGCACCTGGTAACATCTGGCCCCACCCACACATCTACGGGAAGGTAGAACTTGGCAGAAGGGCAGAAGACCCTTTCCGGAGGAGCAACACTCAAGCCAAGTGCTGAGCTTCCATCTGGATCAGCAGAGCCCTGCTCTGGTGAAGCCCTGTGGCAAGCCTCCCACTGCTCCCCAGGCCAGGTCACCTCATAGCTGGGGCCCCTGGGGGTGTGCAGTGCCCAGCCTACAGCTGGGAGACAGCACATGGCCCAGGGCCCAGTGATCCAGCCACTCCCCCATCTGACCCCCACGCAGCTCCCGGCCATGTGTCAAGCCACTTGTACCCCAGGTCTCTCCCATCTCCTGTGTTACACTGATCCCCTTCCCTGAGACTTGCAGGAGCTCATCGACAGGGTTACAAGAGAACCGCAATCGGAGAAGAGCCACCAGCACATAGAAAAAACGAGAAATGCTGGCCGCTGGCAGCACAGTTCCTTCTCAGAGTCTCTGCTCTGCTCTTTCCTTGAGGATGTTTTCTCTTCCCTCCATCAGAAAACCTGTTTGCCTTTCAGTTTCAACCCAATGCCACCTCCCACATTGCCCCTAAGTACCCACCCTCCTCAAGGAGGTATCTGCCCCTTCTCTGGGTCCTTGCTGTGGCAACCACACACCATGTTAGTGTGGTGGGCAGGCATTCGAGGCTCCCGGCTGAGGTTGCACCGCTTCAGAGTCCGTCGCCACCCTTCACCCCTGCACCGAGCCCCACACGCTACTAGCACATCACAGGGACTAAACTGCTGCTGGGTGGATTGGCTACAGGCCTTCTCCAGCAAGGAACATAGTTTATCTTCTTCCTTCCAGAAACCTAGCTTTAATCGAGGCGCTCACCTCCAGGACCGAAGTCAAGGTGTCCTCGACTCCAACAGCCTTGAGTCCAAGGCTCTGTGTGCCTACAGCCAAGAACATTTCACCAGGCCAACAGAGAGAGAGGAGAGAGTCAGAGAGAGAGAGCAGAGAGTCCGAGAGAGAGAGGCAGAGAGAGCACGCACAGCCTGGCCAGGAGCACCAGCTGCTGCTGTATCAGTCTGCATTCTCTGGGCATGACAAATGTTCAACACAACAAACGAAGAAAAATGAACCATTTCCATTGCCTAAAATACTCCCATCCCCACGGGGCTTAAGATAAAAGTAAGAAGGGACAGACATTGAATTGAAGAGAACGCAGGTGGCCATGAGTTCTATGAAATGCCCACGTGTGGCCACACTCCCCTCCCTGGGCACCCCTGCCTTTCTACCAGCATGCCCGGGCCTGCCCCCTGCCCTGGAGAACCAGGATACCCAGCTCCTGGGCAGAGAGACACAGGCTCTCACCCCATGTAGGATTAAATGAGGCTAACTCAAAAGAGCTGCTTCATAAATATTCACGTCCAGCCCAGAGGGGCTCCAGGCCTTAGAAAGAGCCAGAGCTCTGTTCACGCCCCGAGGTCAGAGTTCATCCCCAGAGGAGGTCCTGGGACCCTCATTCCTCTAATTACTCCTGAGAGCCTGGCCCAGATGGTAGAGACGGGATGGAAAGTCTCAGGTAACTCAGATGAGAAGCTAGGAGCAGCGAGATGGAGCCACAGACTTGGGGCCTCCCCAGGTGTGCCCTCCGAAAGCACGCTGGAGCAACACACTGTGCATGGATGGATGGACGGACAGACGGATGGACGCGATGCGCTGGAACGATCCCTGCCCCAGGAAGAAAGGAAGCTCTGACACACGCTGCAATATGGATGGACCTCGAAAACGTGACGCCGAGACAAGCCAGACACAAAAGGTCGGATGTCGTACAATCCACAGTCCACCCCTCGGGGAGTCATACTCGTAGACACAGAAGGTAGAATGGGGGTTGCTGGGCTGGGGATGGGAATGGGGAGCCGGTGTTTCATAGGGGCCGAGCTTTGGTTGGGGAAGATGAGAACGTTCTGGAGGTGGATGGTCACGATTGCACGGCAATGTGAAGGTGCCGAATGCCACTGGCTGAACTGTGCCCTCAAAATGGTTCGTGTGGTAAGTGTTATGTCATGTGTATTTTATCACAATAAGAAAAAGGAGGGCCGGGCGCAGTGGCTTACGTCTGTAATCCCAGCACTTTAGGAAGCTGAGGCAGGTGGATTACTTAAGGTCAGGAGTTTAAGACCAGCCTGACCGACATGGTAAAACCCTGCCTCTACTAAAAATAAAAAATTAGCCGGGCATGGTGGCAGGTGCCTATAATCCCAGCTACTTGGGAGGCTGAGGCAGGAGAATCGCTTGAACCCAGGGGGCGGAGGTTGCAGGGAGCCAAGATCATGCCACTGCACATCAGCCTGGACTATACAGTGAGAGTCTGTCTCAAAAAAAAAAAAAAAAACAAACAAAAACAAAAGAAAGGAAGGAGGAAAATGATGGAGGATGAGACGAAAGGAAGAGTTCTGAACTTTGGAAGCGGGAGTGGGGTTCAGGGGCCCCCATTCCTATGGCTGAGCTCTTGCTCAGTGCTTCAATTACTCAGCAGGGAGAGAGATTGTCAGGACAACTCAAAAACTCCAAGGTGCAGTGAAAACCCCACCCAGCCCACCACTGGCCTCTCACCCACAGCTTCAAAGAGGGAAGGCCAGGGAAAAACCCCACGGTCATTAAATAGATTGTGTTGGGGGAAAGTTATCATTTCGGTAACATCGACGGAAACATCAGGAAATTTCCGCTTCTGAGACACATGATCTCCATCCTTCCTTCCCTCTGGCAACTTCAGGAGCCGCCTCGCCTGTTCCTGACTCAACACCAAAGCTCCCGGCAGATCCCTCACCTTCTTGAAAGCAGCTAGCCCGAGGTCTGACCCGGTATTGATCCTGAAGTGCAGACAGGAGGCAGCCGGAGAAACCGAACGAGACTCCCATAATTACATGGAGATAAGACTATCAGGTGTAATTAAACAGTATCCACAGGCAGACCACTTGGCTACATCCTCCGTCTCTCCCCTCCCTCCTCCTCCTTTTCCCCAGGACTGCAAAATAAATTATCCTGTGAAGTCAGCAGAGGCTGAGCTATGGAAACAATTAAACAGAAATTAAATCTAATTCATTTATACTCTGAGCACAAGTGGATAATGTAGGTTTTTTTCTCTCTCTCTCCTCTTTTCGCCTTGGTGTTAGAGAGGACTATTATGGGAAATTAATCACGAGACATGGCAGTGAAAGTGATCTATCACTCTTTCAAGCGCACAGACCCACTATATACGATCTATGACAGCAGCTACAAATGTGCGAGTGACACTGTTTGGGAGAAGCGGGCAGGCGGGGATGGGGGCGCCTCACGGAAGCCCCTGTGATGGCCTGGCCGGGGCCCCAAGTCCTCCGGGTCGGATGGTGCTGGAAAGTGCCTTGTACACGAGTTTCCCTGGGCTTGCTTAGGTGTCTCCAAAGCCTGGCTCATACCCACGTGGGGGAAACACTGTAATCCCTGAAGGCTGGGGGAGCTGGGGCCTGGACGGCTGTGGGGAAGCCTACTGGATTTTTCTCCCACCACTGGAAGGGCAGGCCTGGCGGAACAGCCCCTGGGAGGAGGACCTGCAAGAACAAGCCAGGCCTCAGGCTCCCCGTGCAAAACCGGGGTTGAGGCCCCCTTGCCGTGCCTTCCCTAACAGAAGCAACACGGTGCAGAGTAGGGGTCAAATGAGCAAACCCACAGGAAGGCATTGAGGAAGGAAAGCCGCAGAGTGGTGTCTAGCTCTGGGCCCACAGAGGCTCGCTCCAGCTTTCCTGCTTTCAAGAGAAACAATTTGGAAAATTGTTTTCCCGTCGTAGGGAGGGTGGAGATGGCATAAATAGAACATTTCCTCCAAATGAAGGGAGGGCCGAGGCGGCCACGGCCAGGAACGGCCAGAAGGAGAAAGCCAGCCATCGCGGGAGACGCGTCTTCAGGATGCTGTACCCGGGAAGCACCAAGAGAAGCCCGGGGCTGGCAGCTCCCCCTAAGGCCTGGGGACACCGGGCCCCCGAAACAGATGCTCCGGAGGTAAACCAAGGAGCTGGGGAAGCCCGAGCTTTGAACTCAGCATAAAAATCGGAAGAAACAAAGGCCAGTTTCTATTCTGCTTCTCTCTTGAAGGGCAGGCAGCCCTCTCGGCAGATGGGGCCATCCCTGGGAGCCTGCACACCCCACGCCCCCACCCCCAGGGCTCACACTCCCCACAGAGTGCTCCTGCCATGCTCTCAAGGAAGCAGAGCAAGAGACCTGCCAGTGACGGCAAGCAAAGGTGTGTCCTGCAAGTCCTAAGCCCTCTGGCCCTGGAATGGCCCCGGCTTTGCAGCCCACCCAGCTCAGAGGTGGGACCGAGCTAGCCAGGACCAGGGTGGGTACGGGGAACAGAGCCCCTCAAGAGGGAGGAGGCCACAGCCCTGCTTCCCTGCTGAGAGGAGACGGCTCCCCACCCATCCCCTCCCCTTTACCTGTCCTGTCCATGCTGTCAGGATCACAGCATCCATCATCACACTGTCAAGCGTCAGTCTTACCTGGAAGGTTTGGCCCTTGACCCTGGCTCCTGGGAGGTCACCCCTAAGCCCTTGGAGTAGCCTGCCTGAAAGAGCATCCCTGTTTACCTCGGGCCCCACCATGTCAGCTTGACCCTTGGAGTGGCTGGAGATTGAGGTCAGCACCTGGGTGGTCAGTCACGTCTCCATGACTGAGACCCAGTAAAACTCTGGACACCAGGGCGGGGGTGAGCGTCCCTGGCTGGCAACACCCATATGTGCTGTCCCGCATGGCTGCTGCGAGAGGACCAGCAGAGCTCCTGGCTGGTCCCCGGGACCCTGCCCTGCCTCTGCGCTGCTCCCCATGGCTGGTTTTCCTCTGCATCCGTTCACTAGAATAAGCTGTCACCTCGAGGATGGTGGCTGTGCCGAGTTCTGAGTCCTAGCAACCCTCAACCTCAGTGGTCCACAAAGCCCGTTGAAAGTCACCAAGCCAGGTCTCCCCTGTGCAGTCGAGGACACCGAGGCCCAGGCTTGAGTGAATTGCCCAAGTCATGCAGCTCCATGGGTGAGGGGGCTGGGACCAGTGTCCCTCCCAGCCTTGCCCCGCCTCCTCCCCTGTGGAGTGGGGCTCACCGGGCAATGTGTCAGCCAGTGGCAGTGTGACAACGCCCCAGGCGGGCAAAGCAGGTGACGAGGCAGCAGGGCAGGAGACAGCAGGGGTGGGACGCAGGCTGCTCCCCGTCAGCCGGAGACTGGGGACGTGCAGGGCAGCTGCCAACCTGCATCTCCGGGGACAGCAGTGAGGACTAGAAGGAGCATGTCGGGCCAAGGCAGGGAGCAGCCTGGAGCTGCAGCTGAGCGAGCTGCCCTCCTGTGCGCACGTGCCAGGGTCCAGGGGTCAGGTGCCAGGAACACAGGATGCGCATTAAAACCCCAGCCCATACTCCCGCACCCAGACACACACGTTCCCACACCGCCTGCCCCCTGCCACCAGCCCACCAGCCGTCTCCCTCTGCTCTGCCTCATGCACAGGGCCAGAGGCCTAGAAGTGATTAATGTCCTCGGCCACCTGAGCCTGACATCTCGGCCTGGGGACAGCCGGCGCCACCCTGCAAAGAGGCCAGCACCTGCCACGGGGCCTCAGGCTGGCAGAGCACAAGGGTGGGGTTCGTGTTGGACTCCCCTCCAGGGCGGCAGGGAAAGAGTCGGGCCCTCCCGGCTGGCCGGGTGCCACACAGCCTCCCCCGGCAGACACACTCGCACACAGCTTCCAGACTGGCTTCTATTTGAAGTCGCCCCATGCTGCAAGAGGTCCCCACCAGATCCAGCTACACGAATTATAGTCCTCAGAGCAAAATGCAACTGGGAGGCCCTTGTTTGAATCTCACAATGGTGACGGCAGAGCACTGAGCCAAGCACAAGCCCTCCCGAGCAGGGAGCACACGGGTGAAGCCAGCTTGGCTCTGCTGCCAGCGCCACTCCTGGCTGTCTGGGAGGGGCCGGAAGACACGCAAAGAGGATGGGGGGCATGAGAGACACAGCTTGTCCCCCTTACACCAGGTAAAGCCAGGCACCTGCTTTACCACAGTGACCACAGCAATGCACCAGTACATACAGGCATGCACAGACACACACAGATACACACTCACGCTCAGACACACACACACACATTCTCATGCCCAGGCACACACACACTCACAGACACACGCACAGACACATGCACAGACACACTCACAGATACACACACATGCTCAGACACACACATTCATACACACATTCACACACTCACACTCAGACACAGATGCAAACACACTCAGGCACAAACTCACATACACAGACACACACATACCCTCACAGACTCACACTCTCATACACACATAGGCACAGACACATACACAGAGATACACACATTCAGACACATTCACACACACACGCAGATATATACTCACAGACACATACGGATACATTGACAGACACACATTCACACACACACTCATGCACAGAAACATACTCCACAGACATACACATTCACATGCAGACACGTGTAGACACACACACAGACATACTCATATACACTCACACACAGATACATTCATGCATAGACATATGAACTCACAGACACACTCATACTCACACACGGAGACACACTTATACATTCACACAGGCACACACACACACATATACATACACAAATACATAGACGCACACACAGACAAGTGTGGACACACAAAAACACACAGTCACACATGCACATACATATCCTTAAGACACTTTTTTGCTAAATAAATTTTATCTCGGCTCATTCAAAGTCCTAGATAACTGTGTAGCCTAACTAATGTCCATTGCCAGTGAAGTGGACATGGGAGTTTTTCAGTGAAGTCGGTGGCTCAGGACTCAGGGCCAGAGTGAGCGGCAAAGGAGGGCTCTGCTGCTGCTCCCGCTGCTGGTGACAGGCTGACCTTCACCCGACGGAATCTTGGACCAGTGCAGGCCACACTGGAGGGGAGACCCTGGAAAAACTCGGGCAACTGGAATTGCTCCTAAAATGTGTGGTTGCCTCTAATGCTGAAAAACTGTTTTCACAGCACTGTGTGAGCTCCTGAGCAGCTCCCCACTCTCCAAGTCTCCACCTTTGAGGAGCTGGTTCTCTGGTGCTGTTTTTCTGGAATGTTCCCTGCCATTATTTTTCTAGAAATTGCTCTAACCCAGAGGCCCTGTGTCATGCTGTCTTCCTAAAGGCAGCCCTGAGCCTTAAGTCCACCAGTCTCTAGAGATTCTCTCCCTCCTCAAAAACCATCCTCAGGAGCTAGAGGCCCCCAAACTTCACGTCCAGACACAAACTCTCCTGCTGGCACCAGGGCTGGAGGCCTGAGGGGCCATCCCCACCGCACACCACCCCTGAGCTAACTTTTACCCAACTCCAACTATTTTCAGGGTACATTTGGGTGTTTTGAGAGATCCTTAGTTGTATTAAGACGGCATCACATTTAAAGTCCTCTCACCCGACACACACACCACCTCTCCCCACTGAGAGGATACGAGATTCACCTCAGGAATGTCAGATCTCATCCAAAGTAAAGAAGAGGGCTGGGCGTGGTGGCTCACGCCTGTAAACCCAGCACTTTGGGATGCCAAAGCAGGCAGATTACCTGAGGTCAGGAGTTTGAGACCAACCTGGCCAACATGGTAAAACCCTGTATCTACTAAAAATACAAAAATTAGCCAGGCATGGTGGTTGATGCCTGTAATCCCAGCTACTAGGGAGGCTGAGGCAGGAGAATCGCTTGAACCTGGGAGGTGGAGGCTGCAGTGAGCCAAGATCACGCCACTGCACTCCAGCCTGGGTGACAGAGCAAGACTCCGTCTCAAAAAAAAAAAAAAAAAAAAAAAAAAATGCAAGGAAGCTCTGACGCAGGCCAGAACAGGATGGACTTTGGGGACATTATGCTGAGTGAAATCAACCAGGCAGAAAAGGACAAATCCCGTAGATTCCACTGATTATGAGGTTCCCAGAATAGCCAAATCCATAGGGACAGAAGGAAGAATGGAGGTTGCCAGGGGCTTGTGGTGGGGGGGCGGGTGGTTTGGGAGAATGTGGAATTGTTTCTGGGGGACAGACTTTCCATCTGGGAGGAGGAAAAAGCTCTGGAGATGGGTGGTTGGTGGTGACAGCTGCACAACAAGGTGAATGCTCTACATACCACTGACTTCTAAACGGTTACGACGGCAAATTTTATGTGATGTATATTTTATCACAATCTAAAAAGCAAAGTTTAAATGTCTCAAGTGTGGAACTGAACTTGCCTAAATGTCACCAGTCACCACCAAACCCCACTGTGTTTCAAGTGTTCAGAGGGCGGGAAACGGGCTGGAGGGAGGAGAGGTCCTTCTGTGCTCTTAGACACATCCCTGAAATGTTGACGAGGAAGCTTCCGTGACTCTTCTTGCGTTCCTCATGGTGAGGAGACCCAGGTCCTCAGTGGTGACTTTCTATTTTGAGTTCTGTTGTCCCTGGTGAGCCACCAAAGAGAGGATGTGATCAACGGCCCCATTGGTTCATGGACAGAGAGTTACTGAGCCTGGTGGAGCTTCAGGTGAACACGCAGCTGCCAGGATTCCGGTGAGGGATAAGGCAAGCTGCCTGCCCTCGGGACTCACAACCCCGTGGGGTAGAAGGAGATGGGCAAACACAAATTAAACACAAGGTGATAAAACGCAAAACGAATAAAAGGCGAACCTTGTAAACTAGCCAGCACATTTTGAGTGGTCCTTGATTTCAGAAGGTAGATAAGAGTTCGGTGTCCTAATACCTTATCCCCCACAGCCTCTCCACACCGTGTATCTCAGTCTCCCCTGGCCACCTCGGTGGCACTGGAAAACGGGGCCAGACTTTCACAGCCTCAAGTGGAGGTTCGGGTTTCTGTCCTGCCCTCATGACCCTCTTGTTGTTCTTCCCTTCTGGCAGTCAGTTTTCCCATCATTAAAGCCAGGGAGTTGGGTTAAATGGTCCTTAAGATCCCTTTGAAGTCCCGCATTCTATGATTGAGGACCTTTGAGTTTTCCTCCTGAGAGAGGATTCCAGGATCACAGAGCATTCTGAAAATAAAATAATCCTGCTCCCCATTTGGATAAAACAATGAGTTTGGCAAAAGGGTACTGCAGACAACAATGTTTGGGCAGGCTTACCAACACACAGTAGACATGCTGCAGGTTCAGAGCCATTTCCCTGGAACCAATATTTACAAACACTGTCTCAGCATTCAAGCAGGCAAACAGCTTCACAGGAGTTTAACGGAGACCTCTCCTCCCCCAGCTTAATGGAGGCAGCCCGCTCTCTCTTCGGCAACCTCCCAATGGTTTTAAAGAGGAAAAACACCCACACCAAAACACACCTTCACTCTCACGGCGGGCATTTAGGCTAGCTCTGGGATTTCACTGCCAGATGACTACCTTGAATCTGTGGCAGCATCCCCCTCCTAGGAGGCCAACCTCAGGTTGTGGAAGCTCTTTCCTCCCTCTACCAACAACGTGCAGAACTGGGGGCTGGATTCTGCTGCCCCTGGCTGTGCTGGGAGTGTGGAGCAGGCACGGGCACTGGGGGTTAGATCCTGCTGCCCCCGGCCGGGCTGGGAGCGTGGAGCAGACACGGGCACTGCATCTTCCAGCACATGGCTCTGCCGTGCAGCAGGTTTGTAAATGGAGCCCTAGTTTGCAGAGCACCTCGAACATGGCATCATGGGTGGGTTCAAGCCGAATGAATATGCCTCCGCCCCACAGCAGGTGTAAAGGGAGCCCCAGTTTGCATAGTGCCTCAAACACAGCATCATGGGTGGGTTCAAGCTGAATCTCCCCAGGCCCTGTTTGGTTCTGTCCCACCGAGTGCTTAAGATCTCCATGATTCCATAATTGGCTAACAAGGATTCTTGCATATTATTCACTGTCAGAGAGCAACACCCTGCCATGTTCCTCTAAGCATATTGCCCTCAAGGGCTCTGGCATAGAAAGAGACCAACCATGTCTCCCAACCTTTCGGGGTGCCCTGTAAACCAGAGTTCGGCACTGTTGACATTTGGGGTGGGAGAGTTCATTCCTAGTTGTGGGGCCGTCCTGTGCATTGTGAGGTGTGGAGCGGCGTCTCTGGGCCCCTCCCACTGGACACCAGGAGCACCCCACCTCCAACGGAGAAAATGCAAGATGTCTCCAGACATTGCCAAATGTCCCCCCGGGGCAAAATCACCCCCTAGTTGACAACCCTGCCATAAACTAAAGCACCACAGGCACATCATGGGGCAAGAATCACCATTCTCCTAAAAAAGAGTAAGCCAGAGACCAGGGCCTCTTGTACTCATTACATGGAGTCACCAAGTTACAGGTGAGTTTGCCAAAAAGTGAGAAAGACTGGTCTTCAATTCCCTGGAAATGCTTCCCAGTCTTCCCGGAGGGGCCAGCTGCCAAAATCAGCTGGATTTCTATAACACTGCACTCTCTCTCACCCCCATTCTAGAATTATCTGCACCTCTGTAAAGTTTCTATAATCACATACGTGTAATCAAATCAAAGCTATTAGGCTTGCCAGGAGCTCGATGTCTAAAGGAACATTGCTGGAATTCCTTGGGTAGTATATTAGAATTCCAATCACCATCATCTATTTTTTCTAAGCTTGGGTTTTTGTAGAGGAAAGTTGTTTCCTTGTTTGAGTATATATTCTATGAGTACATTTTAATTCAAAAGGGATCAAAACATTTTTTCTTTAGAATTTCAACCTGTCTCTTGTGATAACTGGAAAAATGCTGGAATCCCCCAGCCAGGATGGGAATCGCTGACCTACAGCCTGCGAGGAAAGCCCGAGAAAAGTGGCTGGATTCAGTAGGACGAGCTGGCTGTGGAGACAAGCCACCGCCACCCCCGACGGCCATTGGCTCTGCTGCGGCTCAAAGGTTTGCCTCCAGGCTGCTTCCAGGTTGGGGTACACCAGGGGCACTGACACCACCCAGCCACAGTGCAGGAGACTGAGCCAGGAAAGGAAGTCCATGCAGCCAGCACTCAGCCATCTTACCTGGAGGTGACGCCAACACTGCCAGTCACAATCCCTCAGGGAGAGCTAGCAAGTTGTGTGGCCCCACTTAGGAGCAATGGAGGCAGCACCATGAGGGGAGTGTGACTCTCAGGTGGTCACCCACAGAGGCTCAGCCAGAGCGGCCCTGAACCCTGCCTGGAGGAGCCACCCAGAGGCAGCCCCCACATGATCATGAGGAAGCCAGCCTCATCTACGAAACGGGACCAGGCGTTGAGCCAAGTGGCTTCCTTCCCAAAAGAGAAGAGAACCCAGGATAGTCATCATGCATTTTGTCACCTATCACACGATCCTAAATCCTAGGGAATTTCTGCAAGGCTGTGCCTCCGCCACTGACAAACAGCGAGGTCAGGACAGTGGCCTGAATGCCCCGAGTGGTCCCCGGACGCACTCTTGGACCAGGTCATGAGATAGGAAGTATCCTGATCGGTAGCAAGGGGTCAGAGCAGAGGACGGTGGGGTTGGCAAAGGGAAAAACCACAAAGGCAATAGGGGAAGGGCACCACCGTCCCAGACAAACCAAGTCCTGCTGGCTGGATGTGAAATGGACATGAGCACTCAATTCCGTTGCCCTGGCACATGGAGTTTGAAGGGTCATGGCATGGCTCAGATGAACCAGGCAGGCCTCATTCTCTGCAGAGAGTTTTGTATAGACAGTGATTCACCTTGCACCTTCCCGTTATACCCACTTTGGGTGAGGGAACTGAGTGTATGAGAGGGTTTGGAAAAAAACCATCGTGTGACACCAGGTCAGCCCCCTCCTGCTCTTAGCTCTGCAGCCAGCCACGCTGGAGGCTTCAAGGTAACCAGACACAGAAGGACCCTACAGCTGGAAGACTCACAAGTCACCTGTCAGCCCCATGACCAGTGGCCAATCCCCCAGGTCAGGCATCTGCCTCTGCCCCCACCCTGGGCAGCCTGAGCTCCACCTCTGTCCTCCTGGCTGGATCCTATCTTCTCTTCCCGCCACTCTGAGCTACTCGTGCCTCTAGGCACAGAAGTACCTCCCTGTCACCCGCCCAGACAAAGGAGAATCCTTTAGCTCGGCTTGGTCTCCTGTCTGCACCTGCGGATGCAGAGCACGCCTGCCACCTCTTCCCTGCCAGGAGCTTCAATTCAGTTGGCTGGAAGCTAAGCCCTTCCTTTTCTTTCTTTTCTCTCTTTTCTTTCTCCAATTGCCCTTCTAGGAGAGAGAAGAAAAGCCAGGTCTTTTTGGAAACGCCCATCCTGCCACTGCATATAGAAGATCCACCAGCGTTGAAATCTCAACACTAAAAAAGAACCTGGGGGAGCACGGTTCCGCAGCTGTGCCTGGTACTTCTGTGCTCAGCTACTCGATGGGCTTTGTGCCCTCTCCTGGCCAACTCCCTCCCCCACCAGCTTTGTCTCTCTCGTGTCTATTTTAGTGGCTGATCAGTGTGCCTCTGTTTCCCAACCCAGGGCTTACGCATGTGTATTTCTATACATTATTCCCTCCACGGAGGCTTCTGAGCCATGAAAATGGCTCCTTATGCAAATCAAGGGCTCCTCCATCTGCTTCCGATATCCCCCACTTCCCCTTCATAACCTGTTTGAGGGGATGCGGTACAGGCAGCAGATGATGCAACTTTATTTTTGTAAACCCAGTTGGTCCTGGAGTGCTGGCAGCCACAATAATAGGAGAGCATGCCTGTTGCTGCCTCTCAGTGAGAAACCAGCCAGGAGGGCCTCCTGGGGCAAAAGGGAAGGGGCGGTTCGGGGTCTCAGCAAAGAGGCCGATGGAGTCCTTGCCCTCTCCGCTCCTTAACACCTTCCTCTTTCTGCCGAGTCAGGGCTTGCTGTGGATTGAATTGTGCCCACCACCAAACAAAAGACACGTCAAAGCCCTAACCTCTGAGTACCTCTGAGGAGAATCTTAGTTGAACCACTGAGTACCTCTGAGGAGGATCTTAGTTGAAACCCTGAGGTATCTCTGAGGAGAATCTTAGTTGAACCTCTGAGGTATCTCTGAGGAGGATCTTAGTTGAACCTCTGAGGTATCTCTGAGGAGAATCTTAGTTGAACCTCTGAGGTATCTCTGAGGAGGATCTTAGTTGAACCTCTGAGGTGTCTCTGAGGAGGATCTTAGTTGAAACTCTGAGGTACCTCTGAGTAGGATCTTAGTTGAACCTCTGAGGTGTCTCTGAGGAGGATCTTAGTTGAAACCCTGAGGTACCTCTGAGGAGGATCTTAGTTGAAACTCTGAGGAGGATCTTAGTTGAACCTCTGAGGTATCTCTGAGGAGGATCTTAGTTGAAACCCTGAGGTACCTCTGAGGAGGATCTTAGTTGAACCTCTGAGGTGTCTCTGAGGAGGATCTTAGTTGAACCTCTGAGGTACCTCTGAGGGGGATCTTAATTGAACCTCTGAGTAACTCTGAAGAGGATCTTAGTTGGAGACCGGGTCTTTGCAGATGTAATTAAGTTGGAAGTTAAGATGAGGACATTTTGGAGTAGGGTGGGCCCTACATCCAATATAACTGGTGTTGTCCCAAGGAGAGGAGGGGATGCAGAGACACATGTATCGGGGAAGGCCGTGTGAAGATGGAGGCAGAGGCTGGAGTAAGGCAGCCACCGTCACGGAGCACTGCGGGCTGCTGGGAGCCACCAAAGCCAGGAAGAGGGGAGGGAGGACTCTCCCCTAGAGTTTTCAGAGGGAGCACGGCCCTGCGACACCCTCCCCTCGCAGGGGATGACCGCCCAGCAGCCCCTCCCATCTCACAGGTGCTGTTGTGACTGGGACAGTGTCTGTCTTCACTCTGCACCGCCCCTCAGTTCCTGCTTCAGGGCCTCAGGGTATGTGCTCAAAACATATTTGGCAGAATGAAGGCAGAGTGTTAAGTAACTGTTCCCACATAACAGCACAGCAGCCTCAGGTAGAGGTGGGGACATGGAAACACACCTCCATGTGAATGGATGCTATCTCTTGTGAGATCTCATTTAACACCGGAAGGACACTACTTACATTCCAGTCTGAAGCTGCATTCCCCTGGTGAAGGGTACCCAGGATTCCACGCACTTTTGCAACTTTCTATGAGCCTATAGTTATCGCAAAACAAAAGCCTGGGGGATGGGGGTGCATTTTCTTTTTGTTTTGACAAGAGGCTGTAAAGCCCAGCAAAGGTTGACCCATCCCCCCACCGCATCACCCATCACCCCACCGCATCACCTGATCCTGAAAGTCCAGAAGACAGGGTTTGAATTCCCAGGAAGGAAAGCATTTAGGGAGAACTGTCCCTTCTAGTCCTATGTTTTCAATCCTCCACGGAACCAGTTGCATGGCTCACAGCAGACAGAGGGAGACTGGGGTGCAGGAGTGGGATGCGTGCAAAGAAGCGGCTAGCTAAAGTGGGGGCGGGGTGGCTGGCCAGCAGCATGGCACCCCGGGAGGGAGGTGGCTGATCCTGCAGTGAGGAGGCATGAGGGGCCCTGCCGAGGCCCCAAGAGGGAAGAGGATGCTTGTGTGAGGTCAAGGGGTAGAGGACACAGTCTGTGGCAGAGGGAGAACTGGTACCACTAGCCCTGGGGACACCGCTGAGATGATGCTGAGGTCTGGGCATGCTCCAAGGCAGAGGAAGGAGGGAGAGTGAGGAAGGAAGGGTCGAGGGCACTGCTCATCCTGCCCCCGTCCCCTGAGGCTCTAGAAGAGGGGCTGGCAAACTCCGGCCAGGGCCAAACCCAGCTCCCCCAGTTCCCCCAGCTCACCACCTGTGCTTGTGAACAACATGTTGCTGGGACCCAGCACGCTCCTTCACGTTCATCCATGGCTGCCTTCCTGCTGCATGGCACAGCCACGTGGCTCTGAGAGGCTGAGACCATCTGGCCTGCCAGGCCTGGAATATTTACAACCTGGCCCTTGACAGAAGAAGTTCGCCGACCCCTGCTTCAAATCATCTCCGCCATGGAGGAGCCAGCGTGAACTTCCACAAAGCCTGGATGGAAGGGGCTTTTTAATGAGATGAGGCAGCATCGAGCACAGCCCACAGAGAGGAGGAATCGGCAAAGTGAGTTTTCTTCGTTCTCACCCTGGAGAAAACCTCCAGCTGTGCACCACGGAGAGAGTGGACTTTGCGGGGGCCAAGCTGGGGTGAGGCACCTGCCCTGTTATCAATTTAAAGTTGTATTTTCAAAGCAGGGATGTTGTCATGCTGTGGCAGAATTGTCCTGATCACCCTGGCCCTCGTCCCTCTGCGAATAAATCCCCCACGCATGGCACCATCCACCAACAGAGCGTTCTTGCCCAAATCTGCCAAAGAGTATGAAATGCGTAAGGCCCAGAGCCGTGCCTCCTCCGCCTTTGTGCCGCAGCCCTGGGCTCAGCGACAGCTCACCCGGGGCCAACTGATGGTAGTTTACTTTGAGGCCGTGATGGAATCCATCCACAAAAATTCAGCACCAAGAGGCAGCCCAGCCCTGCAAGCCAGACCACAGAGACCAGAGGGGAGGATGGCCGCCCCAGCAGTTCCCTTGATCAGCGCCAGCCTGTGTAGGCCCTGGAGCTTCAAAGATGAATGAGACTCTGCTCCAGCCCTCGGGTGCCTGCAATAGGGCTGCAGAAACCATGAAGAAGCCCAGACGGGACAATCACCACAGTGTGATGTTCTGGGGAGGTGCCCACATGCCGCGGGACCACAGAGGACGGAGCCTCCGGGAGCTTCCAGAGCAGCTACTCCAAGGCCGTCTATACTGGGAAAGGGGGTCTGTTTGCAGCAGCGGATTCTAAGTAACTCACGTTGTAAATATTCCAGGCCTGGCGGGTTAGACGGTCTCGGCCAGTCAGAGCCACGTGGCTGTGCCGTGCGGCAGGAAGGCCGCCGTGGATGGACGTGGTGGAGTCATATTGTGGGCTGCTGGTATTCTTGGCCCTCTACCCTAAGGTCGCTGGGGCTTTGTGCCCCAGTCCAGGGGCTCCTCCCCGCCAGGACTTAGCAATCGTTTGCGCAGAGCCTGCCCACTTTCTCCTTGGAAGAACGGGCAGATTCCTTCCCAGAAGGTGCTACACGGAAAAGCCCCATTGTCACTCCCAAGCCCCCAGACCCCACTTCTCAGTCCCCACAGACTGTGCTTGCCCATGGGGGTGGGGTCTCCTGCTGCCGGCCCAGGAGGGTCTGCAGCACAGGTGCCCACCTGCCCTGCCAGCATCTATTGCCGCCCAGAGGCCCCAGGTGGGCATGAGGAGGCTGCCTGCGTGTGCGGAGGAGGGCGGCCCAGGCGAGCAGGTGGGCCCAGGCAGCTTGGCGGCTAAGTGTTCTCGGCATCTGAGGCGGCTTCACTTTTCGGCAGCCAGTGAAGGACAAGCACCCTGTAAATTTAGAACGCGTGATGGCTGGCTGCTTTTGGTATTCATCTGAGTGCACGGGGGAGACGGAATAATCCACCCATGGTCATGCCCTTACATCCCAGCCCACGTCGCTGCCTGCAGAAGGGAAAACCTTTCCCAAAAGTAAAAAGGTGATGGGCCCCTCTAAGGCCGGTCCCAACACCAGCCTTGGCCGCCTCCCAAGGGGACCCTCCTCTCCTTCTCACATTTAGCTAAAAATAAAGCCCTTTTTGGCAGCAAACGCACCCAGTTTCCCCAGAACATAAGCTCCCCGGGAATCTAGAAACGAAAGAGCTCTACCTCTTATCAAACCCAGATGGATTCCTGAAAATCTGTGTCCAGGCAATTTGTGCAAATCAATCACGTTCTCCGTGACTCACCTTCATCTGGGATGCGTCCCTCACAGCTGACCGCCAGGCCGCTGACCACCCGCTCCGCACACAGCAGGCTGGACAGTGCCGGCCTGCAGCAAACCCTGCAAGAGGGGCCAGCTGCTGCAGGGGAGGGTCCTCAAGGGATGTGGACCCTTGAACCCAGATTCTGCTGTGCATGTTGGGAGGTCAGGTTCCCACAAAGTGAGGCAGGCCTGAATGCAGATGACCCTGCCGTGGATTCTTTTAGACCTTGGCCTCATTCCTTCTCAGGTGGCAGCGCCAGAATTACCCTGGAACCTCTCACAAAGTTGTCCTCGGGGCAAATGATCTGAATGTGAATAACTGCACTGGAGGGGGGAGGGGAGGAGGAAGAATGAGGCTCAGTTCCCCCTTTGTACACGTTATCCCCTGCAGCTCCTAAAGGCAGAATAGGATTGGCCCAAGGCCAGCCAGCTCCAGGCTGGGACTCCATGTGGAGCCTAGGGTGGCACAGAGGGGATTGAGGTGGGGCCCAGGTGAGCCCATTTGCACTGCAGAGAGAAGCCTCTGGATTGGGACAGAGGAGGAACCAGGTTGCATGCAGGGAGGCTCAGCCAGAGCTGATGAGGTTGCAGGGGCTGCAGAGATGGACAGAAAGGGTCAGATCCAAGGTGAGTGGACTGGGCAGGGGGCCACACGTGGGAGGCTGGAGGAGTGGAAGTAACCGAGATCAGCGATGGAGGCCCACACTCCAGAGGCCCACACTCCAGGCTAGGAGCCACTGAGGCCACCACACAGAGCTCGCTCTCCAGGAAGGAGCGGCCAGGGGCCCCTGCCTCTGTCCCTACTCTTGATAAGGGTGGAAAGGGGTTGTGGGGACAGAGTCTTGGCCTTGCTGCCCTCACATCGCCAGCATAGTACTAGAATCCTGGGACACAAGCAAAGGCCACAGGGACCGATTCCTGCCCTATGGCTCTCTTTCATCAGGTGACTATTGAACACGTGTGTGTGTGTGCACGCATGCACGCCGCCTGTCAGGGAAGGGGTGGCCCCTGTCGAAACTGCTCTCAGCAGGTAGGAGTTTGATGTCAGCTGACAGACGGAAGCTCTGGCAGCAGACTTTACTGGTTTGTACCAAGGGAAGGGGCTGTCCCCAGCTGGACTCAGCATTCCTCCAATGACAGAAAGACGCAGCGCTTGTCCTGTCTCAAGTGCCAGGCAAGGTCTTGACTCCCGTGATTCCTTTTAGTTTTCACATCCCTGTGAAAGAGGCGTTGCCCCCATTTTCTAGATGAAGGAGACTAAGCTTGGAGAAGTTCCTAAGAACCAGCTGGTGGGCAGCTGGGACTTGAACCCGGCCATTTCATGTCTACTTCATGGCCTCTGCCCTGTGTTTCCCTGGTAGGACGGTCCCAGGGCCGGGACAAGCTGCGCTCTTTGTCCTCCCCAACTGGAGGCAGAGAGTCGAGTCCAGGCATCGAAAATCCTCCCAAGCCTACACCTGGCCATGCCCATTGGCTGGCGGCGGCAGAACAGAGGAATAGTGACATTGTCAGCGAGGGTGGCGATAAACCCACCCCTCCGTGCTCAACATAAAAGCCACAGCTCCATGCTCAACATGGTCTGCACCTGTCAGGGAGGGGCCTCCAGGTTCTGGCATGACTGTTTCTTTCTCTCCTGGCCGACTGGGGGAGTTTTCTGAAAAGCATTTCCATTACTTCAACCCTCACAGAAACCAGCATCAGTTCTGCCCAGCCCAGGGTGCCCCGAGCATGAGGCATAGATACCCCGCGATGGGGAAGGGGAAGCTCTCAGGGTGTGGCCCCCTTGGGAAGAGCCCAGGGGCTGGTCATGGGTGCTTTGCAGCATAGGAGGGCAGCCTGGGTCATCTCTGGTCAGAGAGTCTGAGCAGCCTCTAGAAAGATCCGTGGTATCACTTTTTCCTTATTATAAAAGTTATACATATTCACTGTAGAAAATTTAGAAACTACACATATGCAAAAAGAAGAAAATAAAAATAACCCATAATCCCACTAACCCGAAATAACTCCTGTTAACATTTTGAGCATATATACACTCCCAGACTTTCCTATGCATAGAATATATATTTTGGGTTCTAAGTGGGATCATACTGTACATTCCATTTTGTAACTTTTTTCCATTTAACTCTATGTCATACCAAATCATTAACTATTCTTCCACAACAGCATTTTTAAATGGCTGAATTAGCCAAAAAATACTAAAGGGACAGTTGAGGGCAGGAGAGGAAATTTTACAACACAGAAACTTGCAATTAAGCATTAAATAAGAAAACGCCCTTTGTAAACAAACGTATTTTCTCTCTTTAGTCCAAATTCTACAATAGTGAAAAACGAAAATGTCATCCAACTTGAGACAGGAGACCTCATCACCCATAGCTGGTGACGGCTTCAGGAGGAGCCGGCATCACCGTTCAGAAGGGCTGACCAACTCTCCCTGCAGGTGGGAAGTTGTCTAGATATTTCTGAGGCTGTAGGATTGCAGTCATCGGAACATTGTCAAGCCATTCCCCGGCGAGATGCTCAGGAGTGGCTCAGAGGGAGGTGGGAGAGGTTAGAATCCGAATCCAAGGGGATCCCACAGGACTCACATCAGCTGTGCCAAGAGCAGGGTATGTCGTCACATATGAAATGGGAGCTCTGTGGGGTCTGCCAGACGCTCCCCAGGTCCTGGAGGGGCTGACATCCTTTCCAGTCCAGGCTCGGAACCAGCCAGAGGCTGTTCCACACCACTGGTCCCTGAAGCTTGGTAGCAAATCCAAGAAAAAAGGTGTTCCTGGGGGTAGAACCAATGATGAATGGCCATTGCCGTGCCAGCCCCAAGACCCACCGTGACCTAACAGCGGTGTCTGGAGAAGAAATCAGGCTTGTAAAACATCACCATGGCCAAGCATCTGTGTCTCCCCAGTTTATTCAGGTTTCTTTTCTCAATGTGCTTTAGGGAAGCCCCTTCAGGAAAACGCCCACCTGCCATGTGCAAAACAAAGACAGAGGGAGATCGTCGCCCCCTCGGAAGTCGGTTTGACAAGTGCCCCAGAGACTGGGCCCACAGAGACAAAGACCAGGGGGAGAAATACGGGAGAGTCTGCTCTGGGGGACTGCCATGTGGGCAGCTCTCATGCCCAGAGGGATCCCAGCTGAATCGGTTAGGATGCTTTCAGCTGCACCCAACAGAAACCTGACCCAAACTGGCTGAAGCCACGAGGAAGCGTGCCAGTCACATGACGGGAAGTCCAGGCTGTGGCAGCTGCGGGGTTGGGCGATTCAGCCCCTCTCTATGCCACAAGGACACAGGTCCTGTCTCCTGCCTGCTCTGCTACCCTCAATGTAGGCCTCCCCCTTGGGCTAGAAGCAGCAGCTCCACGGCAACATCCCAAGGCCCCTCTCCAAGGGCTGTTCACAGAGGCTGACTCCCGTCCTCCCTTTCCTGAAAGACACTCTCTTTGACTCATTGGCCAGATCTGGGGATCACCTATAGGTAAGGAGAAGAGGGAGGGTGACAGAGGCTCCCAGAAGTCAGCCCACCAGCAAGGCCTCTCTCCAGCAAAGCTCATTCCTACCTGTCCTCCGGAGAGTGTCACAAGGGGACAGCGGCCTCCAATCTCCCGATTCCTTTACTCTCCCCTGTTACCCAAGTGAGTCACCCCAAACGAATGAGGCCCTCAGATGATCCACAGGCTGGAAGGGGCCCGGCTACCCCTCAAAGTTTCCTGGGCTTGCAGGTCTGCTGCATGGCTGCGGTCCTGGCCAGACCACATTCTGGGCGGACAAGGCAGGATAGCCAGCCCACAAAGACACAGTATGCGCAGCCAGGCAAGGTTGCCTGTGTTGGGGACAGTCAATCGGACATAGGAATAACGTGTCCTCTGCACCCAGGAAGCCTGCAGCACTGAGCCGTCTGCATTTGCTAGGGCCACCAGCTGCCACTTACTCCAAGGAACAGGGTGGGAAGAGTCCACACGGAGAGGGGCCGTGGGTTGATCTCTGCTCCCCCTCAGTCACAAACCCACTCCTGGTTTCCCTGCACCTCCCCCAGCCACTGCACCCCTGCCCGTGACCAGTAGCGGCAGGGTCATCTCCACAGGCCCCTCCCTCCCTCCACAGCTTCCTAAGCACTGACAGGCCCTCTCTGTCCTCCCTCTCCCCACTTTCATTCCTGGCTAGATTTAAGCTGGTCTCACAGGGGGCTGGGGAGGGAGAGCTGCAATCCCCATGGCCAGGCAGTTCGGCCCCAGACACCCTCACTCTGTCACCCAGACTGGAGTGCAGTGGCGTGATCTCAGCTTACTGCAACCTCTGCCTTCCAGGCTCAAGCGATTCTCCTGCCTCAGCCTCCCAAGTAGCTGGGATTACAGGTGTGCACCACTACCACCCAGCTAATTTTTATATTTTCAGTGGAGACAGGGTTTCACCATGTGGGCCAGGCTGAACTTTTGACCTCAAATGATCCACCTGCCTCGGCCTCCCAAGTTACTGGGAATACAGATGTGAGACGTGGCACACAGCCCACCCCCATTATTCTAATCACCATCAGATGTGCCCTTGTCTTGCCCTGCACAGGCCTGGTTATGTGTGTTCCAGTAAAATACAGCACCATGGAAGCCTGAACATCTGTAAATCTGCCAGCTGAGTGGCCCTGCTTAATTACAGCTCCCAAAACACCCACTGTGGTGGCATCAGCCCCGTCAACGGTGATCCATTGCCCTGATGGGCAAGCTCATCACCCTCGGGCCTCCTTGGCCACGGGTGTTTTCCCCTGAAGGAGCCGGCCACAGGGCATGCTTGCCCCGCCCCAGCGTAGCACTTTGCAGAGTCCCACACTGTATCATCCGTCCTCTAACAGAGGCAGGACAGTGACCTGTTTGGCAGGTGTGTGTGTGTGACTTGTGGCTGCCGTAACAAATCACCACAAACTCACCGGCTTAAAGCAACAGACATTTGGCCGGGTGCGGAGGCTAACACTGTAATCCCAGCGCTTTGGGAGGCCGAGGCGGGCAGATCACAAGGTCAGGAGATCGAGACCATCCTGGCCAACATGGTAAAACCCCGTCTCTACTAAAAATACAAAAAATTAGCTGGGCATGGTGGCGAGCACCTGTAATCCCAGCTACTTGGGAGGCTGAGGCAGGAGAATCACTTGAACCCAGGAGTCGGAGGTTGCAATGAGCTGAGATCACACCACTGCACTCCAGCCTGGTGACAGAATGAGACTCCGTCTCAAACAAAACAAAACAAAACAAACAAACAAAAAACAAAAAAAAAAAAAACCAAAAAAGCAACACACATTTATCCTCTTACAGTTCAGAGTCTGAAATCAAGGTGCTGGGAGGTTTGCGCTCCCTCCAGATTCTAAGGCTCCTCCCTCGCCCCTTCCGGCTTCTGGCATTGCCGGCGGTGCTCAGTGCACTTGACTTGTTGCCAACATCACTCCTGGCTCTGCCTCCATCATCATGTGGCCCTCTCCCTGTGCATCCGTTCTCCTCTTTTCTTAGAAGGGCACCAGTCATTGGATTTAGGGCCCACCCTCATCTTAACTTGATGAAATCTGTAAAGACCCTATTTCCAAATAAAGTCCCATTCACATGTTTGGGAGGTTAGGATTTGGACCTGAGGGATACACAGCCAGCCTGCAACAGTGGGTGTCCCCTGCAATGCCAAGGGGGGACAGTGTCCTCACTCCTCCTGGGCCATGCTAGACACACAATTCCCTTGGACTAGCCAAATTCTCTTTCCCTAGAACCCCCGCCCACAGGTCCTGTTTCTGCCTTTGAACAAAAACGGACAAATCTACTTCCTCCTGCCCATGACAGACTTTGAAACTGTGGAGCATCGTGACAGGCCTACCCTCTCCCCAGTCCCCCAAGGCTCCCAGCTCCAATTATGACCCCCATCTCCCCACCTCAAATTGAGGAGGTGAGTCCCTTTGTGCCCAGCTCTTGGGCCAGGCCAGCCCCAGGTGGTCACTGTCTCTCCTACACCAAGTCACAGAGTGGACCCCAAGTGTCCCAGGAGGATGAGCTGATGGGGGTGGGGGAGATGAACACACCTGGAGGCCCAAGGCATGTCCACACCCCCCGAGGAGATGCTTCCCCTCAAACGTGCACTGGGTGCTGTGGTGGGGTTGGGGGCAGGGGTGCTGGTGAGGGCAACACCAGGCAAGGCCTCCGTACTCAGGACTCTGGAGCCCAGCACAGGGGTTGGGGCAGAGATGCCAGGCAGCTCTTCCCCTGAGCCAGGCTATCCTTCTGCTATTCAGCTATTTTGCAAACACAAACCCCCAAAACTTAAAACCGACAGAAGAGGAGCTGCCCCTTCCCAGGCTGTTGTGAATACATGTAATCTCATGATGAGTCTTCTCTCCCACAGGCTGATGGCCCTATGGCATCAGGAGCATCTGTGTGTGCCTGGCACACAGCAGGAACTTAACTAAGCCAGTGGGATGAATGGAGGAATAAATGAATGAATGCACAGGTGATCTGGCTACAGTGGAGAGAGAGAGCTGGAGTTTTCCCTTCTATGCCCCTTTCCTCCCACCTTGCAGTCCATGAGGCACCGCCCTGGAGTGAAGGGCAAGTTTGGCCTTGCGGGAGGCAGGGACAACCACAGTCAGGGCAGGAAGCCTCGATGCCACCTCCCTGCCAAGGCCTGGTTCCCTGCTCTGGAGCTGAGCTTTCCCTAGGCACAGTAAGAGCAGGACAGTAAAGGCGGGTGGGCTTTGAGAATCATCCTCGCCAGCCCCTGCCTTTAGGGCAGCAGTAGGGCAGTGACACATTCACGGAGGAACTCAACCACTGTGTGGTTCCTTCAGACCCAAGAATCAGGATGAGATCGGCAGGAAACAGGTGCCCATGTGGGGGCTGGATGTCTGTTATTCCCAGGAGACCCAGGAGGCCACCATTGTGAGCTCAGGTCTAAGTCCCAGAGATCAGGGGAGGGTCTGATCACACTGGCCCAGAAGCAACCTCAACACTGTATGTAAAGTCAAAGCATGGGTATGGCCCATATGTAAAGAGTGCCCTGAAATTAATAAGAAAACCACCCCATGGAAACACGGACAAAGCATGAGAACAGGCTGTTCACATAAATACGCATGCAAACAACCAGTAAACACACGAAAAATACTCCACCTTCCTCAAGTTGGGGAAATGCAATTAAAATGCTGAGATGTTTTATATGCTTAGACTGAAAAATAAGGACTAATACGTGGTCAGGTGTGGTGGCTCATGCCTGTAACCCCAGCACTTTGGGAGGCTGAGGCAGGAGGATTGCTTGAGCTCAGGAGTCCGAGACCAGCCTGGGCAACATAGCAAAAACCTGTTTCTACAAAAAATAGAAAAATTAGCAGGGCATGGTGGCACATACCTGTAGTCCCAGCTACTTGGGAGGCTGAGGTGGGAAGATCACTTGAGCCCAGGGGGTCACGGCTGCAGTGAGCCATGATCGTACCACTGCACCCAAGCATGGGCAACAGAGTGAGACCTTGTCTCAAAGATAAAAATAAAAATAATAACTGATGTTGGTGTGGGAATAAAATAATCACATAGTGTGGAGGCATCTGTCAATACTTTTGACTTTTTATAAAGTAACCCAGGTGTAGTTTTAAGTTAAAATTTAAGATACACATAACCTTTGCCCCAATAAGTCTACTGTTGGGGTTTTCTCCAGGAAAGCTACGAGTGCCAGGAAAACACATAGTGCATGGTGGTGTCTGTGCATTGGTTTGGGAGGAGACATTTCCCATTGCTAACAGTGGTTAACAGTTGGAGGTCAGAGGTCGCCCCAGGAGAGTTGGATTTGGGGAAGGAGGTCCCAGACTATTCATTTCACTTTATACACTTCTGTGTTGTAAGAACAAAGAAGCAAATATTTTTATAGCTCATGCAACTGAATTTTTAAATGACTAAGAACGTCATTTCAAAGTAAAGCCTTTCAACTCTCTATGCTATTACAGGTAGGGTCCTAGATTTAGGGAATAAGAACATGGCGCATGGTTAACTTTGAATCTCAGATGAACACGGTTTTGTTTGGGTTTTTAGTGTAAGTAGGTCCCACGCGATGTGTAACACATACCTATACAAAAAAACCTTTGTCATTCATCTGAAATCCGGATTTCATTGCATGTCCTGTGTCTTATCTGGCAACCCTGGGGACAGCAGGAGGAAAAGGAAGAAACAGCTTCACAAATCTCTGCCATTTTAATGGATCCGTTTCCTCTCCTTCCTCATGAAAACCTGCTGTGTCCAGGGTGATATTTCTTTCTCCCGGTAATCACACGCATGCACACACACTCACAGGTGCTGACCATTCGTCACCCTCCAAGAACATTCTGACTCGGAGTGAGCATTTCAGCAGATGCTGATATTCAGCGTGGCTCCGATCTGAGAGCCAGGATGTCACTTCAAACTCATCCTGCTGAGAGACCTGAGTCTCTAGAGCAGGGTCCGGGACTCTCCAATGCTGTGTTCCAGCCTGACAGTGCCCGGTGCACGGAAGGGAGTCGGCAAATGCAGGGAGACAAATGAACGGCGGAGGCCCCGGCACACAGTGGAGGGGCTGGCATCCACCTCCTTAAGGTGCATGGCGTCCAGGCCCCAGCCCCAGAATCCTCCTCAGCGTGTCAGGCAGGGCTGCCCCACATCTGTGCCAAGGCCAGCATCCTGGATGGTCCTCCCACTGCCAGGTGCTCCTGCTGTTCTCTCCTCCCACGCAATGCACACTCCTCCACACAGAAGGGCCCGGGCCCTGCTTCCAAAAGCAGACTCCATGTCATTCACATACCGCCGTGGTGCACAGACGTGGGCTGAGAGCGGGGAGCTACACTCGGGCCTGGAGCCGGTGTGGCCTCCGCCAGGTTGTGGGTTGCTCGACCTCCTGGAGCTTCAGTGCCCCCATCTGTAAAAGTGGAGGTCGATGAAATATTCTTGAAGGGGTTTCTAAGCATTTCTGAGAGTTTAGGGTCAGTGGTGTCCTCAGCTGTCCTAATCCATTTAGTACCAGTTCTACTTCAACCGGACACTTCAGAGCATCTCAGCCAGAGACACGGGGCCACTAGCTGCAAGAAAGTTCCTTCTCGCCCCTCTTCTTGAGGCCTGGGGGGATCTGCAGGCCCAAGTATCCTCCGAGGAACTGCTGCTTAACCCGAGTGCTTGTCGAGCCTCAGCAGCCACAGACGAGACATTAGCGTTACAACCCACACTGATCTTTGTCAATTACGCTCCAGTATTTGAGCTCTAACCAGCTTTAAATTGAATCAGGACAAAATCATCAGAATAAAAAGAGCCCAAGCCACAGCCTTTCAATTCCAGCACTGGAAAAAAAAAAAGCTATACATTTCATAATGGCCTTCTACCCCATAATGAACAGGAAAAATAAATTAGATTCCAAGCTAAGGGTATATTTATGCAATTTCATTATGTGCCCATGAGCAAGCCTGGTTTTCACCAAGATAAAAATGAGCTCTCAGAAACACTCACACTAAATAAATGGAGTGATATAACAGCTTAACAGGGAGCGTGGAAGAGGAGCTGAAGGACAATGTCAAAAATGAGAAAATAAAAATAAGAGAAGCTTACAATGTACCACCATACTTGGTGTACAAAGTACTAGAGGCGCCTGGAGTCTGTGGCCGGCAGCGGGTCCGCCTGTCCCTCCGGAGGAAGCAGCTCTGTCCTCAGCACTCCAGGGACCTAAAGCCAAGAACAGCGGAAGGGACACGGCTTCTCCCCTTGACACACGAGCCCATGTGATGGCAAATCCACCAAGGCTCTCTCTGCACCCTGGTCAGTTACACTGTTACCATCAAACCGCTAGGCCTCAAGTCAGTTCTTCAGGCCCACCCCGGCTCCTGGCAAGAGACCGCTCACCCCGGAGCAGGATTTCAGTGGAAACTCTGGCTTTGTCTCAGCCCTTTCCGTGCTGATCAGTAACCTTTCTTCATCTCACTGACAGAGTCCCTCTTGGTTCTCTCTTTTGCTTGTCTCAGGGCCCTCACGTTTGATGGCACCAGTTTCGAGGGCAGAGTGACACCTCCTGCCGATGTCACCAGGTGGGCCACGGAGCACGGGGCTCCTCCAGGGTCCCCACGCACTGGCTGCCGGGGCCTTCCCTCGAGTGTTTCTTTTTACAGAACAAAACCATGTTCTCTGCTGCCTTTAAACACCTTGAGAGCGTCGACCTTTTTTTTTTTTCATGTATTGTTTATCGTGCAACACTCCGAGACCTCTATGTGAGAGGCGTTTTATAAGTTCAGGTTGTTGTGAAGGTTGACAAAATAATAGATTCCTTTTTATTTTTTCAATGGATATTTACAAAGCTGGAAATTGTTTCCTGAAAACCCTGGCGGTGTCTAACTGGGGCAGACTCGAATTCAGACAGCTCAGGGGTCTCTCCCAAAAGGCAGCGGCTTCACCCTCCCTGGCTGCCCTCTGCAGACTCACAAGGGGCTCCCCAATGCTGTCAGCAAGGGCCAAGGAGAAGGTAACGAAACTATGCAGTGTGAGCGCTAGTGGGGCGGCTCCCTAGTCCCTAGATGAGGAAATCAGGAAGAGATTAGGAGGGATCCCAATGAATCAGCGAAGAAGCTGGGCTTAGACCAGTCTGTCTGATAGAAATAGCATGGCAGTCCCACGGGCAATTTTCAGTTTTCTAGGTGGCTGACGCCTGTAATCCCAGCACTCTGGGAGGCCAAGGCAGGTGGATCACCTGAGATCAGGAGTTCGAGATCAGCCTGGCCAACATGGCAAAACCCCGTCTCTACTAAA
This sequence comes from Homo sapiens, assembly GCF_000001405.40. Taxonomy (NCBI): domain Eukaryota; kingdom Metazoa; phylum Chordata; class Mammalia; order Primates; family Hominidae; genus Homo; species Homo sapiens. Next base: position 79,542,625 of record NC_000017.11, read on the forward strand.
AATACAAAAATTAGCTGGGCATAGTGGTGCATATCTGTAATTCCAGCTACTCGGAGGCTGAGGCAAGAGAATCGCTTGAACCCAGGCGGCGGAGGCTGCAGTGAGATGAGATCACACCACTGCACTCCAGCCTGGGCAACAGAGCGGGACTCCATCTCAAAATAAAAGGATTTTTTTTTACAAAACAAAAGAAATTAATTGTAATCACATATTTTATTTAACCTAATATATTCTAAATATTTTTGGGTCAATATGTAAATTGTATAAGGGATTATCAGTCACGTGTTTTACATGCTTTGTCCATGTGCTGGGTCTTGGAGTTGGCGTACACTTTTCACTCTACACACGTCAACTGCCCAGCTCTCTCCCGTGGCCGGTGGCTGCCATCCAGGTCCAGGCAGGCACAGACCCCTATATATCACAGCTGCCTCCCTCACAACCACAACCCCAAGCCTAAAAGACAACCATTTGGCCACATGTAACCCGGCATACGGCAGCTGAACGGTAAAGGGGAATATGTCCAACACTCAGAACCGTATCTTTGCAAGTAATGAGTGATTTTCCAAAACCACCAGGAGACCAGCAGAAAATCACCTCCTCCACGCCTTACTGAGCATCTTCTCTGTGCCAGGAGCAAAGGACGTTACAGGTGCGAGTTTGCTACATCTTCAGAGCTCTGCGAGGCCAATGCTGCCTTCACTGTGACTCCCTGATAAACGGAGGCTCAGATAGGGCCGCCCAGAATTGCATCAGTGGTGCACAGTGAAAGGACGCCTGAAATGCCAATGTTCATCACCCTCTGAGGGTAGAATTTCCCCTCCTGACAAGCAGGACCCCCTTGGAACCAAACAGGTACTCAACACCCCTACGTCTCTCGTGGGGCAGGCTTCGGCTACTCAGCTACTCGGCACAGAGCGAAACCAAGGCCTTCCTGCCAACTTCACACTCCCCCCTTCATCAGCTCCTCCTTGATCAGGGCCTCCGAGGAAAAGGAATAAACAAACAAGCTGATAAACAAACAGCGAGCGAGGTAGATGAAACACGCGGCGAAGATGAAGCATGCTGGGCACGTTCCAACCCCGCGGTCTTAGGTACAAAGCCCATTAACTCATTAGTGCGGATGGAGTTTGAATTCCACAGCACCGTGTGATTCTTGGCTACCGTCCAGCAATAATTCAGAGCTACTGGTCAACCAGGAAAGACACAGCCAGGGTGGGCCGAATGGGGCAAGGGTGGGATGCAGGGTGGGCCGAATGGGGCAAGGGTGGGATGCAGGGTGAGCCCCCTACCCCCCAGAGCCAGGGTGCCCACAAGCAGCCTGAGAGAGGGGAAGTCAGAGCAGCCATACCACCAAGTAAGGGAAACTCGTGCCTAGGAACAGAGGGGCTTAAACAACCCTCAGCCCGTCCCTGGGCATTGAGAGCTCCTTTCCCCTGTGCTAAGGAGGAGGTAAGGCCCACAGATAGTCCTGCTGCCATCCTCACAGTGACCCTATGAGTCAGGCACTTCTGTGTTGCAAGAGAGGAAACTGAGCCCAGAGGGCTGGTTGGTGTGGTCCCTGGACTGACACTGGCCGGTCACTGTCTCAGTATCACTTGTGTGTGTTTTCTTCCAGCCTTGTGGAAGAAACCCTGAGATCTATACAACGGAAAAGTACCAGAATCAGCCCCCAAGGATGCCATGAGCTCAGGCGCGCTGGCACGTTGGGCACTCGCTGTGGGCTGACTCTATTCAACACGGTGATTGCTGGTGTTGGTGGAAGGAGGCATCGAGGAAATACAGAAAACTGGGAAGCTGTCTCCCCAGTCGCTGGGGCACTGATTTGGAGAAGGAGGTGACAGAGAAGCACAGAATGAAGAGGAGAGAAGAGAAACAAAGCGCAGAAGGATCAGGAGCCCCCATCAAGGCTTGGAGAAGTCCACTCCTCCCGTCGGAGTACCCCGACCCTCCATACCTCCCTGCCCTGCCAACCCTGACACCTGCCATCCACCTGCCCCACCACACCTGCCCCACCACAACCACCAGGCTCCCTGCAGACACACCTGGCTGCCTTCCCCAGGGCTCAGGGAGCAAGCCTGCATCCTCAGGCTCTGTCTAGTCCCTGGAGCCGCCTCCTCGAAGCTCTTACATAACTCGGGTCCTTCCTCACCTCCTGAGCAGCACCGCCCTCCCCCCACCTTCTAGACATGGGGGAGTAACATCTGCTGTCCTCACTCCTCTCCAAGAGAACTCCCTCCCCAACACCCGCACCCCAAACTCAAACACCGCCACCCTCCCCAAAGCAGCAAGGGATAAAAAATAACATAAAATAAAAACATGCTACCACCACCACCCACCACATCATTAAGGGCAAAAAAAAAAAAAAAAAAAGAGAAAGAAAGAGAAAGCTCGCTCCTACAAATAAAACTCTTTCCTTCTTGTTCTAGAAAAACAAGAATGAATCCTGGGGGGAAGGAGCACAGGAAGGGGGCAGACGGGGCCGCTCTACCTTTTCATCTTCATTGCTGAGAGCATCTTTGATATGGCTTATTTTGTAAAAAGAAAGAAGTCCACGTAGATCCTTGTGCTTGCATGCACGCTAAGAGAAGGTATCAGAATCCCGCTCTGGGAAGGGCGTCGAGGGTCCCCATTCCCGCCCTCTCCCTCGCCCCTGCTAGAGGAGCACGTCTACCAGGAAAGAAGGAAGGGGCCAGCCGTGTTTGGGTTTTGGATCAAGAGGCCAGGATTAGCCTGATTGGAAGGCTCCACAGCAACATGGGGAAGAAGAGAAAACAGCCTGGCTGAGGAGCCGGCCACAGGGTCCCACCGGCGACCACCCCATGCCCTCTGCCCTTGCCCCTGCCTGGCCTCTCCCCACTTCGGCCACCTTGGCAACACTCAGCCTCCAGGGGCCCAGAGGGAGCGGAGGTCTCCCAGGCCTGACTTGGTGTCCCAGGCTTCCCAGGTCGCTTCCTTCCAGGCAGCCGATTGGTTCAATGTCTGCCTTCCCTTCCAAACACTTCCAAGAAAACAAGAGGGGAGGCCTTACTTCTTTCCCCAGGGGACGCTGTCCAACCCACCTCCTGTTATCCAATTCCGCCTCCCAGCTGAGACTGCAGTTCCCCTTAACAGTGTGTTCCCAGCTGTCCTGAGCCTTCACCACCCTGCTCCAGGTTCTCACAGCCACCAGGACGGTTCCAGACATGCACACTCAGACACACCCGTGCACACTCAACCCCGCCAGCTCACTCGGCTCACTCCATTTCTTTGGCAGTTCTCATGGGGCATGGAAGGTTCTCCTTTGATCATTCCTATATAGCTAATTGGAAAGACTGTGTGTGTGTGCACGTGTGTGCGTGTGCACGTGTGTGTGCACATACATGCATGTATACTACTGCACAAGCCATCATGCTACCACTTGGACAAATCTCAGATATGTGGATACCTCTCGCAGATTTGCATAATGACAAATTTAAAGCAAATAATCTTCAATGGCTATAGGTAGATCCAGAAAGGTCATAGCCACAGTCTGGACCCCAGTAGTTTTCCATCTCCCTGATCTATATTCCACCTGCCACCACTGATGAACGACAACCATGTAGACCCATTCAGGACCTCAGCCGAGAGCCCAAACCCCAGGACGCTCTCCCACCAACACAGAGGATCCAGCTTGACACCCCAGAAAGGAAGCACAGGTTTATGGAGCACCAGCCAAGTGTCTACAGACAGTCTCCCTTTTCATCCACACAAACGGCCATCAGATGAACGTCATCACCAGTGCCCCACTGCTGAAGTGTGGCTCTGAATAAGCACAGAGCCCTATCTGCTCTAAGCCCTTGATTTCCAGCACCCCAAAGAGCAAGACGACTCCCTAAACAGGGTTGATCGATGGCTTGTCTGTAGCCCCCTCCATGCCCATCCATCTGACGGCTTCCCAATGGCCTGTCTGTAGCCCGCTCCACGCCCATCCATCTGACGGCTTCCCAGCTGCACCAGAAGCAGCACATGGCTTGGTTCCCTCCCATTCCCATCCGCCGGCATTCCCAGCAGTACCTTCCTCATTCTATTTTTTTTTTTTTTTTTTGAGACACGGTCTCACCCTGTTGCCCAGGCTGGAGTGCAGTGGTGCTATCTCTGCTCACTGCAACCTCCGACTCCCAGGTTGAAGTGATTCTCCTGCCTTAGCCTCCCGAGTAGCTGGGATTACAGTTATACACCACCACACCCGGCTAATTTTTGTATTTTTAGTAGAGGCGGGGTTTCTCCATGTTGGTCAGGCTGGTCTCAAGCTCCCAACTTCAGGTGATCCACCCGCCTCAGCCTCCCAAAGTGCTGGGATTACAGGTGTGAGCCAGTGCACCCCAGTCCCTTCCTCATTCTTTAGACCCACTACTCAGCAGGGGCTCTGCTCAGGGACGAAAAGGGAAGGTGGGTCTGAGCCTGACCCTTCCATCCAGGGCTGGACAAGGAGCCCTAGGGAGCCTGGCAGGTGAACAATTACCTTGGGGCACCTGAGTCTGCCCTGGGGTTCAGAGATAAAAGCATCTTTCAAGCCAACTCCCAAGCGTTCACTTTTCTATTAAAAAATCACTCACGCCACTTTTGGAGGCCGAGGCAGGTGGATCACGAGGTCAAGAGTTTGAGACCAGCCTGACCAACACGGTGAAACTCCGTCTCTACTAAAACTACAAAAATTAGCCAGGCGTGGTGGCATGGTGGCGCACGCCTGTAATCCCAGCTACTCGGGAGGCCGAGGCAGGAGAATTGCTTGAATCCCAGAGGCGGAGGTTGCAGTGAGCCAAGATTGCACCACAGCACTCCAGCCTGGGTGACTGAGCAAGACTCCATCTCGAAACAAAAACAAAAACAAAAAAACTGTTGCTTGTGGAAGGGACAAAGAGACCAAGAATAGGAACTTCAGGAGCCAAATCCCCAGACAAGCCCTCCTGAACCCTCTCTCCTCAGAACTGGAGCTGAGTCCACTCACCCAAACAAACACACACCCCCAGCACACATGAGAATTGTGTGTGCTTCACTTTCGGGGAACATCCACTGGGGAGAAGAGACCACAGCATGTACCACACCCAGTCCAGGGGCTGCCGTCCAGCACCTGCGGAGACCAGTGGAGCAGGCTGGGGGAGGACGCGGGACTTTAGGGGGCAGCAGGCAGGGGCCACACCACAGCCCCTCTCCCTGGACAAGGCTTGGGTTGGGTACCTGGGCTGTACTCGCACCCACACCGATTCACAGCCTTAGCCAACATCCCGGCACCCCAGTGAAGGACTCGGACCTCCAGCCCTTCAGTGGGCTGAGCAGCCAGTGGGTTCATCTGATGGAGGCCCTGCCGAGGGCTGGCCATCCCCTGACCTCCTGGGAGAGGACCAGCTTCCCTCCTCACCCTATCCTGGACTACTCTGAACATTTCTTTTCCTGTCTCCACCCATTTCCTCAAATATTATGGAAAAATCAAGTTCCCAGGCAGAGTTTCCACTCAGGTCTAGTGTCTTCTACCTGGGAACCTCGCCCAGTGCGGCACGGGCTGTGCCTCCCTTAAAGAAAGGGCGGCAGGTAGGGGCGGGCACAGCTCCTGGTGCCCCCAGCTCCTGCTCCGCTCCCGGAGTCCACCCAGGAGGGCCCAGCCTGGCTCACAGCAGAGTTTCAGAGGCCACCAGAGCACTGGGGTCTCGGGCCTGAGGCTGCCCTCTCTGGACACACCCCCACCTCACCCATGTGCTCCTGGAACAGAAGGGCTGGCTTGCATCTGTGACTCCCGAGGCTCGGAGGTCCAAGTCAGCGTCCTGCCTGTGGGGAGGACAGCAGCCCCCATCTTCTCCAAAGGGCCTGGCAGCCCCGTGGCACGGCTGCCACCACCCCCAAAGCCTGTGCACTTTATTTCTGCAGGAAGCGCAGCTGTGCCCAGGATGGTGGTATGAACTAAGAGGCTGTCTCAGGAGGTCCGAGAAGTGCAGCTCTTGAGGCAGCATCAGATGCTGGAGAGGGGCCCAGCTCAGGCCTCAGTTTCTCCAGCTGTAAATCAGGGGACATTCCAGCCTGTCCAGGCAATGCAGCCCACTGCCACAAGACACTCACTAAGTGGAGAACAGCCTGCTACCATCTCTACAGGGGTGTGCGTGTCCTTGGGCATGCGTTGCATGTACTGCTGTAGCCCCAGTGCCTGCTTCAGGACCCGGCATACAAGTGCTCGAAAAATACCTGCAGAATGAATATATGACAGCTACCTTGTGGCATTTTATTTTATCCTCATAAAAAGCCTGCAAGCTAGCAAGTGCCATCACTCCCTCGCTAGATACCATGGTAATTGTTGCAGTAACAAATCCATATTGACTGTAAGGCACTTTGCTGGCATAATCTCATGCCTTCCTCTTCTCCAGGCTGTGAGGTGGTGGAATTGTGGTCACTAGTTTGCAGATGAAGAAACTGAGGCTCGGGATGGGCAGATGCACTGACCAAGGTCCCTTGTCCCCAGGGCAGAGCAAACACCAGTTATAACCAGGCCAGGCTTTGTCTGCCCTTCCAGGAAGGCTAGGGAAAGCCTTGCCAGCAAGTGACAGCCACACAGCCTCAAGATTTTCATGAGTCTCTCTGGGCTCTGCCAGGCACAAGCTGGCCTTACTTTGAAGTCCTAAGGGAGGTTGGCGGGGCTCAGCCTGCAGGTAGGAGCCTACAGCAGAGAAGCTCCGCCCCCTGGCTGGTCCCAGCCCACTCCTCTGGGGCTCATCCGTCCGGCACAACCCCAGGAATGAGCAGATGGCCTCCCTTTTTCCACTAGAGACAGGGAGAGGGATGCAGCTCCATAGTAATTAGAGCCAACTGCAGCTTTGAGGCGGCAAAGCTAATGTTTCTGCAGAGACGTGAGAGCAAGTGAATCTGATACCAGGGTTAGAGAACCAAAAACATCTTTAAGGATCATAACAATGATTTGTGTCTGTGTCAAAGTGGGGTGGTGATTCCAGCCTCCCACCCAAAGCGGGGCTCTGGGGACACCCAGGATGATGGGGGCCCTCAGTGGGGCAGGCCTGAGGCCTTCCTGTGGGCACTGGGGAAGGAGACAAAGGAAGGCACAGCAGGTGCTGCTCCCCAGTGTGAGCCTCATGCCCTGTCCCTCTGGGAAAGGAATCTGACTGTCACCATGGGGCCAAATATCACAATGGAGAGGGCTCAGCAGCTGTGGTCACAGGCCTCAGCCTGGTCAGAGCTAACGTTCAATCAAGAATGTCGAATCGTCATAAAAAGTGAGAAAACTCCAGGCTTTAGTGATATGATGGATGAAGCAGTTTACCTAAAAAACCTTCATGTTCTGGGAAGACCACACACACCAAAAAAAAACGTGGACAGCTAACTTGTAGGGCAGGACGTGGGCATGCTGACCAGCCGTGCCGGGCACCATCCAGAGCTCTCACGCATCCCTGAGTCAATTGCTCCCTGTTGGGACCATCTTCCTCCATTTTCTGAGGTCTACACCGGGACAACTTCCCCAGCCAGGGCCCTGTCAGGCCTGTGAACCTGAACACAAATAGGAGAGGTCAGGCAGGAACACAGGGACTTGGGGAAAAAGAGCACTGAGCCCAGGGAAACAAGAGGGCCCGAGGGCATCCCAGCTCCCAGGGGCATCACCCTCAAAGCTTATGTAGCTTTGATGTAAAAGGGGCAGCTCCATGAAGCCAGACCTGTTCCATGGGAGCCAGTGTATTAACCAGCTCAGGCAGGAGAAATCATGGAATTGAGAGATTACGGTGCAAGGAAGGCTAAACTGGTACAGTAAAAGGGGGCCCAGACATCAGGGAGAAAGTCCAGATGCAGGTCCACAAGCTCATGGTAAGGAAGTACATCACACACACACGTCTAGTACCCAAGCCTGGGATGGAGGACACATAGACCATTCTATGGTTTATTTAATAAGTATTTTTCAAAGTACCACTACATGCTATAATCATTTACGGAATGACGGAATGACAAAATGACTAAGTGGATGAATAGATGGATGAGTGGACAGATGATGGGTGGATAGATGGGTGGGCAGATGGAAGAATAGATGGATTAAAAGACGGATGGATAGGTAGGTGGATGGGTAGATGGATGAGTGGATGGAAGGATGGATGAGTGGATGGAAGAATGGATAAGCGGATAGGTGGCTGTGTGGATGAATGCGTGGGTGGGTGGATGGATGGATGGTCAGTGAGTGGGTTGATTTATGGACAGACAGCTGGATGATACTCTGTTGAAATAAATGGAAGCAAATGGACAGAAATAATTTGACTTTGCAATTCAAAAATTCTCAAAATCTAGGACTTGGTATATTCTACATCAGTGCCATCCAATAGAACTTTCTGTGAGGACAAGAATGCTTTATACCTGCACTGTCCAGTGTGGTAGCCGCTAGCCCCATGTGGCTACTGAACACTTGAAATGTAACTAGTATATCTGAACAAAAGAAATTTTATTTAAATAGTCGCATGCAACTAGTAGTTGCTGCATTGAACAGAACAGTTCTAGAGTTTTTCAACACACCTTGCTGGTACTTCCTGGGAGGCCCTTGGGAATCCAGGCTATGCAAGGCCAGTTAGAAGAGATGACTCTGTGAGAAGCTGACACCAACATGAGCAGGGCGATTCCCCTCTCCCCCAGCCCCTGGTTTCTGCTGAACAAGAAGGGAACTTGCAAAGCCAGGGGCTAGGAAAATGCTTTTCAACTTTAACATGTAGTATAATTTGGATATTTGTCCCCTCCAAATCTCATGTTGAAATGCAATCCCCAATGTTGGAGGTGGGGCCTGGTGGAATAAGTGGATGGATGGGTGGATAGATGGGTCGGTGGATGGATGCCTGGTTGAATAGGTAGATGGATGAAAAGATGGGTGGATGGACGGGTGGGTGGATGGACGGGTAGGTGGATGGGTGGATGGATGGACGGGTGGGTGGGTGGATGGATGGGCAGATGGAAGGTGGATAGATAGGTAGGTGGATCCCTCATGAACGTCTTGGTGCCATCCTCCATTTGGGTCATGGGGGCGGATCCCTCATGAATGGCTTGGTGCCAACCTCCTGGTAACAAGTGAGTTCTTGCTCTGTGAGTTCACATGAGATGTGGCTGTTTAAAAGAGCCTGGAACTTTCTCCTCATGGTCTTGCTTCCTCTCTCACCATGTGACACTCTGGCTCCCCTTCACCTTCCGCTGTGATTGTAAGCTTCTTGCAGCCCTCACTAGAAACAGATGCCAACACTACGCTTCATGTACAGCCTGCTCATGGCCAAATAAACCTCTGTTCTTTATAAATTACTCAGCCTCGAGTATTCCTTTAGAGCAATGCAAATGGACTAATATAATATGCATACAAAGCACCCAAAAATTTTGTTTAAAATGCAGATCCTAAAATTCAGTAGGCATAGGGGAGGACTCAAACATTTGTATTTCTAATAAGCCCTTACATGATGCTGACGTTGGTCCAAGGACAATATTTTGAACAATAAGAGTTTTGGAGGCTTTCCATTCCAGAAAAACAAGGTTTTGTGGGTAGCAGAATGGAAAGACCCTAGAAGACCAAGATTAAATACAGAGAATATGGCATAGTAAAAGAAAAATTCAAATCTTCAAAATTTGATAATTTAAACAAATTAATGTATTGAAACCTTACTATAGGCCTGTATGCTATGGAAAATGCAGGGAGCTTCTGAGCTAGTTTAGGTTGCAAAATAAACACATGAAAAGTTAAACAATAAATGACTTAAAATAATGGCTTAAACATCACACATCAGCAAAGCCTTTCATGGCCCCCACTCTTCACACTGCAACCTCACCCTGACTCCTCTCCCAGCAGCATAATTTGCCATAAGAATATCATTATCTAAGTTACAACACAATTTTCTTATTCGTTTCCCACCTAGAATGCAAGCTCCAGTGGGGAAGGAATTTCTATCTGTTTTGTTCACTGTTGTATCACCAGGGCCTGAACAGGGCCTGGTGTATGGAAAGCGCTCAAGTCAGCAAATATTTCTTGAATTATAATGATTCCATTGTAATTCAAGAAATATTTGCTGACTTTAAGGCTTGGCTCCATTTGGAGTTTATCGAGGTGTAAAAAATGTTCTTCAGGATTCTTAAGTTTTTTGCACATGCATTTTGCACATTTCTTGTTAAGTTTATTCCTAGATATTTTATTTTTGTTATCATAAATAGGGGCCTTTTCTCCCATTATATTACTGTTGTAAGACAGATACATATATACATATGGACATGCATACATGCATACATAGGATTACCTTGTTGGTTGTAGTAGTTTTTCATGGATTCTCTAGGATTTTCCAAGTATACAATTATATCATCTAAAAAAGGGTAATACTTTTAGCCCCTCCTTTCCAATATTTATTCTTCTCATTTCTTTTCTTGTCTGATTGCATTGGCTAATGCTTCTGCTACAATATGAAATAGTAGTAGCAAGAGTAGGCATCCTTGCTTTTTTCTTAACTTCAGTGTTTCCACATTAAGAAAAAAATGAGTTTTGAATATGATTACAGTCACGTTAAGAAAGTATCAATTTATGTTTTGCTGAATGTTTATCAAGAATGGATGCTGAATTTTGTTAATGCTTTTTCAGTGTTAAAAAAGATAATCGTGTGTTAATTCTCTTTATATTAATATGATGCATTATATAAACAGATTTCTTCCTATTAAACCATTCTTGCATTGCTAGAATAAACTCCAAGTAAACACAGGGTATTATTATTTTAAGATGATGCTTGGATCCTATTTGGTAATCTGTTATTTAAATTTTTGCATTGATATTTATAAGTGAGACTGGCCTGTAGTTTTATTTTTGTACAATATTTGTCAGGTAAAAAAAATTTTATTCTCACTTTAGGAAAATTACTTAGACTTTTTCTTCTTTATCTTTGCTGTGGAACACTTTAATTAGCATTGGAAGCACCTGCTCTTTAAAGGTTTTGTTCAAATTCCCCTGTGGAACCATTCAGACCACAAGCTTTGTGTGAGAGTAGCTTAGAAACTTTCTATCTTCCATACAAATTGATCAGTTTGGTAAATTATATTTCTCCCTTATTATTCCTCATTATGTGTTCCTTGGGTTTTCTTGGGGTTTTTTTGTTTGTTTGTTTTCGTTTTTGAGACAGAGTCTCTCTCTCTCTCTCTCTGTTGCCCAGGCTGGAGTGCAGTGGTGCGATCTTGGCTCACCACAACCTCTGCCTCCTGGGTGCAAGCGATTCTCCTGCCTCAGCCTCCCAAGTAGCTGGGATTATAGGCACCCACCACCACATCCTGGCTAATTTTTGTATTTTTAGTAGAGATAGGGTTTCACCACGTTGGCCAGATTGGTCTCAAATTCCCAACCTCAGGCAATCCACCCGCCTCGGCCTCCCAAAATGCTGGGATTACAGGCGTGAGCCACTGTGCCTGGCTGCTTTCTTGACTTCTAACCTTGACTATGTTTGTTAGTGGTTCATCTAACTTTTTCCAGAAAACAGCTTTTATTTACTAGTCCCATTTTTCTATTTTGTGGCCCATTATTATTATATTAGTTCATTAATGGCTTCCTTCTACTTTTCTTCAGTGCATTATTTTTTGTCCTTTTTCTAACTTTTTTGAATCATAAGCTTAACTGAGTTACTTTTGTTCTCTCATTTTTATTGGCTGTGAATTTAAGGCTGTGCATCCTCTCCATCCTCACTCACAGTCACCCCTCACCTGGCCCTCTCCATCCTCACTCACAGTCACCCCTCACCTGGCCCTCTCCATCCTCACTCACAGTCACCCCTCACCTGGCCCTCTCCATCCTCACTCACAGTCACCCCTCACCTGGCCCTCTCCATCTTCACTCACAGTCACCCCTCACCTGGCCCTCTCCATCTTCACTCACAGTCACCCCCGACCTGGCCCTGCTGGCCCTTTCTTCGTGGGTGCTTCGCACCCCGCTGTGAGCCTGACTTCATTGTGCTGTGCTGTTTCCACTTTGCCTTCCCCAGCAGGCTGGGCTCCTAGGAGGTGGGGACCACGTCCTGCTCAGTTCTGGATGTCTAGCACCTAACACAGGGTCTCACACATGGAAGGTTTTCAATATACATTTGTGGGAAAAATTACAGGGTGGATAGTAATTTTGATGTAATATACAATCATTATAACTCTAAAACCAATATTTGAATATTAATTCTATTCCAGGCTCTGTGTTAGGTTCTGATGAGCATAACTTTTTTAATCCTCAGACACCACCATGAGGTGGGGTTTCCTCTCCCTCTTTTATGGAATAGAAGACCCGGGCTTAGAGAAGCTAAAGACTTCTCCAAACCATAGAACATCAACGGACAGAACTCAGCCTCATGAACAGCTAAAATGTACAGTCACAAAAAGCAAAGGAAACCAGCCTGAGGGGAACAAAGAGGGTCCACAGGGCAGGGCAGCCAGAACACAGGCTTGAGTGTCAGGCAGACTTGAGTTGGAATCAGATCTGCCACCACTAGCTGTGGGACCCAAGGCAAATAGTTTCTCTGTGCCTCAGATGTTTCACCTGTGAAATAGGGAGAAGAGTATCCATATCCCCAATGGATGACTGTAAAAATCACATGGGTGATAGCTATCACATACCCAGCACAATGCCTGGCCCATGGTAAGCACTCGGGAAGTGGTGATAGTGATGGCCATGGTGGTGGTGGTAGTGGTGGTGATGGTGGTGATGATGGTAGTTGTGGTGGTGGTGATGGTGGTGATGATGGTAGTTGTGGTGGTGGTGATGGTGGTGATGATGGTAGTTGTGGTGGTGGTGATGGTGGTGATGATGGTAGTTGTGGTGGTGGTGATGGTGGTGATGATGGTAGTTGTGGTGGTAGTGATGATGATGATGACAATGATAATGGTGGTGATGACAGTGGTGGTGGTGGTGGTGATGGTGGTGGTGATGGTAGTTGTGGTGGTGGTGATGGTGGTGATGATGGTAGTTGTGGTGGTAGTGATGATGATGATGACAATGATAATGGTGGTGATGGCGGTGGTGGTGGTAATGGTGATTATGTCAGTGATGGTGGTGGTGGTGGTGGTGATGGTGATGATAGTCATGATGGTGGTGATGGTGGTGATAGTGGTGGCAATGGTGATGATGGCAGTGATGGTGATTATGATAGTAGTGGTGGTGGTGATGGCGATGGTAATGGTGATAATGGCAGTGATGGTGATGACGGTGGTGATGGTGACGATGATGATAGTAATGATGGTGGTGATGGTAACGGTGGTGATGATGATGATAGTGGTGATGGTGGTGGTAGAAGGCAGTGGCAGCAGCAATGGTGTTGGCAACAATGACAACAATTACATTATCCCAGAACTCCAACTACAACAATGTCACCAAAACCCAATACCATACAGTGAAGACAGGCCCCATTGGAAAGATGAATCAATGCCCACAGAGCAAAAGAAATGGAAGATTCTAGAATGTCAGAGCGGGAAAGCATACTTGCAATCATCCAGACGCAATTCCTCCACTTTACAGACGGGGAAGCAAAGACCAGGATCAGGAGAGCAGTTTACCCAAGGTCTCACACCTGCTACCAGCCAGGCCTAGAGAAGACCAAGTTTTCCAAACCAAGCTGGTCTCCACTCCTCCCTCCCTGCTGACCCCTCAAACACCAGTGAGCACTTACTCTGGGCAGGGCACTGGCTTAGGTCCTGGGAACCCAAAGAAATGAATACAGGAAGGGGACGTCAGGACATAAGGCAAAATAGACAGCAGTTCCATTCGGTGGCAGGAGGAGGAGTGCCCGTGTGGCTCCGTAAAGCATTTGAAGGGCCGAGGAGGGGACAGACCATGCTGGAAACAGGGTTGATGGAGGTAGCTCTGCCCAGGCCGCCCACAGGAAGGCTTACAGGGAGCTGTTGGGGAGGAAGTGTTGATTTTAACACAAATGAGCGACAGGAGGAGGAGCTGTAACCACATCCAGAGTGGGTGGGGAGAGGAAATCAAGTACACAAATTAGGGCTGATGTGAAATTAACGGCTACTTAAAAGACTCGAACTAATTTAATAACTTTGTCAGTAATGAAAATATATGAACTAGGAAGAAAAGACGGGCAAAATATTTACTGGCAAAAGGCAAAATAAGCAAATATCTGAGAAGGCAGCACATCTATCAACGTCTTGAGATGGCAAAATTCCTAGGAAGGGAGGGACTTTCTGGAGGCACAGAGTCCACCGAAGGGGAGCGTGGGGAAGGGGACAGAATCAAGGACTCCTCACTAGCAGGGGTTGCTGCTGCCCAGGGGTTCACCCTGTGTCCAGCTGGTGCTCAGGGCTTTCCACGTCTGTCTCCATGGTCCCCAAAGAACTCTACTGAGAAACTGACAAGGCTAGTCATGGTGGCTCATGCCTATAATTCCAGCACTTTGGGAGGCCGAGGATGGTGGATCATTTGAGGTCAGGAGTTCAAGACCAGCCTGGGCAACATGGTGAAACTCCATCTTTACCAAAAAATATAAAAATTAGCCAGGCATGGTGGTGGACACCTGTAATCCCAGCTACTCGGGAGGCTGAAGCAGGAGGCAGAGGTTGCAATGAGCCGAGGTCGCACCACTGCACTCCAGCCTGGGTGACAGAGTGAGACACTGTCTCAAAAAAAAAAAAAAAAAAAAAAAAGGAAAGGAAAGGAAAGAAATTGCCCAGAGAATGAGCAGGTAGCCTGGAATTCCAATCCAGGCAGTGTGGCCCCAGGCCCTGGACTGTTAGTCTCTATCTGGTCTGTTACCCCTGCCCACCCACCCAGCCATGGAGAAGCCAACAAGGGCCACCCTCCAAACCCCGAGAAAACCCAAGTCCAGTCTACTCACAGCCAAGCCCCCATCCCACAGCTGCAGTCTCTGAGATGATGGAACATTTCCAAAGAGACCACGTCTGGGGCCGTGGGAGCCCGGCGGTGGTGGGGGGAAAGGGGGGAAGAGTGGCAAGGACCAAGTGACAGCTGCGGATCCCCAGCCCATTTTCATAGGTGCCACCAAATTAGCGGCTGTTGGTGAGGCCGAAGAAACGAGTCTGAAGAAATGTTCTGTGTGAAATTGGACTAGATTGGCTCTGGTATCAACACAGGCACAGGCTGAGGGAGGCTGGACAGCCATAAACAAAGGCTAACGGCAGATGTCAGCGTATCGGGCAGGCGGGGGCATCTCGTGGGAGGCCTCCTGGGCCACTGCAAGGCCCCAGTTTTGTTTAATATCCAAGCTAATGATCTGGAAGACAACAGACAGGTCACGAGCAAAACCTGCCGAGGACGCAGGGGGTGGCGCTGCGGTTGTTTGCTGGGGCAAGGGGACGGCCGGGAGACAGAGGAGACCTGGAGGGAAGATAAGTAGCTCCCAAGTAAATTGAGATTCAGCTTGAAGAAAAATTACAAACACTCAAATCTAAGAGGAGAAAAAAGCAGCCTGAAACTGCTATTTTCTGAGCCGAGGAAACCCAGGAAGCAGGGAGAGGGGACAGACTCAGATCATCACGAGGTCCATCGCAGACCAGCTTGTGATGTCACACGGGGAGGGTGATTTGTGTTTTGTTCACTGTTTGGGGGCAGGAAAGACATACCCTCAGAGGAGCTGAGAGGGCCACGTGGCCCAGGCCCAGGGATCTACCTGGGTGGCCGCCTTTGCTCTGAGGGGCCTGGCGCAGGAGCAGGAAGGAAAATTGGAGTTCAGAAAAATATTTGCTAACACAGAGAGAGTGAGAGCCAGGATCTCCCGCCCTGTGTGCATGAGAGCCAACCCAGTGTCTGGTGACTGGCAGACAGCAGGGAACCGTCCGGAGGGTCCAGGCGCAGAGACCGGCTGGGGGCAGCTGAGGGGCGGGGCTGAGGGCCCCAGGGTGCTGGCGGATGGGGAGGATCTTCCAAAGCAGAAACACCAGGGCCCACACTTCCCGGCTGCCCAGGAGGGAGGCAAGACCACAGTCAGGACCAGCCCTCCAAGGTGGCTTCGGGCCCCTGAACACTTCCCTCCCGGCCGGGCTCCATGCACTCACTGCTTGAGAGGAAACCAAAATTGTCAGCCCGGACACATTTGGAAATTTACTGGAGCAGCCTTCCCCTGCCTTGCGGGGATTGGGTTAGTCAACCTGTTAACCACATATTCTCACCACCCACAGTGCGCGGAGGCTGCGTGGGCCTGCGGGGAGCAGGAGGGAGAGAGGAGGGACCGAGGCCAGCTGCACAAGAAGGACATTGACAATGGTGGGGGGTGTGCCAGGGGATGCAGGGCCAGCATGGAGGGCACAGAGAGGCTTGCTAAGGAGCAGGACCCCTGTGGCCCAGAGGCTGTGTGGATTCAACGTGGGCAGGTGCCCTCACATAGCAAGCATTTACCAGGCATTGTCCATGCCAGGTGCTCAGCTGAGGGGCAGCAGCTGGACTCCTGAGAGTCCCCACCAGGAGACCCTGGGAGCCCTGGCCAGGCTGGTCTCGGGCCTGGGAACCTCAGTCTTACACGGGCAGCAGCACTGATGACCTCACAATCTAGCACATTAATTGTTCTCACTGGAATAGAGCTCCCTGAGGATGGGAGGGGCGGGGGTTGTCTGTCTTTTTTTCCCATGATTGTCTTACTGGTGCCTAAAATAATACCTAGCATGCATTAAGTGCTTACTAATTATTTATAGAATGGATGGATGGGTAGATGGCAAATGGTGGGTCATGGTGGGTGGTGAGTGGGTGGTGGATGGTAGATAGGTGAGTGGCAGTTGAGGTGGATGGTGGATAGTGAATGGGTGGATGGGATGGATGATTGGATGGATGGGTGGATAAGTGAATGGGTGAATGGTAAGTGGTGGGTGGTGGATGGGTGGATAGTAGATGGGTAGGTGGATGGTGACTGATGGATACTGCATGATGGATGGGTAGGTGGTGGATTTTGTATGGGTGGATAGTGGATGGTGAATAGGTGGATGGGTGGATAGATGAATGGTGGGTGGACAGATGGGTGAGTGGGTGGGGGGGTGGATGGAGAGTGATGAGTGAATAGGTAGATGGATGGATGGGTGGATGGTGAATAGTGGATGGGTGGATGGATGGGTGGGTGGGTGGATGGATGAGTGGGTCGGTGGGTGGATGGATGGGTGGATGATGGGTGGTGGATGGATGGGTGAATGAATGGGTAGATGGATGGATGGGTGGATGGTGAATAGTGGATGGATGGGTAGGTGGGTGGATGGATGAACAGATGGGTGGGTGGATGTTAGGTGGTGAATGAATGGGTGGATGGATGGATGGGTAGATGGTGAATAGTGGATGGTGGGTAGGTGGATGGGTGGGTGGGTGAGTGGATGAATAGATGGGTGGGTGGGTAGGTGGATGGTCGGTGGTGAATGAATGGGTGGATAGATGGATGGGTGGATGGTGAACAGTGGATGGGTGGAAGGATGGGTGGGTGGGTGTATGGATGAATGAATGGGTGGGTGGATGAATAGGTGGGTGGGTGGGTGGTGGGTGGATGGATCTTGTGACACCCCGTTGCATCTTCAGCAACTCCTAGAAAATCAGGTCCAAAGTAACAGCCTCCCCCACCCACCGTCAATCTCCATCCCAGCCCCAAAAGACTGAGTGTAGAAGTGACTGGGCTGAAATGGTTGCTGGGTGGTCACCGAGCCAGAGCAAAGCACAGGGAAAGGCTGAGGGAGACCCGAAAAGCCTAAGAATGCCCAGCTCTCACATACACAGGGATACTTTGCGAACTGCAGAGCAGAGAACCCATGCAGGTATTCATGCTTCATTCGCCATCCCACTGCAAATGAAGTGCCCTCCCTGTCCTGCTGGCGGAAGGTGTGAGAGGGCAACCACTTTACTTCTCCTTGACTGTAGCCTCAGGACCAGTCAGAACAGGTACTCAAGAAACAGCAATTTCATTTTTATGTTTACCAGGACGGTGGGCACCTAATGAGCAGCTACTGCCCACCCGACCATGGCGTGTCCAGGAACATTGAAGAATACGCACTCCAGGGATCATGGGGTTCAGTGACTTATGTTCCAGCACCAACTCCCCACATCTAAGCCTGCCAGCCAGTGCTGTCACAGCAACCTCACCTCACCACAGCCAGAACACTCGTGGCGGGAAGCCGTTCAGTCTCCATCCACAGATGCCCCCACCCACTTCCCCACCCATGACAGCACGGCCAGCGCGAGAGCTGCAGCTGCAGGTGCTTCCCGAGCTTCAGCCTGTCACTGGGTGGCATGCGGAGGACTTCACCTGCGTCCTCTCCTTTTCTCAGCTGCCCCAGGGGGTAGGAAGGATGCTTGGTCCCATTTCACAGTTGGGGAAACGGAAGCTCATGGGGATTCAATAACTTGTCCAAGACCACGTGTGTAATAAGAAGTGAAGCCAGCATTTGGACCCCAGCCAACTCTATGGGCCAGGCTCCCCACCAGACAGAGCTGGGGGCGCCTGGCCTCTCCCACAATCAGCTGCACCCTCAAAGGAGGATGTGTTCACAATTCAAACAAATAGACCTTGCACTACAGTGAGTCCAAAAGAGGAGTCTCAAAATCTTTAGAGATTTGGAACAGATGCTTAGAACTTAGTAAGGTGACTGCTTTGCAAAGGGTCCTTTTGCCATTTTAAAAAAGTCACTACCATGTATGCCCCTGGGGGCTTAAGTTCACCACCGTGCTCCAAGGGTTCAAAGGGAGTGTCAGGGGTGCCAGAAATAGAGCCCAGCCTTGCCAGGGCTGAGCAGCCGGCAAGCCCAGCTTCCAGGAAGAAACGCTGGACAGTCAGCCCTTCCCCAGGCTCTCCAAATCCTAGACCTCCCTCTGCTCCAGTCACCCCCAAGGATTAAGGGTGAGCAGAGACCACCACTGCAGATTCAGATGACAGAGAGCAAGGGTCGCCAAACTCAGGAGTCCCCAGAGACACACGAACGAGGCTGACCCCACACCCCAGCTCCACGAGGCCACTGGGTCAGCGCCTTTCCATCAGCCGATGTCACCGCTGAAACTGAAAAGCGGTGCGTGTTGGTGACAGCAGTGAGTGCCCAGTGTATGCAGACCCCTCGAGGCAAGCACCACCCAGCTGGGCACTGAAGCAGGTGTCCTCACAGCAAACTCTGCAAAAGGAGCCCTCCCTTCATCCCGGCCCGAGTCACAGAGCAGCAACCAGCGTCCTGAGGGCAGCCCTCACCTCTTCCCAAGAGAGGGGCACATGAGGGTAGGGACTTAGACCCAAAGCAGGCTCAGGCTCCCGTCCACACCTGTGTCTGGTGGGGACGGGCAGGAACGCCCAGCAAAGATGTCATCCCTGGCATCAGGGGGAGGGACATTGGGCTTCCCATGCATGGTGCTATGAGTCCCACTGCTGGGTGGGCAGCAGAAGAGATGGGCAGCGGCCCACACAGCTCACCTCATGGGGACAAGCTAATCACTCCATTCCAAAATGCAAGCTGGCAGCCACTCAGCAGCCACCAAAGGCCACCAAAAGGGGCAGACCAGTACGTCTGTGACATGCATTAGCAAATTCATTAGTGAAATTAATTCTCCCCCTAAACAGCTGAGATTGTGTTAAACAAAGCCTTGTAGAATGGTTCGTGGACTCCTTTTTTCTTTATTCCTGCCTGCAAGGAATAGCATGCCGGCTGAGACTACTGGGAACCGGGAATGGAAGTCCTGAGCCCTCACCCGAGTCGGCGGCTTCCCCATCCACACACGGAGCTGAGTGCCTCTAGGGCCAGAGTCCTGTGGCTCTCTCCGCCGTCCATCTCCTCTCTTGAGTACTTGAGCCTTGTCTTTTTTTCTTCCTCTCCCCTTGAAAAATCAAGTAGCATGCATGTTGGGTTTCGCTGGATGCTAGAGATTAGATTGCATCTGTCTGGATATAAATAATTTACTGCTTGATGGTCAGAGGGAATTTAATTAGTTCTTGTTCTCCTGATAGAATCAGCCCACCATTGCTAAAACATTTCACTCCGAATTAGTCTGAAAGGGGCCAACAAGGCAATGCTAATTTTATACACATGACGTCCCCCGCAGCTTCTGAAAATACACATCCAGCACGAAGTACCACCCGGGCTGTTGCTGCTGCCGCTTCGGTGTCTGGGGGCGCCAGAGAAAGTCCATGGAGGGTGGGCCCCGGCCCCGGCTGGAGATAAGGGAATCGGGGTAGGGGCCAGAACCCTGCTGCCTGCCACATACAACCTTCTCCTCCCAGCTCCAGATAAAAGGAGCAGGGACCCTAATGACATGATGATCAATGAGTCCACGGGGCCCAGGTAAGGGGCTCGTACCCACCCCAGGAATCCAGCAGGAAAGACTCGACAGAGCTGTGCTGGGATTTTTTCCCCTCTGCAGAGCACGGCTCTGCTGGACGCCTGCCTCCCACCTGCCTAGGGAAATCACAGCTCAGATGAAAACCTGGAGATGAGGCCCTGTGCCAGCCAGCACTCGCCCACTGCCTCCGCCTGGCCCCTGCGCAGCAGCAGAGCGGGCGGGGGGAGCAAGAAGGCCTGGTTTGTCCTGAAGTTCCCTTTAGGAACATTTGAAATGAAGCGGATCTCAGAAAACAAGCCAACAGGATCAATAGCCCACAAAAACCACCAACAAAAGGATGTTTTAAAATGTGGGCCAGGTAGCCAACGGGTCTTTGAAAAAAAAAAAACAAAAAAACAAGAATCTCTAAGGAATGTTCAATGAGAAGGAAGAGGATGAACAAGCCAGAGGCTGACTCATCTATTGATCAGACTGTCCCTTCAGAGACAGCGGCCTGGTGAGGCAGGAAATGAAACGCCTCGCTTCCGTCTGCAAGGAAAGGGCAGGATCCCTACGCCCCACTGCCCTCAGCAGCCCCTTAGGGGGAAGATGAAGGCAGCCACTTCTCAGCATGTTTCTCTCTCTGGCCTACAGCACATTTGATTTCATGGCATGATTTAAAGGAGTGCCTGTTTCACCACAACCTTCCCAGCATTGTGTGTTAGCATTTTTTAAGTCTTTGCTAACAATCTGGGAAAAGAGGTGTTACGTTGTTGACATTGGTACAGGTTTGATTACTCGTGAGATGAGTTTCCTTTCCATATACTAGAGGAGTAGAATAGGTCTTCTCTTGCTCTTTTTTCTTGGCACATTCTTTTCCTTTGGAGTTAAACCAATCCATCTTCAGTGCCTTGCCTGAATCCCCCACTGGCCGGGAGTCTAGGTCTGAGGGCGTCTTGTCGCTATTTGCTTGTGCAATACATGTTCTCCACCCACAGAGCTGGCATTTAATAAATATTTGTTGGGTAAACCAGAGGATGGAGTTGAGGAAGTTCTCCCATGAGTCATAAAAGCATTCTTCATATAGACAAAAGCAACAAGAATAATGATTCTAAGAAAAATGTCTCCCATTAAGTGAGCACTAACTATGCTACGTACCCTATGCCAGGCTGAGTACCCTGCACATTTCATGGTTTTGCTTCCCCACTGTGACACTCAGCCCCAAAACAGATGGAGGACCTGCAGCTTCTTTGGGGTCAGTACCTTACCCAAGGTCACACAGCTAAGGAAAGAACCAGCATTTAAATCAGGCAAGGTGGCTTCTGGCTTTGCCCTGAGCCATCCTGCTCTCCCCGAAGCCCAAACCATCAGGCTCTTTTTGCCATGCAGCTCCCATTTGACTTCCTTTCATTCATTGAACAGTCCTTCCCTATGCACTTTGAGCCAGATGAAACAGACAAGGTTCCCAATAGCAGCAAACCCAAAATGGCATTAATCGTGCTGGGAAGAAAACCAGGAGCTGGTGTAGTGGGAACCTGCCTGAAGGGGCAACATTCTCACCTATTACCTTGGTGAAGGTGGCATCTAGGGATAATGGCCGAGCTGGCCTTGCTGGCTGGTGGGGGCTGGTGTGCACATCTTAATAGGAGCCGAACCTTCCTGGAGGACGCCTTAGCAGAACGGTGCTGGAGCCTCAAGAACATTTATATTCCTTGACCCAGGAATTCTACTTCTAGGAATTGATCCTACAGAAATAATCAGAGGCGCAGACCAAGATTTATGTACAAGGAAGTTAATCACAGGATTATTTATAACGCAGAAAAAAACTGGAAACAACCCAAACAGCCGACAGTACAGGAAAGAGGAAACAAATTATGAATTTTGGGGACATCCACACCACAGACTAGTCAGCAGCCACTGAAGTGTGTGGTTGTGGTAGAAGCTCGGTGGCTCACGCCTGTAATCGCAGCACTTTAGGAGGCTGAGGTGGGCAGATCACGAGGTCAGGAGTTCGAGACCAGCCTGGCCAATATGGTGAAACCCCATCTTTACTAAAAAATACAAAAATTAGCCGGGCGTGCTGGCACACGCCTGTAGTCCCAGCTATTCAGGGAGCTGAGGCAGGAGAATTGCTTGAACCCGGGAGGCGGAGTTGCAGTGAGCAGAGATCACACCACTGCTCTCCAGCCTGGGCAACAGAGCGAGACTCTGTCTCAAAAAAAAAAAAAAAAAGAGTGATGCTTACCTTGTCATATTAAGTAAAAACAGGGTACAGACTATATATAAATATCATTCTAATTTTATTTTAAAATATGTATTTTTTTAAAAGACTGCTAGGAAATATACCAAAATGTTAAAGTAGTTATCTCTGGGTGGGAAGATTAAGGTAAGGTTATGATTGATTTTTGTTCCCATCTCTACCCTCTTCTGTGCTTTCTCTACTTTTTGCAAAGAGACACTATTTACTATAAGCATAGAAAATATTTTTTAAGAAGCAAACAATACATTTAGGACATCTTTTTTTTTTTTTTTTGAGACAGAGACTCGCTCTGTTGCCTAGGCTGGACTGCAACAGCATGATCTCAGCTCACTGCAACCTCTGCCTCCCAGGTTCAAGCGATTCTCCTGCCTCAGCCTCCCAAGTAGCTGAGATTACAGGCATGCACTACCACACCCAATAATTTTTTTGTATTTTTAGTAAAGATGGGGTTTCACCATGTTGGTCAGGCTGGTCTCGAACCCCTGACCGCAATTGATCCGCCCACCTTGGCTTCCCAAAGTGCTGGGGTTACAGGTGTGAGCCATCATGCCCAGCCTAGCACATCTATTTTTTGGCAATAGAATTCATTTTGGAGTCTTACTTGATTAATCAAAGTCCTTTTAAAGTAGGGCATAAAGATCTTAACATAAGACCCTGGCAGTGCCCTATCTGAGAAAGGGTAGAGCAGGGTCTCCTCCTTTCTTCTGCAGACAATACTTCTATGAATGCAACCCAAGACCACTCTGCATTTTGGATGCAGCTCTGTCACACTGCTGGCTCACGCTACAGCTTGCTAAGTCATACATGCAACCAGCTAGCTCTGTCTCACCATCACAGGCTTGGAGAGCTTGGCTATTTGGACCCCAGTATTTTGGGTTCTACTAAATTGTATTTTGCTAGCTTCACCCTACCATTCTGACTGTCGAGATATATTTAGATCCTAAGCTTGTCTACGAAGCACTCTCACCAATCCTTCCAGCTCCCTGTCATCCTCGGATTTAATAACTCTGCCACCTGCGCCCCATCCGAGACATCAGCAGCCACAAGGAACAGGGAGAAGGTGCTGATAGAGCCCTATGGCACATCTCTAGAGACCTCCCTCTATGTTTCTTCTACTTGTTAATCAGCTTTCATTTGTTATTCAACCAATTACGAATGATGAATGAGCCCTCCCTTTGCGTAAGCACGTCTTGCCATAGTCCCTATTTAAGCCTCACCAGGCTGGGCCTGGGGTCTCCACTCATCCACTGTAAGAAGCGGCCAGCGCTAAAGAGCCTTCCTCAGTAGCTCCGTCCTTCATCACCATGGTCCTGCAGCTCCAGGGGGACTCTCAGGTGCATGCAGGAAAACTGGTAAGACCAGCTTTGGCCCAGCACCGCATCCATCCATGTGCTGTGCATCCTGGGGTGGGCCAGGGGACGGGGGAAGAGCTGAGGTCCACAGCAGATCCTAAAGCCAAACCGCCAGAACCCCAGTCCTTCCATGCTTTGAGGAAAGTCTTGCAATGATGGACAGAATCAGCCAGTGGAGATGAGGCTGTGCTGGGTCCCCAACAACCCAGGCCACTCCAGCCAAGATGCTGACCTGCCTGTGGGCCTAGGGCACTGTGGTTGCCCTCAACCCCAGAGGCAGAAGCCTTGCTTGCCACTGTTCATAACCAGTATCTGTGGTTCATTCGTTCTGTGGGACATCCAGCACCTTCAGCCGAGCATTGCCCCAGAGGGGACACGAGGCAGTTACAATGGCTGGGCCCTGGCACCTGATGGGACAGGTCCAAGCCCCATCCGGCAAGGCAAGAGTCACCAGCAATTTGCTTCACTTGTTCTTAAGCAAATTACCTGGTTCATGTGCACCTCTGTTCTCTTCTTTGTAAAATGAGGTCACAATAAATTCTTGTTAATGGAAGTCACCCTGCAACCGAGGACTCACTCCTCCTATCTAGCTGCAATTTCATGTCTGTTAACCAACTTCCTCCCATCTTCCTCTTCCCGTTCTCCTTCCCAGCCTCAGAATCCTCTCTGCTTCCATGAGCTCAACTCTTTTGAGTTCCCACGTATGAGTGAGAACATGTGCTATTTTTTTTCTTTCTTTCTTTCTTTTTTTTTTTTTTTTTTTTTGAGACAGGGTCTCACTCTGTCGCCCAGGCTGGAGTGCAGTGGTGTGATCTCGGCTCACTGCAACCTCCAGCTCCCAGGTTCAAGCGATTCTCCTGAGTCAGCCTCCCTAGTAGCTGGGATTATAGGTGCCCACCACTATGCCCAGCTAATTTTTGTATTTTTTGGTAGAGATGGGGTTTTACCATGTTGGCCAGGCTGATCTTGAACTCCTGACCTTAAGTGATCTGCCCGCCTTGGCCTTCCGAAGTGCTGGGATTACAGGCGTGAGCCACCGCACCCAGCCAGGATTTACCTTTCTGTGCCTGGCTTATTTCATTTAACATGACGTCCTCCAGATTCATCCATGTTGCCATAAATGACAGGTTTCCCTGATTTGATCATTACACACTGTATATATGCATCAAAATATTGCTTTGTATCCCATAAATATGTACAGCTATTATGTGTCAACTAAAAATAAAGGGAATAAGTAAATAAATAAACTAGGTGACTCCTTGTCCGTACCTCTTAGGGCTGTCGTAAGGATTTGCTGAGATGCTACGTGCCAAGTTCCTGGCAGGGAAGAGCGATCTTTAACAGAGTCCTTGCTGGGACTCCATCTCCAGGCTCTCCAAGCCAGGGCTAGCCAAGTCAAATCAATAAAGAAAACCCTCTTTTCTTCCAATTCAACACATTCAGAATTTGAAAATCAATTTGAAATTCATATAAAAGAACCTGCCTGACCTTTACCTCTGCACTGTCTATTAAGAGATGGTTTGCAGACCAAATCAATGATGTAAAGTCTCCTGGAACCCTTCTAGGATGCTCCCAGAACAGCATGGGTGCCCGCTCTCCAGTGACAGTCACACTGCGTGTACTTGCGCTGGGTACTTCTTATCTTCCAGAGCAATAGCCTGCTGGAAGGAGTGCGGGCTCACCTTTCCCTCACCCCTGCCAGCCCCCAAGCTGGGGTGACACACATCTAGAGTACAAAGACTTTATCTGGTCTTGGAAGCAAACATCCAAGGCCCCCACTAAGCAACACTATGCTGTAAACTCAGTACCGATACCACAAGCAAGTCCATGTGCTGAGAGAACAGAGAACCGATTCCTTTTATCACACAGCCTGAGCATCTCAAATCTGAAAATCCAAAATGCTCCAAAATCTAAAACTTTGTGAGCACTGACATGATGCTCAAAGCAAATGCTCACTGGAGCATTTTGGTTCTTGGATTTTTAGGTTTGAGACACTCAACTGATAAGTATAAAGCAAATATTCCAAAATAAAAAAAAAATCCAAAATCTGAAATACTTCTGGTCCCAACCATTTCAGATAAGGGATATGCAACTGGTAGGCAAACTTCTGCTGGTTCCCCTGACTCCCACCACAACTAAAGCTGGGGGTAATGCCCCTTCTTCAATGTTTCTCCAGTGCTGGGGGCCACCCACCCACAGCACCCTCGATACATTCCAAAGAGGTGATTCCTCCTCATGAGAGCCTGGGAAGACTCAAGAGACCCCCATGCCCTGTATGGTGAAAAAAGGCTAATTTCCCAGCTCCGCCCCCATTTAAAAAATCCTTCGCTCTGAAGGCGACTGGTTGGCCCATAAGCCAGATTCCTGTGTCCCACTCACCACCACCAAGGGCAAACTGGCCAGACCCCCAGGACCTGCTCCGTGGAAAGCACCTGAGTCAGCGAGACCCCTGCCGCCCCACCTCCCAGAGCTCCGGACCCAGTGAGGATGTGCTGAGGGGTGATGGGGGCTACCTCCCCACTAGATGCTTAGGTATCTGCCTTCTCCTCAACCCACCCACCTTGAGAAATACCCCCACTAGCCTCTCAGGTAGGTTTCTTTATTCTTGTTTTAGGGGATTTTTTCATTGTGGAAACATCTATAGCAAGAAAAAAAAAAAAACCTTGCCATTTCAAACCATTTTTCAGTGTACAATTCAGTGGCCTTAATTACATATCAAATGTTGTGCACCCATGACTATGACCCACTTCCAGAACTTTTCTATCACCCCAAACAGAAACTCCATTCCTATTAAACAATAGCTCCCCACTCCCCCCAAGCCCTGGCAACCACTCGTCTACCCTCTGTCTGTATGGATTTGTATTCCAGTTATTTCATCTAAGTGGAATCATGCAACGTGTGGCCTTTTGTGTCTGGCTTCTTTCACTCAGCACATCATTTTTAGGGTTCATCCATGCTGTAGACTGTCAGAGCTTCATTCCCTTCTATGGCTACGCACTATTCCATTGTGTGGATATACTACATTTTGTTTGCCCACTCACCTGTTGACGGACATTTGGGCTGTTTCACTATTGTGTGGTGAATGATGATGCAGTGAACATTGGCATACAAGTATCTGTGTCCTTGTTTTCAATTCCTTTGGGTATATGTCAGTAGATTTCTTTAATCTGCCAACCTGCAGATTAAACCTGCAGATTAAATAAATGCTAACGTGCATTTATTCCATTTGCTGTTACTTAGCGGGGCCTGCTGCAAACATTGTACCAGATGCAAGATATTCTGGTGGCCAAGGTCAACATCTAAGAGTGTTTGGATGGATGGAAAGATAGAAAATCGATGGATGATGGATAACAGATGGATGGTGTATGAACAGATGAATTATGGATGGATGGTGAACGGGCAGATGGATAGTAGAGAAGGAATGGACAGATGGATTATGGATGGATGGATAGGTAGATTATGGATAGATGGTAGATGGATGAATGGCAAATGGACAGATGGATAATAGATGGATGGTAGATTGATAGGTGGATTATAGATGGATGGTAGATGGATGGATGGATAGATGAGTTATAGATGGATGGTATATGAACAGATGAATTATGGATGGATGGTGAATGGGCAGATGGATAGTAGAGAAGGAATGGACAGATGGATTATGGATGGATGGATAGGTAGATTATGGATGGTAGATGGATGAATGGCAAATGGACAGATGGATAATAGATGGATGGTAGATGGATAGGTGGATTATAGATGGATAGTAGATGGATGGATGGATAGATGAATTATAGATGGATGGTATATGAACAGATGAATTACGGACAGATGGTGAATGGGCAGATGGATAGTAGAGAAGGAATGGACAGATGGATTATGGATGGATGGATAGGTGGATTACAGATAGATGGTGGATGGATGAATGGTAGATGGACAGATGGATAATAGATGGATGGTAGATAGAAGATAGATAGATGGATTATAGGTGGATAGATGGGCAGATGGATAATATATGGAGGATGAATGGGTGGACAGATGGATGGACAGACATCACAGCCACGTTGCTCCTCCCTTCCCCCTACTGACTGGCACAGCAGCAGTCTAAGAACTTCTGAGCGGGCCTGCCTTCATTTGTCTCAAACCTTGTCTGTATCTGAGTAATGTTTCCCACCAACAGTGTTGGCTGCCACTAGCTCTCAAGCCCTCCTGTCCCTTAGGGTCACCTGGACAGCATTTCCAAAGTGACACTTACAGACCCCACCCCTGGGGACCCTGACTCCACACTCTAGGGTGGAGCTCACAGTCAGTGCTTTTCATGAACTCTCGGGTGGCTCAGGGGATCGGCCAGGGCTGGGAACCCCTGATGCAGGGCTCACATCTTTCCAGGAGTGGGCCTGTGGGCCGGGCTGCTTTGCATGCCTTGCAATAGCTGTGGGTTGCTTTTAAAAAATAGAATGTCATGTCTCAGGAAGGATGAAGAAACCTGTAAACCACAGATAAGAGACTCTTACTGAAGGATGAGGGGGGGCCCCCGGGAGAAAAGAATTTTTTATAAAATAGAGTGGCAGGGAGGAGGAGTGAGGCCAAAAATGCTGCAATGAAGTTAATCTATTAGGTAATTATTGTAATGCCAGTTCCACGTCCCCGGCCCTGGCCTAGCTGTCATTTAACTCGTTGAAAAGGATGTTTCTCATTACTGGAATTTTACCCTTTGGACTAACAATCTGGTAGCATCAGGCATTCAAGATTCTTAAGGAATCCCAGGGTCCCCTAGCATCTCTGGGTTCTTGAAAGAAGTCAGCATTGTGGCTTCCAAATATCCCCAAATCAAGAAAATGGCAGAGCCTGCCCTAGAGCCAGCAGATTATGGTCCTTGCTGTACAGCTGACCCCTGAGCAGAGCCCTGACCTGGCCTCTGTCAAGCCTGGCTAGGACAGGCTACGGCCAGGCCTCCCTCTCCCTTCTGCCTATGCCTGCGGGTGCCATATCCTCTCCACTGCCAGCCCAGAGTCTTCCTCGAGGCCCCATCATAAAAGAAGTGTCATAAGTGTTTTTCATCTGCTTGGGTGTCCCCACTCCCACCCCCCGCCCCCCCAACCACTCTCTTCCATCACAGAAATTCAGATTTAAATGGAAGTGTACCAGGATAATTTGATCAGGTTGTCTTAAACCTGGAGTCTCATATTTGTGATCTACAGTTTTAATTAAGCTTTGAATCTCCACTGCAGGATCTCACGTTATCTTGCTGCATCGCACCAAGCAAGGGTGGTGGGTCAGGACGCAGCCGACCTGGCCAAGACTGGATGTTCGTGAACTTGCTGCAGGGGGTCTGGCTTCCTCTTCCTGCTCCTTGAGTAGACTCTAATCCAAGGATCCCTCAAGGAGGGAATGAGGTAGGCAACAGGAAGGCCTGTGGTGGCGACAATAGAATGGGCAGAAGACTGTGCCTATGAGCACCCCGGGTGTGGCCTGCTCACCTCCCCCCAGCGTCCTATCTCACTGCCGACCCCTCACCTGCAGGACTTTTGTCATAAGAAGGTGATTTGCTGGGAGCCATCGGGTGCAGACACTACCTGGTGCTAAGTATTCTCTCATTTAACCCTCCTGGGCATCCCGAGAGGCGGGTGTTATTATCACTCCTCCCATCTTATACACGGGGAAACTAAGGCATCAAGAGGCTGTTTGACTTGCCCAGGGTCACACAATTAGGGCAGTGGGGACTGGGCTGGGATTCAGGTCCCCCTGCAGCCTGACACAGAGCCCCTAACACACCTGCTGCCCAGACCATGGTCCATTTGGTGCTCAGACCAGGGCATTCCCCTGCCCCTGGCAGTGAGTCTTTAGGGCAGCATCGCCCCGCCACCCGGCTTAGCCATCCCTGAACCCACAGTCCTTGGGGCACCTGGAGTGGCTTCTCCTCAGGCAAGGTCCCTGTGTCCAGGAGCTCATTGTGGCCCCAGTGCCTAACACCCA
This sequence comes from Homo sapiens, assembly GCF_000001405.40. Classification (NCBI taxonomy): domain Eukaryota; kingdom Metazoa; phylum Chordata; class Mammalia; order Primates; family Hominidae; genus Homo; species Homo sapiens. The sequence continues at coordinate 79,572,410 of NC_000017.11, forward strand.
GCAGGTGCCCACCCACCATGCACACCCATGGATGAAGCCGAGGCCGATCCCACCCCTCTTGCCCCTTCTCCCAGACCCCTCCCACCCCAGCTCTGCCCACCAGGCCTCCCTGGTGGATCCTGAAGGCCTTCAGCCCTCTCAACAGGGTGGGGGGAGGGAGGGGGAAGGGGAGCCAAGCTGAAGGCAGTGGGAGCTGAGCCCTTTCCCCGGAGGTGGCCCCAGGTGAGTACCACAGTCTTAAGTATTTATTAACAAAGGCAGGAGGGCAGCCAGCCTGTCTGATTACTTTATGGCCTACAGCGGTTTGCAAACGTGCGTGTTTCCCAAGGCTCATTGTCTCACAGCAAAGACCTGGGGAAGCTCAGCTGCTCATTAGGGCTCTGAGGACCAGAATAATGGCCACGCTGCAGGGACGCAGAGGCTGGCCACCCGTGCTGCCCTGAGGTGCCTTCCGGATTCCCCACCCACCCTCACCCCATGCAGGCTTGCCAAATTTGGCAGATAAGACAGCATAGCCAGTAAAACACTAATTCCAGAGAGAAGACAAAACAATTATAGGATAAGTATATCCCATGCAATCTTTGGGACACACTCATACTAAGCAATTATTGTGTATCTGCAATTCCAGTTTACCTGGGCGTCCTGGGTACACCTGGCAGCCCTGCCTCTACGGCACCTGACACCTTTCCTGCTTATGCCTCAGGCATTTCCTCTTCTTTCTGTCCCCTCTCCCTGAAGATTCCCAGAGGGGCAAGAGCCAAGCCCAGCCACTCTAGAAGTCACCCTCTCCAGAGCGCAGCAGCAGAGCCACTGGAAATACTTCCTCCAAGCCTGAGACAGATGAAAAGGAGAGAAAGACCAAGGCCACGGGGAACAAAGGCAGAGGGAGCTGGGCATCGAGACTGGGCTCTGGAAGGAGCTGCACGCAGCACTGCATCCACACACACACACCTGTGGGACGACTCTGGGCTATGCAGTCCCCAGCCGTGCTTTGAGGCCTTTCAATCTTGCAGGACCTCGTGCAGCCTGGAGGAGGGGCTTCCAGGCTGAGCACTCGGAGCCCACGGCCCTGGAGACACTCTCTGGTCTGCAGAGGGGCTCCAGGCAAGGAGAGAGGCCCTTCAAGGCTTTCACCCTGACTTCCCCAGCACGGGAAGAACAGGCACCTGTCCCTTTAACAAGCTCTCTCCATCCTACAGCTGTGACCACTTGATGTGAATGATTGCTGCTGAGAACCTCATCTGGGATTTTCCAATGCGATGATTCAAGCCTAGCTGTGTTCAAAAACCTCCCCTTCCGCCTTGCCATCTTCCTCTGGAATGTTCTGTCCCCTCCCCTCCCCCCGGCATCACCTGCCTCCAATCTCCATCCTACTTGGAGTTTTTCTCTCTGAATCTGCCCGGTGGGGGGAGGGTGCCTAAAGCAGAGCCACGCGGGCACGTTCACCAGCTGGAGAAAGACAATGCCTCCTTCTCCTCCCTGGCTCAGGACAACATTCTCTAGGAATAAACTAAACTGCGGAGGTGGGAAACCAGGCGGGGAGGAGAAAAACAGAAACTCCAGCGTCTCCACCCATGAAGAAGGGGTGCGAGCCCCCAGGGGTGGGCTGCCCACTGGAGAAGGTGGGCTGGCCCTCAAGGGAGCAGGTCAGCAAGGAAGGGATCCAAAAGGAGAAATCTGAGGGGTTGTTTAAAAAGTCCTCACGGAGAAGTTACAGAAGGTGGATCTTCATCCCTCTCAACCCTTAGGATTAAGGGTCCCCTTGTCAAAGGGAGGAGGGAATATGTCAGCGGCGTTTGAACCAGAGCAACTCCATCTTGAATAGGGGCTGGGCAGAATGAGGCTGAGGCCTGCTGGACTGCATTCCCTGGACATTAAGGCATTCTTAGTCACAGGATGAGACAGGAGGTCAAGTGATACAGGTCACAAAGTCCCAGCTGCTAAAACAGGATGCAGTAAAGAAGCCGGCCAAAACCCACCAAAACCAAGATGGCGATCAAAGTGAACTCCAGTCATCCTCACTGCTCACTGTGCGGTAATTATAATGGATTAGCTGCTAAGAGACACCCCCGCCAGCACCATGACAGTTTACAAATGCCATAGCAACATCAGGAAGTTACCTTGTACCGTCTAAAAAGGGGAGGAACCCTCAGGTCCGGGAAATTCCCATCCTTCTTCCAGAAAACTCATGAATAATCCACCCCTTGTTTAGCATGTAATCAAGAAGTAACTATAAGTATACTCCGTTGAGTAGCCCATGCCGCTGCTCCGCCTATGGAGTAGCCATTCTTTTATTCCTTTACTTTCCTAATAAACTTGCTTTTCACTTTAAAAAAGAAAAAAGGCTTCACAGGTTCGCTGAGTGAGAGCGTGGTGAGCCACTGCCACGCTGGTGCCAGAGACAGGCCAGGGTCCAGCCTCCCAGGTGGTACCCAGAGCCCTCCTCAAACTGTCACATGTCCCCCAGCCACATGGGGATCTCATTGAAGGGCAGGTTCTGAGTCAGCAGGTCTGGGCCAGGCCTGAGTTTGCATCTCTAACCAGCTCCTGCGTGATGCCGCTGCTGGTCCAAGGATCGCACTTTGAGTGGCACAGTGGTTCCCAACTTTGAGTGCATACTGGAACCAGCCAAGGAGTTTCAAAATGACTGCTGCCCTGGGGTCTACCCCCTAGGTTCTGAAGGCAGCCTGGGTATGGGGGCTGTGAAGCCCCCCAGGCGATTCCAACATGGAGCCTGGGCCCAGAACCCCTGATCTAAGAGGAAAGGCGCTGGTTCAACGCACACCCAGCAATTAGTTATGAATTACAGCATGGATGTCCTGCAGACAAGGACAGGTATGAAACGCTGTGAGGGCATGCAACAGGGAAATGGGGGCTCTTGAGTTAAGGGGCAGGAACGAGTACATGGGATAGGGGGGCAGAGTGAGGGAGACAAAGGGGCCACTTTCCAGGGCCCTGAGGCCAGGGAAGACAAGGTGCTAAGAACTCCGGGAGGCCACAGAGCTACGATGGAAGTGGGTCGAGGTGCAGGGGCAGCCAGCAGGGCTGGGGGACGGACCTCATGCCATAGGTAGGAGCTCCATCTTCCAAAAGCCACGGGAAGCCCTTTGAGGTGTTTTGAATATAGTAGTGACAAGGTCAGCCTTCGGCTTAGAGAAACCGGTTGGAGGGAAGTGCACAGGAAGAAGAAGGAAGACAGTCGTTTAAGTCCCTGTCACTCACCCTTTGAAAAAGCTATTCTAAATGAGGCTAAAAATTGAACAACTAGGGCACCTCTGTCTTAGCACTAAACATGGGGTCAAGGCACTTCCGACTTCTGAGAAAGAGCTAAGTCCTTGCCCGGGGCAGCCTGCCAGAGCAAATCTAGCCCTAGGCCCAACACATGCTATTTTTAGTCTGGCCCCTCCCCATAAGGCTGCAAATTATTTCATGGTATTCCTGTGATAGTAGCAAGCCCACCCCCTCGGTTAGGCTGAAACCACTGATCCAAACCAAACTTCCAAGCAAAAGTCGCCAGTCCTGTTGGGAGCTTGGAGGGATGCTGTGCTGGTCAGTGTTGTGTCCACATGGCCAGGCCATAGTCTCTAGGGATTAAGTCCAACATGAATCTGGGTGTTGCTGAGATAATATTTGGTCGTTGTGGTGAACATCTACAATCAGCTGCCTTCAGTACAGGAGATGAGCCTCCAGAAGGTGGATGGGTAGGTCCCAACCAATCAGCTGAAGGCCTGAAGAGCAGAAACTCAGGCTTCCTAGAGAAGAAGAAATTCTTGCCTGAAGACTGAAGCACAAATCCTGCCTGTCCTAGGAATTTCAGACTTGCCAACACCTGTAATCATGTGAACAAATTCCTTAAAATAAATCTCTTGATAGATGGAGATATGGGGATGGAGATGGAGATGATGAAGAAGATGAAGATGGAGATCACAGAGATGATGGAGATGATGGAGAAGCTGGAGATCATGGAGATGATGGAGAAGATGGAGATCATGAAAATCATGGAGAAGATGGAGATGATGAAGAAGACGGAGATGATGGAGAAGGTGGAGATCATGGAGAAGATGGACAACATGGAGAAGATGGAGATGATGGAAAAGTTGGAGATGATGAAGAAGATGGAGATCATGGAGAAGTTGGAGATGATGGACATGATGGAGATGATGGAGAAGGTGGAGATCATGAAGAAGATGATGGACAGGTTGGAGATAATGAACATGATGGAGATGATGGAGGGGTGGGAGATGATGGAGAAGTTGGAGATGATGGAGAAGGCGGAGATGATGAAGAAGATGATAGAGAAGATGGAGATCATGCAGAAGATGGAGATGATGGAGATCATGGAGATGATGGAGAAGATGGAGACCATGGAGAACATGGAAATGATGGAGATCATGGAGAAGATGGAGATGGAGATGGGTAGAGACAGCCTACTGGTTCTGTTTCTCCAGAGAACCCTGACTGATACAGGTGCCCACAGCTCTGGTCCCAGACACTTGTAGTCCCCTCCCACCTGGCTATGGCTTGATGTTTCCTGCTGTCCACCTTTCTATCTTAAAAATGGGGTTCCCGAGAGCCCCAAAACCCAGACCCCAAAGACCTGACTAGGATGGAGGGGGATTACTCAAGCCTATAGAGCCCACACACAGACGACTCACAGCATGGAGGTCTCACTCTGGACTCTTCACTCTCCAGACCCCCATCCCAGCCTTGCCCTCAAACCCCAAGAAGTGATCTTGGCTTTGATGAAGATGGACAGAGCCAGTGCAGGACGTGTCTGTCTTCCAATGACCAAGATCTAAACTTTCCAAAAGCTAGATTTCCGACAATTCTGGCTAGAACTGAAAAGTAGTGGGTGAGTAAGACATTGGAGAACCTGGTGGGGTGCAGGATCACTGAGGGAGTCAGGCACCATGAACGGGGCAAATGGCACCCTCCATGGGGAAGCAACGAGGCCCTGAAGATGGAAGAAAGTGAGCAATTCTTCACACGCACGGGCAGACTCAATTCGGCAGGGGAAATGCACCAGAGGAAAAAGCAGCAATGTCAAAAATGTCTCTAAGCTTGATTGTTTAAACACTTATCATCAAACTTGAAGAAATAAACTCAAAGGCCATTTTAATGACATACGCGGGGACAAGAAAAGCATTTGTGTTTCCAGTGCCAAGTTCCCTTGCATGAGCGACAGAAGTTTCTGCAAGTACAGTCAAAGGTGATGGGCGCACACTTTGCCAACAAAGATCCCACTTCCAACACACACACGTCTGTGGCTTATCATTGCTGACTTGTTTCAGAATTGGCTCCAGCTCCCGAAGCAGGTTGTCAACCCACCTCCTCCCTGGAAAACCCAAAGGAGAAGGGGAGGGAGAGAGGTGGAGGGGCCAGGGAGGCCAGTGTAGGAGAACTGGGGTACGGTCCTCTCTGGACCAGAGCAGCATTGAGCACCCTTTGTGAAAAGCTCGGCAATGCCAGGCTAGGTCCCCCTGGTGCGAGGGTGGCTCTGAACCACTGTCACAGAAGATGGAGCTCAGGGGCCCGTGCAGACCCAGCGTGGGTGGCAGTGCCCACAGGCTCCTAAAAATAAGCATCCGTTCAGCTCAGAACCCTGCTGTCCCTCCACCTGGCCCCAGAGTGTCCTCACTTCCTCGGCCTGAGCACTGCTGGCTTTCCGGATGGGCAGGAGGCAGAGCTGAGCCCAACCTGGGGTAGTGGTGGAGGGAAGGGGGGTGGCCCAAATTTGTCCAACAGCAAAGGCCACCTGGAGCGCTTCTCTTACCCGTGGGGGATTTTGGCGATGCCGGGAGCAACCACAAAGCCCGGGGAAATCAGGAGCTTTGCAACAAAACCCGCTCTGGGGAGCATCAGGGCACTCAAGCCCTCCAATACCTTTCCCCAAACAGCACATGGTCAATCAGGAATGCAAAATAGGCAGCCCATCAGATACAGAGCAAAACCAAACCGAGGCAGGGTGCCCACTGCCTGGTACCCCTTGGGGCAGGCTCCCTGCACATCCTCTTCTGTGTGGGCACACAGGTGCCGTTCTTTGGGGAGGTGGCTGTGGGTGTATGCACACAGTACCCACTCAACCCCTGATGGGCTTGTGCCCTCCCTTGGAGGCAGGTAGATGAGGTGAAGGCCTGGACGGGCCGGCCATCCTGAGACCCGCTCCGGGCCAGGGACCTGCACATTCGTGCACCTTTTCCGCATCCTCAACAGAGACCCTTGGTCTGGATGCTGCGTGAATTCACAACATCTGTCTGTGGGAGAGGAACTCCCTGACTTGGCTCTGAAAAAATAATAATAAAATAATAAACATTTAAAAGGAAGTGCAGCTTCTTCCAGGAAGCCAGAGGTGTGGGTAGCTGGTGTAGGGTTTGCTTGGCATTGGGTTTGGAGCACAGCAGATCATTCCAGAATTCCACCATTCTCCTGGCACAGGGTCTTTGCCCAGGGCTGACCTCAGGGCTCGCTCCATCACCGCATGACCCCAGTGGCACAACTGTGGTTACACCTGCTGCAAATGCCCTGGTTAGTTACGTTCTCTAAGACGCAGTGGCCTTGACTCAGGGTGGCTGCACTTCAGACTCAGCCTCCTGCCCCCTCAACGTCCTGAGCATCGTGCTTGGTCCATCTCCCATGCGTCTCCGTCGCGTTCCCTCTTCCCTTCTGAACAGGACGGGCCTTTGTGCTGTTTTCTTCCTGCCCAGCTCTGCTTCCCACTCCTGCCCTTGCCTAATTGTTCTCCATGCTCTTTGGGGGAACCTCGTCTGGTCCTGCCCTGTGGGGAGGCACAGACCCGACTGGGCTCCCTGTCCCCTGCCCGAGGCAGCCCAGTCTGACATGCATGCTGCGGTTGACACGGGTGCTGGCTCTGCTGCCGGGTGCTGGCTCTGCTGCCGGCCGCTGGCCCATGGCTCCTACCAGAAAAGCCCACATGGGAGGCAACATCACATCAGCCGGTTTGCTCCCCAAAACCAAGAACTGCACCCCGCTTTTGGCCTTGATATTCACAGGTCATTTTCCTTGGATACTCAGGAAGATTCTGTCTTGCAGACCATCTCCACAAAACGTGGCCCTGGGACCTGCTCGGGGCAGGGCAGAGGGGTCGGCAATGCTGAGGCAAGGCTGTGGAGAGGAGAGCATCCAGCACGCGCGAGTGATGAAGGAGAGGAGGAGGCAAGCTCCGGGGCTGGCGGGAGCTGGAGAGGACAGGCTGGGAGCCATCAGGAGATGGAGCAGAATGTGGTCAGGTGGCTCAGGCATCCACTGAGACTCGGCACCATGGTGGGGAAGTCACTGGCGCCATGGTGGGGAGTCACTGGCGCCGTGGTGGGGAGTCACTGGCGCCGTGGTGGGGGTGTCACTGGCGCCGTGGTGGGGGTGTCACTGGCGCCATGGTGGGGAGCCACTGGCGCTGTGGTGGGGAGTCACTGGTGCTGTGGTGGGGGGGTCACTGGCGCTGTGGTGGGGGGTCACTGGCACTGTGGTGGGGGGTCACTGGTGCTGTGGTGGGGGGATCACTCGCACTGTGGTGGGGGAGTCACAGGGTTGGGGAGTCACTGGGTCGGGGAGTCACTGGCTGCCATTCACCCTCAGTTGTCATCTCTAAAATGGGAACTGGTGCCACAGCGACTGCACTCAGCTGGTCCCTCCGAGGTAACTGCACCTGGTACCTTCCCAATCTCATCTCTGAGAACTTGGCATCCCAGTCCCATCTCCTGAGTGCCCCTTGGGCTTCTGTGCTCCGTCCTCCCACCATGGCTTTGCTTAAGGGTTTGTCTTACCTGCAGTCCACCCAGTCCCTGCCCCAGTCCCACCATCATTATCATCTCCATCTCCTCCTCCTCCTCCCCCCGTCCTCCTCCTCCCCCCCCATCCTCCTCCTCCTCCTCCTTCTTCTCCTCCCTCTCCCTTCTTGGATTATCCAGATTTGATCTATCAGCCAACAACTCCCTCATCCCACCCCGAGCAACAGCATGTCCTATCTTTTCATAGGTTTAAACCACAGCCCCCCAGCCAGACAGGCAACCCCATTAGACCAAGACAAAAACCCAATCCCATTCTTATTGCTTCCATCACTCTGGGCATAGACGACTGTTCAGCGGTGCTCAGTGAATTAAACCATTGCCAGAGGCTGAGAGACGACTTCAGTGAGGCACCTCGATCAGCCAGGAGAGAGGAGGTTCCGCTGCAGTAACAAACAGCTGCCAAGTCGCAGACACTCTTTAGAGCAAAGTTTTTTTTGCTCATGCTATGTTCCTATCATGGGTCCGTCTTGCTCCTCATACAAGGGGCCAGGCTGATAAAGCAACCTCTTTCTGGAACATTCCTGGTGGTCACGACAGAGAGGAAAGAGGGATGGATACACTCCATCCTAACCCATGGCAGACACGACTTCCAGCCCCATATCAATGACTTTGGTCATTGGCCAAAGAAAGGCACAGAGGTACATGAGAGCTCCACAGCTGGGCAGAGCAGAGACACCAAATATTTGTGACCAAAGTGAGTCTGTCTCAATGACACTAACCCAGGCCAATGCAGATCATAAAACACCAGTGCGGCCAGGTGCGGTAGCTCACGCCTGTAATCCCAGCACTTTGGGAGGCCGAGGCAGGCAGATCACGAGGTCAGGAGATCGAGACCTTCCTGGCTAACATGGTGAAACCCCGTCTCTACTAAAAATACAAAAAAATTAGCCGGGCATGGTGGCGGGCGCCTGTAGTCCCAGCTACTCGGGAGGCTGAGGCAGGAGAATGGCATGAACCCAGGAGATGGAGCTTGCAGTGAGCCGAGATCGTGCCACTGCACTCCAGCCTGGGCGACAGAGCGAGACTCCATCTCAAAACAAAACAAAACAAACAAAAAAACAAACAAACCAAAAAAAAACACCAGTGCACTTAGGTTGTCACGGAAGCCTCCGGGCTTTTGCAGAAACAAGAAGGAAGACTTCCCCTCGGGCTCAAGTGGATCTGACCACTCCTTCAGGGGTTGCCCTTAGCTGGGCCAGATTGCAGTCTGGATGCCCTGGACACCAGAGCATCAGGCAGGAAAGAAGATGGAATGAAGCCAGAGGGACTGTCAGAGTCGTTACGTCACTCACCGCTGCCATTTCCATGCACACGTGAATCATGGCAACAGAAACACCCCCACACAGAGGGCCACGGCTGTGTAGACGCTCCTTGGCCTGCCTTGCCCCGAGGCTGAGGATGCTCTGCCCATTATTTGATATGCGGGAGGTTTCCACTTGGTTTCCTGTTGCAGGAAGAGAAGAGAGCTGTACTTGTGCCCACACAGCCAGGGGCTGGAGGAGGGCAGGTGCCACCTGCTCCGGACCTGGCAGGGGAGCACCTCTTGCTGTTCCAAGGAGTTTGGAAGCTGGACCCAGAGGGATTTGGCATGGTTTTCATAGACACTGCCATGGAGCATCTGCCATGGAGCTAGAGCCACTTGGCCACCATAGGGAATCGTGTTAGCCCAGAGGCCAGGTTGCCCCTCTGCTAAAGCTCCCCTCACGCCTGTGTGTGCCTGTGTATGCAAGCACGTGCCTGCCCATGTATGTGCCTGTGCGTGGCTGTGTATGCAAGCACGTGCCTGCCCGTGTATGTGCCTGTGCGTGCCTGTGCGTGCCTGTGTATGCATGCATGTGCCTGCCCATGTATGTGCCTGTGCGTGCCTGTGTATGCAAGCACGTGCCTGCCCGTGTATGTGCCTGTGCGTGCCTGTGTATGCATGCATGTGCCTGCCCGTGTATGTGCCTGTGCGTGCCTGTGTATGCAAGCACGTGCCTGCCCGTGTATGTGCCTGTGCGTGCCTGTGTATGCATGCATGTGCCTGCCCATGTATGTGCCTGTGTATGCATGCATGTGCCTGTGTGTGCATCTGTGTGCATGCATGTGCCTATGCCTGTGTGTGTGTGCCTGTGCCTGTCCCTACATGTATGTGTGTGTGTGCAAGTGTCTGGCCCTGGAAAAGTGGGCATTCAGCCTCGCTTCCACTCTGTGTGTGCTCCTTCTCCACCTCCCCACAGCCTCTCTTTGTCCATCCCTGATGACTTGGGGAAGGGGAAGACAAGATCTTTCTCTTCTCAATAAATCTCTGTTCAAGATGCAATTCCAACCGGGTGCGGTGGCTCACACCTGTAATCCCAGCACTTTGGGAGGCTGAGGCAACAGGATTGCTTGAGCCTACGCATTTGAGACCATCCTGGCAACAAAGACCTCATCTCTACAAAAAATACAAAATTAGCTAGGCATAGTGGCATATGCCTGTAGTCCCAGCTATGTGGGAGGCTACTGAAGCCCGGGATGTTGAGGCTACAGTGAGCCATGATCGCGCCACTGCACTCCAGCCTGGGAGACAGAGCAAGACCCCGTCTCAAAAAAAAAAAAAAAAAAAAAAAAAAAGGATGCAATTCCTGGAAGGACCTGAGTGGCTAGCAGCGCCCTGCCCTGTGTGATTGCCCATGGGATGTGTTTAGATGCTCGTTCCTGAGGGCCTCGTTCAGGCCTGTCTCAGCCTCCCAGAGCCATGGACCACTGCGACCCACAATGGGCCTCTGGTGCCCACTTCCGCCAGGGCTTCCCACAGATGTGCCACATCATAGGCTGTTGAGGGCACTGCAGGGGACAGGCAAGCCCGTTCCTAAGGGGCCACATCAAGGATGAAAGATCCAAACACATGGAAAACAAGCAATGAAAGCCGTACCAAGTCAGCACTGGGCGCTGCAGGGGAGGGAGTGCTGGGGACTGGGCAGTGTGGACCAGTGGCTCTTCATCGACACATGACCCTGGCCTCCCCAAGCCTCAGCTTCCTCCTGGTAAAGCAGGGCCCTCTTTCACAGGGATGCTTTGAGGATGCAGTAAGCTGATGTGTGTGAAAGGCCCTGACACTTTCATTCACTGGTCTCTGCAACTGTTTAGTCTTTAGAGAGTGAGCGCCACGGCAGGTCCTGGGACCCCACGGTGACTCAGGTCGAAGGGCCCCTGACCTTACAGAAGACAGACAGATGTCACGCAGTGCCCCACAGTGACTGCACTCAGCTGGGGTCCAAACTTCAGGGGGCATGTGGGGGTATAAGAACAGCTAACTGGGACCCCTAAGTGGGGACAGTTAAGGAAGTCTTTCCTTAAGGGAGTGACATTTGAGCTGAGCTCTGAAGACTGGGTCGGGATCAATGACAAGGTCAAGGGGAGAGGGAGAGGAGGCACTCCAAGCAGGAGCTGCCTGTGCAAAGGCCCTGAGGCCCAGAGGAGTGCAACCTCTAGAGGAATGGACCGGCCAGGAGGTACGGTGGCTCTGGTAGCATTTCATGAAGCACTATCATCATGTTTGCATTTTTAAAAGATGCTCTGCCCATGCTCCCCTCCAATCCACCTCCCACTCAGTAGCCAAAGCCTGTGAACCCAGGCAGGAGGCCGCGGCCATGGTCCAGGCCAGAGAAGGTGGTGGCCATGGGAAAGGAGGGAAGTGAACAGAATGAGGGCTTTAGGAGGTGAGAGGGGAAAGGTGTGGGGGTGCCTAGAAAGCGGACATGGCGGGGGATGGAGAGCACAGAGGGAGGAGCCCAGCCTCCGCCTTGTACAAAAAGTGAGTTGGGAGTGGTGCTGTCCTCTAAAATGGAGAATGCTGGGAGAGGAGGAGGCAGGGGCACGGATCACAAAAGGCCTGGGGCTAAGGACATGAACAGACAGTTCTCAAAAGAAGATATACCAATGGCCAACAAGCATATGGAAAAATGCTCCACATCACTAATGACCAGGGAAATGCAAATCAAAACCACAATGCAACACCACCTTACTCCAGCAAGAATGGCCATACCCAACCAATCAAAAAATAATAGATGTTGGCACAGATGTTAGCAGGGAACACTTTTACACTGCTGGTGGGAATGTAAACTAGTACAGCCACTATGGAAAACAGTGCGGAGATTCCTTAAAGAACTATAAGTAGAACTACCATTTGATCCAACAATCCCACTACCAGGTATCTACCCAGAGGAAAATAAGTCATGATACAAAAAAAGATATTTGCTCATGCATGTTTATAGCAGCACAATCCGCAATTACAAAAATATGGAACCAGGCCAAATGCCCATCAAATCAATGAGTGAATAAAGAAAATGTTATATATACATATGTGTGTGTATGTGTGTGTGTGTGTGTGTGTATGAATACTACTCAGCCATAAAAAGGAACAAAATAATGGCATTCACAGCGACGTGGATGGAACTGGAGACTATTATTCTAAGTGAAGTAACTCAGGAATGGAAAACCAAATATCGTATGTTCACACCCATCTGTGGGAGCTAAGCTATGAGGACGCAAAGATTAAGAATGATACACTGGATTTTTTTATTTTTATTTATTTATTTTTTTTTTGAGACTGAGTCTCACTCTGTCGCCCAGGCTGGAGTGCAGTGGCACGATCTCAGCTCACTGCAAGCTCCACCTCCCGGGTTCACGCCATTCTCCTGCCTCAGCCTCCCAAGTAGCTGGGACTACAGGCACCCGCCACCACACCCAGCTACTTTTTTGTATTTTTAGTAGAGACGGGATTTCACCGTGTTAGCCAGGATGTTCTCGATCTCCTGACCTCGTGATCCGCCCGCCTCAGCCTCCCAAAGCGCTGGGATTACAGGCGTGAGCCACGGCGCCCAGCCGATAAATTGGATTTTGGGGACTCTGGGGAAAGTGTGGGGGGTGGTGAGGGGATAAAAGACGACACACTGAGTACAGCGTCCACTGCTGGGAGGATGGGAGCACCAAAATCTGAGAAATCACCACTAAAAAGCTTGTTTATGTAACCAAACACCACCTGTTCCCCAGAAACCCATTGGAATAAAAAAATTAAACAATTAAAAATTTTTAAAAGGCCAGATGATGGCTCACGCCTGTAATCCCAGCAATCTGGGAGGCTGAGGCGGGTGCATCACCTAAGGTCAGTAGTCCGAGACCAGCCTGGCCAACATGGTGAAACCCCATCTCTACTAAAAATACGAAAAATGAGCTGGGTATGGTTGCAGGAGCCTGTAATCCCAGCTACTCAGGAGGCTGAGGCAGGAGAATCGCTTGAACCCGGGAGGCAGAAGTTGCAGTGAGCCGAGTTCACAGCATCGCACTCCAGCCTGGGCGACAACAGCGAGACTCCTTCTCAAAAATAAATAAATAAATAATAAAATAAAATAAAAATGTTTAAGACCTGGGGGAGGTCTAGGAATATTCAGGAGGAGGGGCCTGCATGAGCTGGCACTTGGGTATTGGCTGAGCCCTGGTCCAGCCCAGGGAGAGTGAAGAAAGAGGATGATGCCTCTAGGAACTCCCAGCAGCAAAGTGCCAGTAGGGAGGATGAGCCCAGGAAGCAAGAGCATCTGAACTCAGGGTGGACAGATGAGCCTGATGGGCCGAGAGACAAGAGAAAGTGAAAGGTTAGGATGGGCTCCGTGGGGCCGGGCAGTGAGCTGAGACTGGACAGGAGAGGAGCTGGACACAGGCCTTCTTTGACCAAGTCTTCATTTGTCTTGCTGGCACTGACCCCCAGCTGAGCTCCTGCATCCACCAACCAGCCTTCCCATCTCCCAGGCTGGGGCCCTCAGACTGGGGTGATTCCCAGCATGGAGGCTTGCCCCTGGTGTGGACTGAGTGCAGAGATGCCCCAACTGTTCACATGTCCATGGAAACATTCCCTTTGCAATGTGACTTTGTAGCTCCTTCCACCAAGAGGCAGGGTCTACTTCCTTGCCCTTTGAATCAGGGCTGGCCTCCAGACCAAAAGATGTCCTAGACACGAGGGTGCCCCCATTCCAGGTGGGGCCTCAGCAGGCCTTGCTCACTTCCATTTCTGTCCCGGGACCCAGGCACGGACGTGTGAGCAAGCCTGAGTGAGCCTGCTGGAGAAGGAAGAGCCAGGAGAAGCAGGGACCTGTCTCAAGTCCAGCGGCCTCCGCCCCACCTGCCAGCTGACCACAGAGGTCCCAGCAAGCCCAGCTGGGACCAGCCAAGCATGGCCCAGTTCAGCAGAAGGGCCCAGATGACCCCTGGACTCATGAGCAAGAACAACAACTGCTGTTTCAAGCTACAGCGTTTTGGGGCGTGTTTGTGATGCGGCAGTCGCTGACTGGTACCCCCTTCCCCCAGGCATGAGGACGTTCCTCAACTTCATCCCGCTTCCCAGGATTAGCTAGAAACCAACAGAGCCATGTGGCTAAATCCATTCTGGTAGGGCTTGTAATTGAGCTACTTGGTGAGATCTTCCGTTTGATTTTCTCTTTTCATATGTTTTCAATCAGAAATATCAGAAGCTGCTTTGAATGTCCCTGCAGAGTTCTCAGAAGCATCCTCTCCCGGGTTTCTCTGGAGAGCCCACCTTGTTTGTTGGAGAGTGTATTCTCCTGCAGCTTTTCAAATGCTACGTTTTCCTCTGATGGCAGCCAGGGCATTTGATTGCATGAGAGATGGTGATGTGGTTGCAACTGCTGTCGATATTCCTTTATGACTCTGAATTTGCATCTGTGCAAGTCTGGTAATACCTGAATTCCAGGCACAAATAAATGAAACTTATTTAAAATAACTGGGAAAAATTCCACACTGGAGGTAAAATAAAAAATAGATTTGCTGCTACAGATGCAGAAACTGGTCCAAGAAAGACCACTGGAAATTGACTCAATAACTGGCCGGTCCCAAGAAGTCTGTAGCCAGAGTAACTGGTGGGCGCAAGGCAGAAAGGTGAACCATTAAGGCCTAGACCACACACCCTGTGGTGCCTCCACTCTCCAAGACCCCCCGCAACCCTGAGAATAGGAAGGTGGTGTGAGGAGAAGGGAGCATGGCTGGTCACGAGAGCCCTTTTCCACACTCGGTCACTATGGTGCTGGCATCCTTCCTGTGCAATGTAAGGGGCAGCAGTGGTGCCCACATTGCACAGGAGAGGCTCCATGGAGCCAAGGCAGCATGACCTTACATAGCATGTCCACGGCAGCCTGATCCCAAGACCTCCACCTTGCAGTCCAGTGTCCTTTGCAGTAGACACCAGCAAGGCTAGGGACCCCAGCCCCTGCTGTTTTCATCCTAACTTGGACTTATCTGTTGTGATGGCCAGGCCAACCCTGTTTGGGAGAAGGCGGCTGGTGAGAATAAACAGGGAACACCGGCATCGTCTACAAACCCAGTGGAGCCACTCAGCCAGGACCCTCAGCCCCAAGCTGCCCAAGTCACTCAGCCAGGCGAGGTCCCCCCACGGAGCAGCAGGCTGGCCAGAAAGCTTCAGACCACAAGCTTCGGACCAAGCGGCACCTAGGAAGGGAGCAGGTATGTAACCAGGGAATCACAGGACCTTGATCGAGGTCCCACTTGGAGGCAGGGGGAAAGGCTGTGGGAGAATAGATGAAGGAGCCCACGGGGAAGCAGACGGAGCTACTTCACGGGAGGACGGAACATTTGAGTTGGGTCTTTTTTCTTTTTAGAGATGGGCTCTCACCCAGGCTGGAGTGCAGTGGCACAATCATACCTCACTGCAACCTTGAACTCCTGGGCTCAAGCAATGCTCCCACCTCAGCTTCCTGAATAGCTGGGACACAGAGGCATGCCACCATGCCTGGCTCTTTTTAAAAAATGTTTTTGTAAAGAAGGGCTCTCACTATATTGCTGGACTTGAACTCTTGAGCTCAATCCATCCTCCCACCTTGGCCTCCCAAAGTGCTGGGATTGCAGTCATGAGCCACCTTACTTGGCCTGAGTTGGGTCTTGAGGCATGCATAGGAGTTTCCAGGTGGGATGCAGTTGCTGGAGCTGGACCATGCAGATCCAGCTCTGGAGCTCACAGTAATGTTCATAAACAAATGGTTTTGAGCCTTACGTGAGCCAGGCCCAAGACTGGGCATTTTCTCATGTGTTTTCTAATGCACTTGATAACTGATCTTATTCTCCCCCGGGGACTCTGGGTGCAAGGAGACATTCTGGGCTTCATCCCACCATGAAGACCAAAAAACATCCTGAGGGCAGGCTTGGCATCAAATCCTCCTCCTGCCACTCCAGGAGCCGAGCGCAGACCTTGCTGCAGCCAGGAAAATAAATAGTAGTTGACCAAGGTACTGACCACCCTCACCCCAGGTTAGGAAGAACCTGCAAGCCAATTTCTCTTTGATGTGTTGAGCTATAGCCCACCCCACACCCCCTTCACTGCTGTTTGCTTCCCTAAAAATGAATAGCACTCTGCAGGTATCCCCACCCTTAAGCACAGCCCTCCCCCAAGAGACCTGTCCTGAGCTTGGACCTGGGTGATATAACGAGACCCATCCTGAGCTTGGACCTCGGCAATATAGTGAGACCCCATCCTGAGCTTGGACCTGGGCCATATAGCGAGATCCCGTCCTGAGCTTGGACCTGGGCCATATAGTGAGACCCCATCCTGAACTTCGACCTGGGCAATATAGCGAGATCCCATCCTGAGCTTGGGCCTGGGCCCTATAGCGAGACCCCATCCTGAGCTTGGACCTGGGCCATATAGTGAGACCCCGTCCTGCACTTGGACCTGGGCCATATAGTGAGACCCCATCCTGAGCTTGGACCTGGGCCATATAGTGAGACCCCATCCTGAGCTTGGACCTGGGCCATATAGTGAGACCCCGTCCTGAGCTTGGACCTGGGCCATATAGTGAGACCCCGTCCTGAGCTTGGACAGTTCTTTCAGGGCATAGCAGTGCTCAAGGGTGGGGAACTTAAGGAACTGCCTGGGAGGGGGCATTAGAGCTGGGGCTACCATAACACAGGACTGCACACTGGCGGCCACAAACAACAGCATGAATCCTCTTGCGCTGCGGCAGGCTGCCGTCTGAGTCTGGGTGTGGACTCCGCAGGTGGGCTTCTTCTGGGGGCTCTGAGCGAGGATCCGCCCCAGGGCTCTCCTTGGCTTTAGGTGCTCTCCTGAGTGTCCGTGGCCTGTGGCTGGCTCACCCCAGCCAAGTGCTGTCTTCTCCCTGTCTCTCCACATCACCGTCCCCTGTTTGTGCCTCTGTGTCCTGATTTACCCTTCAGATAAGGACACCAGTCCTGTTGGATTAGGGCCCCCCATCCCCTCTGAGAAGACCCTGTCTCTAAGGTCACATTCTGAGGTCCCGGAGGTTAGGACGTCAACATGGCTTTTTGGGAGGACATGATTCAGCCCGAATGGGTAGCCTCTTCCCTCCCAATCTCCTCCCTGCTGCCTGCCCAGGCTCCTGGAGCTTCCCTGGGACGCCCTGGGGGCTGTACCAGAAATGCACGGGGAGGAGCTGGGACCCCCTGGAAGGGACCCTGGAGAACGGCAGTGAAGAGGGGTCACATGCACCCCGACACCCTCCACACAACCCAATACCCCCATGTGGGTTTGGCCTGCATCGTCCCACCATGGGGGGTCTGTCCTTCCAGGTCTCGGCAAGGCCCAGGCATGCTGGGGAGGGCTGTCAGTTCAATGGTGGACACCAGCGTTTGATGTGGAGATTTGGCAGTGAGAACGGATGTGCCTCAGTGCGAGGTTTATATAAAATGACAGATTCTGGAAAATGAAGCCCTCAGATTAAAAAAGAAGAAGAAAAGGAAAGAGGAGGAAGAGGCAGCAGGGAAGGTGCCCTCCACCCCCCATGTATTCCCTGGAGGGCACTGCAGGGGCGGTGGGGGACCGGGAGACAAATGCCCCATTTGGGGGTGCTTCCTGTGCTGCTCAGTGTGCCTTGGCTTTGCCCCAACACCGCCTCCCCACCCCCCAGGCCACACACTTCTTTACCATCCCCATCCGTCCTATACCCAGGATAAGAACCCCAGGGGACAAGGCCCTGATAGGGGACAGACACGCGCCAAGATAGCACGCGGTAAGAGACAAGCAATTATTTGGAAACTTTCACATTACTGTCGTTTTAAAAGGGAGGGGGCTAGATGGAGGCAAAGACTCCAAGAATCCTTCCTAGGAAGCCCACAAAAGCAAAGATGGATTGCACATAATTGCCCTTTGTTTAAAAGGCACATGGATATTCCTGCAGAGCTGGAAACTCATTCTTCACACAAAAAAGCTTCCAAAAATTGCAACCTATTTGTTGCCAAGTTTGGGACTGTTATTTCCTTCCCAGCCCCCTTGGGTTGCTTTTTTATTTTTTAATGACCTGAAATGTAAATTGCCTTCCCTGTGGGTCTCCTGGGGCTGGGATGAGGTCTAGGGAAGTCCGCCTCCCAGGACATCCCAGCTGGGGCTCCTCCAGGAAAGGAGGCGGAAAATCCAGGATACCAATGAAGTTCATTCTGGCCACCTGGCACCGAAAGTGGAGCAAGAGACCAGACCTCTTCCCCTGCCTTCTCCCTGGATGCTGCGTGTCCACCTCCTGGCGTTCAGATGGCCCCTTTCTCACCAGAACGAAAAGGAGAAAGCAAGGACATCAGCTCAGCCCTGGGGTAAGAGTTCTCATCACCACAAGGCCCAGGAGGACAATATCAAACACAGCCAGCATGGACCCCACCCCAAATCTCAAAGAAATCTTCAATGAACCCCAAGAAGGGGCCTCAAGACTGCAGCCAACTTCTCAGAATTCCCCAAGCATCCAGCCTCTCAGGAGCACAAAAGAAGCCTGTGAGCAGCTTCCCAGCCCTCGGAGGGACGAGAAGTTCCCGTGTCTGCCGGGGACCCTGGGAGCAGGGAGCTGTCGCCGCCCCTTCCTCCCAAGCCTGCTCACTGTTCCAGAAACAAGGAGTCCAGGAGAAGAGCCAGGATGGGGGAATAAAGGTTTCCATGAGGGGAGATCCCAGAGAGGCCCCCTGAACCTGGCAGTCACGTGGTCCCGGGGGTCGGCACCCATTGCCATGTGTCCCCCCTGGCACAGGTGTCGCTGGGGGCCAAGGCTTCAGAAGTTACTGCTGGAATGAGCCCACCTGCCTCGGGGGCTTCCTTCATCTCAAAACTCAGAGTGTTGTCACAGCCACGCTGCCACTCTAGATTTCCTGGGGACAGGAGACACACCATGGCCAGGACCAATCCTGGCACCAAAAAGGAGAACCCCCAGCCAGGCTGCGCCCATCCGATGGACACCAGACTCCTTGGTACACATTTATTGGGCACCTACTGTGTTCCAGGCACAGCCTGAAGTGATAAAAGCCAGGCACAGCGCCAAAGGTCCCAGCAGAAGGTGGCGGCCACCCCCAACCCCCAGCCCATCCCCGTCTTTCCTTCCTCTTGGGCCTCCTGTCCCCTCTGGAATTCAGCCCCAAACAGTATCGTGTTTTCTGTTGGGTCACCGCCTTTGCTTGGAGCCCCTGAAAACAGAGCCTGGGGCAAGGGTTGGGGCACAGATTGCTGGTTTGAGAGCAAGTCCAGGAAGCTGGTGTGAGGTTATCTGGGAGCCTGATGAGGATGGAATAAAAGCTATGTGTGCACGTATGGAGGGTGTGAGGAGGGGTGTGCACGTGTGGAGGGTGTGTGGAGGGGTGTGCACGTGTGGAGGGTGTGTGGAGGCATGTGCACGTGTGGAGGGTGTGTGGAGGGGTGTGCATGTGTGGAGGGTGTGTGGAGGGGTGTGCATGTGTTGTGTGTGGCATGTGTAAACGTGTGCACGCATGTGGTATGTGCAGTGTGTGTGTGTGGAGTGTGGAGTATTGTAGTGTGTGCACACATGCATGTATGTGTATGTGTGTGGGTGTGTGCAGGGGTGGAGTATTTTGTGTGCACATATGCATGCATGTGTGTGTGTGTAGTGTGTGTGGAATGTGAAGTATTGTCGTGTGTGCATGCATGCATGTGTGTGTGTCTGCAGGGTGTGGAGTACTGTCGTCGTATGTGCACACATGCATGCATGTGTGTGTGGGGTGTGGAGTATTGTCGTCTGTGGATGCATATATGCATGTGTATGTGGGTGGGGGGGTGTGGAATATTGTTGTGTGTGCACATATGCATGCCTGTGTATGTGTGTGGTGTGTGAACATGTGCATATGTAAATGAGTGCATGTGTGTGGTGTGTGCAGTGTGTGATATGTGTGGAATGTGTAGTATGGGCACACGTGTGCATGTGTGGTGCGTGCATATGTGTGTGGACAGGTGTGCATGTGTGTAGTGTGTGCATGTGTACGTGCGTTTATGCAGTGTTATTGAACAGGTCACCCTGTGGGCAACTGGAGCTGGATCCATGGGGACCTTCCAGGTCACCCCGTGGACTGCCTGTCCCTGGGAAGGCTGGGGCAGGGAGTGGTTCCCTCCCCACACTCCCACCTGCGCTGTGAACACACTCCCTCCTCTCCCACTGAGTTGAGCCCAGGACTGCGGGCTCAGGACACCAGGACTCTCCCAGGGACAGCCACTCCCAAGGTGGCCCCAGCAGGCCCAAGCCAAGGCTGTCGTCTGTTTCAGACTGGGCACTGCGGCATGGGGCCCTTGACAGGGAAATGTACAGCAGTCCTGGCGCATCCCAAATGTTCTCTATGATGGCAGCACCTTAGACTTCATCCCACAGCCATGTGCTCCCCTGCCCCTTCTCCCTGCCCAGAAGGAACCTGGCACACCCACTACCCCACACCCCTGCTTCCATGGCCCCCTGCACTCCTGACCTGGCAGACCCCAAACCACAGTCTGCTTAGTGGCAGCAACCACCGGGTGAAAAGCCTGAGTGCTCGGAGGTGGGGGTCAGGGAAGGCAGCCCACACTGGGCTCTTGCCACTCTCGGGGGACAGAAGTGGGTGGCAGCTGCTCCAGGGAGGGGTGCAGGTGCAGAAGAAACCCCTAAGAGAGGAACATGTGTGTCCACAGCCCACTCTTGGCAGGCAGACACCCCCAGGAGACCCCACATCCCACCAGGACGGACACCACCTGCCCTTCCCTGGCAGCTCCCAATCCTTCCTCCTTCTCCCAGCTCTTTTTTTGTAAACTAAGTCTGTTTCTGGAGGGCGCGTCATGTGTGCACGCCTGTACATGCATGCCGAGTTTTTATTCCAATCCTTAAATGAGGTCTTTGCTGAGAATTTACAATTCCCCTGTGGCCTCAATCTTGCAAAGATTGCTTTTTTAACGCTGTTAGGCCTTAATTCTAATAAGCCTCCTCCTTATTACAGAACCAGGTCACATTGCCTTGACACCGCCAGAAAATCTCTCATGGCCACGGGAGGGTGGGCGTGGAGAAAGGGGCTGCCAGAGAATGGGGCAGAGATCTGGGAACACCGAGGGAGGAATCCTTTCTTAATTCAATGCAATTCTAAAATAATCTAATTTCTGAGGACCGGAGTGGCCTCTGCTCACTTTAGATAACTTTGTGATGTGGTTGTGTCTCCTGCAAATGTTAGTTTTCTTTTTTGTGTCTTGATTTTGAAAACGACAAGAGGAGTCGGGGAGCGACGGAACCCGATGGGCACACTGGGCACCAGTTCAGGCCCTGGCCTCAGGCAGTCGGTCATCTGCAGCGGCCCAACGTCTGTTCTCCCTGCTCCCAAGGGCCAGGAGAGGAAATTGAGAGAGTATGGCACCAGCAGGCTCCAGGACAGAAACCAAAACCCGCTGGCACTTGTTGGGGGTGGGAGGCACTTGGACCAAAGGGTTTGGGCACCTGGGGAATCCATCAGTCAAACTCGCTCTCCTCCCTCTTCCTGAGATAGCTGTTTTTAGGTTCAAGGGGATACAGAGGAAGCACGCAATTGAGGAAAATGAACCTGCCTCTGTCTGACTCATCAGGACAGCGCGACAGTCCCTCCTGCATTCTCACAACATTGATTAAGCGCCTACTCTGTGCCAGGGAGTGGAGAGGTGGGTCCTCCTGACCCACCTTCTCCACTGGAAGTAGAAGAATCTCAGAGCTAAGGGCTGAGACGGTGCTAGAATGTTCTTTAAAACCCTTGGAAACTTTCGAGACTGAGGGGTGAGTCCAGAAACAAGGTCTTTCTTCTAGAAGATTCTGCATATGGAGCTGTGGAGACGGCACTCTGCGGGGCAGCAGGGACAAACAAGAAGTGGAAGACACAGCCCTGACCCTCTGGAGGCACCCAGGCCATAGCAAGGAAAGAGATGGAAATGGCTTGCTGTCCCCAGATGCTCCTGTTCACACCACCAGCCAGCCCCCTCCAGGCTCTGCCTCCCACATGCTGACTTCAGAAGCTGTCCACTCCAGGGCCACCCGGGGCCTAAATCCGGCTGTGCAGCCCGGCCCCTGCGCAGGGAGGACTCGAGCCACACAAACCCAGCACCTCGAGGTTCTTGTTCCTGTCCCTGGGACTGCAGGACCCAACAGCACTCTTCCTCGAGGGCAGTGTGAGCAGAGCCAATTTTTTAAATACAGAACTGTACATCAATGTGACGTCTAACATAAGGCACCTTATAAATCAGAGGCCATTTTTTAAAACTTGGATGTGAAAGGTTCTGGTGTCCAGGGGCTGGGGGTGTAGGCAGCTGCGAGGCCTTCCAGGGGCACCCCTGAACATACAAGGAAGCACCCACTCAGCGCTTCCCCACCCTCGGCATGCCCCGGAAGCCACCCTCAGAAGCCTCCACTGGGAATTTCTGAGTTTTCACGTGTGGTTCCTCTTATCCTCCATCCCCTGTGGGTGCCACACAGAGGGCCAGAAGGTTTGCATTTACTGGGTCCCCAAAGAGGAGACCAGACTGGACCATGTTTGGCACAAGTGCTGACCAAGAACGGAGCCCTGAGGACACGCCCTCAGAAGACGCTGATCCCCTCCCTGGGATGACGCTCCCCATCCCACCCTTAGAGTAACAGCAGGAATGACCCCCACCCCCGCCTGGAGAGCCATCGGTATTGAGAGAAACGAGCCACTTTCCAGGTGTGCCGAGGCTGACCATAATGGGGCCACCAAGGTGCAAGGTCAAGCTTGCCAGAAAGAAACCGGCACGCAGACACGCAGCTCCCTGGAGAGCAGACTTGGGTCCCCAGCCCAGGAACTCGATCCTCCCACTGAGGCCCACCGTGCCCCAGCGAAGAACATGCTCAGTCAGCAACCGCTCGCTGGGCACCTGCTTTGTGCCAGGCACTGGGCTAAGCACTGAGAATACCAGATGAAGACGAGACAGTGCACCAGGTCCACACGCTTTAGGATTAAATCACACTGACGGTTCTGCCGTCTTTCTTTTCCACGAAAATGGACTGTGGGTCTCTTTCCACATCCATGGAAAGCAGCTGCCTAAAACCCACCGTGTGTATGAATAGGCCATTCTCTCTTGAACGCTTTTAACCAATCCCCTGCTGCAGGGAGTGTGTTAGCAGCGGGGAGACCTGTGGGAAGTGGCATGCCAGCCGCGCAGAGGGGAGGACGGACCTGGCATCTCCCTCTAAGCCAGCCGCCAAGTCACGAGGGGCTCCTATGCATTCCAAAAACCCTCCTAGAGGAAGAGCAAGGTGGCAGCCCTTGGCCCATGGGCAGCAGATTCTTGGATTCTGCAAAACATAATTGTGAAGCCCAATCTGCCAGCGGAGAAATATGCAGCGCATTCACAGGCTAAATATAAATAATATTGATTCATCTGCCATCTTGAATTATCCATTCCACTTCTGTTTTCCATTAGCATCAATAATCACGAGCGTACTCCCCTGTGGACGGGGTACATTACGCTCCGAAGGATGCAGCTGGCCCCAGGGTCACACATCTGGAGGAGCCTCAGGATATCTTCCAGAATTATCTGGCATCTTCTAGAGCAATCCAGAACCTTCCTGGTACTTTTTCCTCCCTCTTATCTACTCCTCATTCCAAGCCCAGGAAAGAGGGGTGGCTCAAAGAGACATCTGAGACCCCCCTTTCAGAGGCAGTCTGCTCTATTTGGCAGCTGACTCTGGTTCTGGGAAACAATTGCACACGCTCCAAGGTTCACTTCCAAGGAAGGAGGGGAAGAAGCTCCTGGGGCTGATGCAGAGCCCAACTGAACCCTCAGGGCAGAACCAGGGCCCATTTCCTCTCTGGGCCAGAAACCACAGTGGCTTTCCTGCAGATCAGCGGGGTCCTTGTTCCTCTGACAGCCCTCTGCCCCCAGGCCCTGGGGCTCTCTGATCAGCAGGCAGAGAGTGTGCCCAGCACCAGCCAGGGGTGGGCCAGGGCCTCCGGCACACCCTCCTACCCCTTCTCAGTGGAGCCTCTAGAGACAGAAATAACCAAGGCACGGAAACCCACCAGGGCCACCCACCGTGGGCCCAGCCAGGCCACAGAGCTAATGAGCCACAAAGGCCCCTGCCCCCCAACCAGCTCTCAGAATTCAACAAATGTTGATTGAGAATGGACTATGAGCAGACAGCCATGCTAGGTGCTCTGGGAAGACATGGATCAGCTGCAGCCCCTGCCCGCGAAGCACTTGCAGCCCAATACGGGAGATGGAGCTGCAGACGCCCATCAGGATCTGTGATTTTTTGCTTTTCCTTCTCAGTGCTGATTACAGCTCCCAGAAAGTGCTATGGGAAGCAGGTGCTGACATCAGGCCCAGAGGGAGGCTTTGTGGATGCTTCTCATGTCCTCTGCGTGCCTGTCTACGTCAGTACGTCCCACTTGCTCACCGCCTTAGATACACCCAGTGATAACCTATGGCTTCGCTATGTTCCGTGTTGATAGAAGGATCCAAAACCTTCCCGTTGGCCTTCACCGTCTACTTAACGAGCCACGCCCCTCCTAGGACACTGCAAGAGAAATGCTGGGGTCACCCCTGGCCGAGGCCTCCCTCCTGCTGGCCACACGTAAGAAAGGACTTCACAAGGGAGACCTCCGTGGCTGCCACACACATTCACCCCAAATGCTTCCTGGAGAAAGCACCTGCCCTCACACTGTGAGCTCGTGAGTTTGCCAAAAAGGAGATGCAGGAGCCTGAGATCACCTCCTGTCTTGCTGCTAAAATATCCCAGCCGTGGAAAAGCAAGGCTGGCCTCAAATTGGGGAATCTGGTCTTGCCAGCCCAGCTGTGCTCCAGGGACTCCGGTTTGCATTGGGAATGAGAGAGTGTTGGCCGGGTAAGATGGCAAGACAGACACAGTCCTCCTACAGACTTGTAGAAGGGCTTTCTGCCCGCCCCCACCCAGGGCAGAAAGAGGAGGCACAGGGGAAAACAACAAGAGCCCTGGCCAAGAATGAGCCCTCTGCCGTCGTCCTGTGTGTGGCCTTGTGGCCCAGCACCAGCGCTGGGGGGCACTTTGCCCTGCCTGACAGGAGGAAGGGATGCCCTAGTGAGGTGGGAAACAGAGGGAGAGGTTGAGACCACCTTGGACAAGAAGGGCCAGGGAAGGCCCTCCTCACCTGTCACTACAGCCCGACACTTAGAAGGTACCGCCTGATTTCAGCCTCTGCATCCACGGTCACCTACTAAGTACCCCCCATAGGTAGGGGTTGGCTCCTGCCTTTCCCAGGAGGGAGGACAGACTCACCCTGTGGCCAGCAGGGAGCAGACACCCCCAAAAGCCACTGGGGCTGCAGGGCCCCCAAAGTGGAAATGACCTGCCACTCTGTCCATCCCATGGGGGAGAAACAATCAGACCCTAGGCAGGGGGCATTTAGGGCAAACAGCTGGCCCACAGCACGGACTCTCCTCTTTGCAGCTAATTTTTGGACTGCATGGGCCACATCTGGGCCCTGGGACTTCCCATGGAGCCGCGGCAGGTAGAAGGATGGAACCCCACAATCTGAAGAGCAGAGAGGAGCCTGATCAGAAGGAGTCTTGGCTTCTTTATTATTCCTCCTTGACCCACCCTCTTTCCACCATCCCTCACTAGCAATTCTCCCCAAAATCCTGCTGCAGAAATCTGCCTTCCAATAACATTGCCTGGGCAGAAGCCACAGGAGCAGGAGCGCTGCCTGCTGGAGGGTGACCAACAGGTGCAGGGGCCTCAGGTGCCACTGCCTTTACACACGTGGCCAGTACAAAAGAGCACTCCAGGAGGAAGGTGGTGGCAATGCAGAGATGACCGTGCACATGCACACATGCACACGTGCACACATGCACACACACGCTCATGCACATGCACACACATACATGCACACATGTGCACACATACATGCACATGTGCGCGCACACACACACACATGCACACGCGCACACACCCTCCTCGTTGTTAAGGACCTTAACTTAGAATGATGTATTCTCTGTTCTCCTGGCTATAATTATTTTAGCGTGGGAGACAAATTCTGTCTCCAGCATCTCCGAAGTGCAATGTTGGAAAATCACATCCCATGGTCCTGGAAGATCCCTACCTTCTCCAGCTCTTTTCCTCCACAGAGGAGCATAAACAGACCCTTCCAAGGGGTGAACCTTGGAGGCTTTAATTCCTCCTCCAAGCAGCTCCACGTAGAGCAACAGAGACGCAGGGACCGTGCAAGTAACCATGGCAACTCCAGGAAGTTTAAAAAAATAAGTTTTTGAGTTGTTGAGTTGTTATTTGGTGCTTAGTGGGTTGGACTCTTGCCTTCCTTTTTGAGATAACGAGGCCTCTGAATGGTGCTTTTAATGAGCTTTGTGGGTACCGTATGGAAGGCAGCCCGTGTCCCCAGAATCTCATGACCTTTGAAGGGGGAAGCAAGTGTCTCATCTCAGTTCCACAGAGTCCCAGGCAGGTCTGTCCTCAGATTAGGTTGCTCCCTGTGGGGTGATCTTGAGCCAGTGTGGCCCCTCCCCAACCTTCCACCCACCCACAGAAGTGAGAAGTGCTCCATGCCTCCCCCTCCCCAGGAGACCCAACATTTACAGGAACTCTTACAGTGCCCAGCTACTCTGCAATCCAGATCCACCAGGATCCCAAATATTCATCCCAAGACACCCACGGGGGCAAGTTTCCACGCACGCATCTCCTAAGTGGGGGAAGAGGGTCAGGCTACCCCTGCGAACATACTAATATGCTGGCCAGCACGCATGTGTAGGTGCACAGGAGACCCGTGCAACTCCACCCCCGCACGACACGACCCCACTGCCCACACTCGGAGATTCTCAGGGTCCCTTGAAGGGTCCAGCTGGCCTTGGTG
The DNA here is from genome assembly GCF_000001405.40 of Homo sapiens. Lineage (NCBI taxonomy): Eukaryota > Metazoa > Chordata > Mammalia > Primates > Hominidae > Homo > Homo sapiens. Next base: position 79,599,337 of record NC_000017.11, read on the forward strand.
GAGGCGAATGGGAGCCGCTGTCCTGGGGTCAGCCCTTCTCTGTGCAGGCCACAGCAGCAGGTGTTCTGTGCCAAAGGTCATCCTCGCGTGTGCCGATGGGGTGTACATGTGCTCACACAGGCACAAAAGCACGCACGCTGCTATTCGTGCCGTGACCGTGAAGCCACCGCAGCAGGCCACGTCTTGCGGCTCCCAAGGGCAGGCTGCCTTGACCACCCACTGAGCACCTCCGACAGAACCATGGCGGAGCCGCAGCCCCCCAACAAGAGTTTGTTGCAGGTTGGTGCCGGGAGAGCTGAGGAGTGCTTGGGCCACAGCTGCAGAGGCAAAGGGCTGGGCTACCTGGCTGGGGAAAAAGGAATATTTTCTTAAAGGGAGAAAAATCCTAAATGGCCCTCGCAGTCTCTTGGCACACATAATTGTAGTATCCAAGTTAATGAAAGGCCTGGCACATGGGCTGAGTCACAGCAAATGCCTGGCCCTGCACCTCACATGCAGCAGCTCGTAGAAATCAGACGATGGCGGGCAGGGGGCAGGGGGGGCCCAGGAAATAAAGAGCATTTCCAGGAATGGCAAGTCTCCCACGCGGGATCATATCATCAATTAGCCAGTGGGAGGGCCGAGGAGTGCTGGCATCTCATTTCCACAAAGACAAAGTTTCCTTGAGGAAATTGCCAGAGTCTTCAAGGTACTGAAATAACACACAGAACAAATGAAGAAGGACGGCCGCAGGGCTTGGTGGATGCTCAGAAGCCCAGCTCCCGGCAGCCTTGCAGAGGGGCGTGTGTGTTTAAAGACACAAGTGGAGCCTGCGATGTCCAAGAGGCAAGCACCAGTACCAATACATGACACACACATGTGCTCACACATGTACGACACACATATGCTCATGCACGCACACAGGTACATGTGGGTACACAAATGCAGAAACACACTTGTGCATGTGCACATACATGCACACACATGCACACATACAGGATGCACATGCATGCCTGTGTGCACACTCTACACACAGGCACATGCATGTACAATCTACACGTGTGCATGTGTGCACTGATATGCACGCACCTGTGCACACATACATGTGCACAAGCTCTGCTTGCAGGTGGGGGTCCACTATCCTGACTTCCAAACATTCAGGTTTGAGGCTCTTGCAAATGCCAGATACCATGGAGACAAAACGCCCTCTAAACACATTATCCAGAATTTTCCCTTAATTCCCTACAGCACATGCCCCATTTGTGAGGAGACCCCCGGGGTCTTCAGGCTCTGACTCTGATGGAGCTCAGAGTATGTCAAACCCTTGAACAGTCCATTCAGGAACCTTCAAAGCCACACCCCAGGGGGCTCCCACCTCGAAGGCCCGGGGAAGCAGTCTAGCTCAGCCGTCTAAGTGGAGGTGACTGATTTATTCTGACCATCCTGACTCTTCACGACACTGCTCTCCTCCAACCATGCACGGCTTTAATTGTCCATCAAGCAGGGCAGGGAGGAACCGTAAATCTTTCCTCCCGCTGCTCCGAGCTGAGCCTGCTTGACCTGCAATTGCCAGCCCCTCGCCTGCGTGCAGCCTGGAGAAGTCCGCTGGCTCTGAAGGTGAAGGAGGGGAGTGAGGAAGGGGAACGCAGGAGAGGCAGAAGGGGGTCAGGAGGGGAACAGAGAGAGCCAGGCAGCAGGAGAAAGCAAGCAGCCGACATGGCCATGCTCCCGCTGCTCCCGCCCCGGGGCCCCTGCGGAGGAATGAATGCCTCAGCCCGACTGCAGCCTCGAGGGGCCCCGGCTGGGGCGTCTACACACCTCGCCTCCCAGGCTCCTGCTCTCAAGCAGCGGGACCCTGATAAAGTGAGCCAGACCCTCAGGGAGTCTTGGCATTCCCTTGCCAGGCTATAAAACATCACAGCCCCAAAAGGAGCCCGCTGCGGGGGATACTGATTCTCCATCCCACATTCACGGTGTCTGCAACTGGACCCCAGCTAGGGGCACAGGATCCTCTCTTAGGGTGGGTGTCTCTGTGAGGGCAGGGACAGGCCAGGGGCCACATAGCCCCAGCTGTGGCCGGGAGAACAGAGCTGGTCCAGGAGGTTTAGCCACAAGCTCCAAAGCACGCCCCCTTCCCCTGCAGCAGACTTAATATTTTCTGTAATTTTAGTATATATTAATGCACTTCAAAGTGGTGAACATTATAGTTATGATTATTACCTAAAGACTTCCTTTATAGCCCTCATTTTCCAGTGCTCATTACTTTCTGAAAAATTATCCTTGGGGGCTGAAATTTTCCTAGTCTGGTCTTGTGAGTTTTCTTCTTAGGTTTTAAGCAAAACATATCCGGAAGGGGGAGAAATTACTTCTCCCAAAGTCAGTCTCCTTGGTGACTTCTGCCAAGGAAAGAACCCCATGGGAAGGGGGCGGGCTGTGTCTTTAGCATGTAGATACTGATACTGTTATCAGTGATCTGGCCTTAGTTGTGCCCGTCTGTTCTGGAGAGACGGCTCTATTTTAAAAGTCCAAGAGGCGGGGAGGTACCCATGCGACACTCATCTTGCATGCTGCAGCCTGGGCAAGTCAGGAAAGTGAATGCTGGTTATGGCAATGCTGCCGACGCACACACACAAGCAGACGTATTTTCCAACACAAAGTGCAGATCTGCAGAAAGTCTCCTGTCTGTGGCCTGGGGATGCCGATAGAGTTAAAAGCATGCAGATTCTAGGTGTATCCTTCTCAGCTGTCCTAGATGAGATCTGCCGGTGAGAAAGAAAAATGTACCCGCTGGAAGACGGCCTTTAATCATCCTATAAAGTTGTCCCAGACAACGTCACAAGGCTTTAATGGTAAGGAAAAGGGTAACAGGCTCCCCCATCAAACACAGGCCATCGTCCACCTGCTCTCCCTCCCGCCCTTTGGCCATCAGCTGAAGGTTCCCAGCTGTCAAGATATCAAACAGACTTCTGGACGATAAAGCTCGACACAGCGTTGGCTGTCTGGGAGTGTTGATTATAATGTTACGCCACTGACAACAGTAATTCTCACCTTAAATTTCTTCTCTTTTCTGCTAAGATTCCAAAATACTTGAATAATGTACCCTTGGATAGCACCCCTGCGAGGAACACAACCAACCACTGTCGGTCTTCTCCCCAGCAGCTGGGGGCACGCAGCCAGGATGGCCGGTGAACCACACGCCCCGTCCCAGGTCTATAAGGAGCCTGTGGAAGCAACCCCTCGGGTCTCTAGTTCCACTTCACCTGTCCCTGCCGTGAGGCCCCCAGCTGTGCCTAATGGCATGACATCAATGATAGTCAATACTCCAGAAAGAATAAAAGCACACACTTTGTTTTTTTTTTCTAATGGGCTTTGCAAAGCTGTGCTTCGGTTTTTCATGGGTTGAGAACTGAGATCCAAAAACATATATCCACACGGAAGGCAGGGGTGAGCTGGAATCCCTCAGCCTGCGCGGTAAGCGATGTGGCAGCAAACTATAGGCTCAGAGGAGCCCGGGAAGGGCTGGGGGAGGGAGGCCATGATCCTGCTTCCTTTCCTCTCCCTCATGGGAAATCCAACTGGCATGGTCTGGAGCCTCATCTCTGATGATCCAATGCCACTCCCTTTGCAAAAGCAAGAGGACCTGCTGCAGTGCCCCTCTCTCCTTGAGCTACCCTTTTTTTTTTTTTTTTTTTTTAGGGGGAGTCTTGCTCTGTTGCCCAGACTGGAGTGCAGCGGTATGATCTTGGCTCACTGCAACCTCCACCTCCCAGGTTCAAGTGATTCTCCTGCCTCAGCCTCCTGAGTAGCTGGGATTATAGGCGTGCACCATCATACCCAGCGAATTTTTTGTACTTTTAGTATAGATGGGGTTTCACCATGTTGACCAGGCTGGTGTTGAGCTCCTGACCTCAGGTGATTCCCTGCCTCGGCCTCCCAAAGTGCTGGGATTACAGGCGTGAGACACCCTGCCCTGGCCTCCTTGTGGTACTCTTGACACCCCGCTGGCAGTGGAGGCATGGGGAGAGCACACCGGGCCCATTGAGGGGACACAGCACAGGCAGGAGCCCTGTTATCCCCTGGATGGCCTGACCCGGGTAACAACTGAGTCCACGGCCCCACAGACAGGACCTTACTTCTTTCTGCCTGGCTTCGGGGTGTTCCTAAGGACATGAGCTGCTGGGGGCTGCTCCAGGGAGCCCTTCCAGGCCACCCAAGGGAGTGAGGGTCCCCTCAGACCCCAACCTCTCTATAGAGACATGCTAAGGGTTGTTTCCATCCTTACATCTGCAAGTTTATCTTTTAAAGCGAGCTCTATTAAAGCAGCCTCATAATTATACCCACAGGGAACAGTTTGGAATCCATTCCTTAACCCTGACCCTTCCGAACCCTAGCAACATGCTCGTTCCTCTACTAGGTGGATAGCCCCAGGGAAGGGTCCCACTCACCACATCAGCGGCTTTACATAGATCGCCTGATCCACGCAGCAGTCCCTGCTTCTCAGCAGGGTAAACTGAGGTTCCAGAGCCTGCCCTGGGTGGCAAGGCTGGGAAGGGTGCACGCCCTCCCCAGCGGTATGCTGCAGGCAACCCTGCCACCATCAGAGGTCAGCTCCGGCCTCAGGCTGTCCCTGCACAGAGCCCGCCCACCAGCCAGCAGGTGCAGGCCGAATCCACTCACCACACCCACAGGTTGTGCGGCCGGCCCTGATGGGCTTTAAGAGCTCATGAAAGGTAACTGACATACCGCCTTGCTCAGAAGTCACTTCCATTTCAATGTGCATGTAACTGTGTGTGCCCACGGGCAAAGGGTGATTCTTGTAAGAATCAGCTGATGGGAGTGGGGAGCTGCCAAGATGTACAACCTCAGAACCTCCCATGAATAAGGAAACTAACTGAGTGAAGACTCAGCCACACCTCCAGGGTGAAGGGCAGGTGTCAACACCAAGTCATTAGGCTTTGCAGAGCCCATCAGGAGCCTGTGCATGGACCCAGTTTAAAGCATATTCTGGGTTTCCTTTTTTTGCTCGGATCTCAAGGTGACGGGTAATGTCGGGACATACCGGTGTGTGCGGCTCTCCCAGGTGATACATTAAAAAGTCATCCTCACACCTCGCTGCTGAAAACAAAAAGCTACAAAGCCCTTCTTGCCATTGCTTTTTAAAAAGTGGGGTGGGCTGGGGTGGGGTGGGGAAGAAGAGGTCACCAGCAGGTGCTTGATTCCAAGGTGCCCAGAAGCTCTTAGGAACAGACCCTGGAGCTTCAGCCAGCCCCCAGCCCTCAAAAGTTCCAGAAAAATAGGAGTTGTTTTTGATGTAATCCAGGAGAGAAACCTCTAATTTGCATTAAGAGTTTGGAGCTATGAAAGTTTAGTGAGAAATGATTTCTAAAGGTACCAGGGTGTTTGTACTTGCTTTAAATCTTTCTCCAAATTGTGGACCTTCCTAATACAAGGAAACCCTATGTCCTTTGGCTCCAAAAGAGGTTCCCATTTTTCCATCAAAAATCTCATTGCTGAGGATAGCCTGCTCCTCCATGTTCTCATGACCGTTGCCTAAAAGCAAACGATCCGGAGACATGAGCCTGGCCCAGGAATCGGCATTTGCTTGGTGTCCAAGGATGTGAACTGCAGGATGAGAGCAAGGGCAGGAGAAGCACCTGGACTCCAGGGACACCATTCCTGCCATCTTCATCCCTGGGTCTCACCTGGTGTCATAGACAAGGAGACGTGGATGAGAAGGACTGCAGTCCATGGTGTTCGGGCTGCTCAAGGGCAGAACTCTGAATGCGCCCTTGGTTTGCGTGGCACACTGCCTCCACTACTGTATTGGTGGCCCTGCAGAAGAGAATCTGATCTGGAGGTCCGGGTTACCTTTGTTTGTTTGTTTTGATGGAGGGAGAATTTTGGAGCAAGACAAGATGCCTTGGCACACAGGATTCTCCGCTCTGGCACAAAAGATACATGTTATGATCTCAACTGGGCCCCCAAACAAGGACTTGAAACTGTTCAGGGGCTGGCTGGTGGCAGCTTTCTATGCTCAGGCAGTTTCCTTGCCTGCAAATGGGATTATTTTCTAAAAGGGCTAAAATAGACATACCCGGCCACCTTCCTCGCCAGCTGGCTTCCACTCACAGCCCAGCGTTCAAGGCAGGGTGGGCTCACCTCCCCAAATATGGAGCAGCCAGCCACGCAGAGACCTGCGCATACAGAGCTGATGACCAGCGGTGGGTCCAGTAGGGAGACGGCCAGGTACAGAGCGGTTGCTCCGCCTAGGCCTCTGTTCTTCTGGAGTCTTGGGAGAAAGCTCTCAGCACAGCCGCTAACCAAAGCAATAAGCAAGTAAATTCCTGCTAAAAATACATATATTCTTCCTCTTTCTTTTTTCTGCTGGGAATATGTTCTGAGCACAAATAATTAAACCTTAAAAGAAAACTTGCAGTAGCAAGTGCTTGGCTCTTGGTCCTAAGAGGAAACCACGGAGGCTGAGGACCCCCAACTCAAGTTGACGCCAGCAAGTTACAACCCACCTCTCAGGTGGAACCCACGAGCCCTGGCCCCAACCTACACGGAAGGAGTGGAGACGGATCCAAGGGAAGACTGATTTTCACTTCTAAAAAGCTTCCCCAAGCCGCAGCTTTCTCTACCCACAAGGGGAACACTCCCCACAGAGGAGAGCACCCCATCCCTTGTTCTTCTGCCCCCTATCCCCTGACTGCAGAGCCTTCGATACCACAGTCTTGTCAATGTTTCGAGTGCAGTGAGTTGGCAGGGGCAGCAGCAGTGAGAAGGGAGAGGAGGGGCAAGGAGACCACCTCAAGCTGCTGGTCTGTCTAGAGACCAGGAAGAAACCAGAAGGACGCCTGGGCCTGACCAGAACAGTCAAGGCCCCCACGTGTCTTACAGGTAAGGGCCAGGATCAGAGGCCTGATGACACCAAGCTCCCTGCACCCAAGAGGTGGCCTTTGCTTTGGGAGAAAACATACTTGTCCACTTAGCACTTGTAATTTCTATAGGAGTCCTATCACACAGTGGAGCACATCCCTAGGCCCCTAAATTAAAGATGGTGGATGGTCCTTTCCCAGGCCAAGAGGGGGACTCCCGTGGTACCCGGGCAAGACGCATCCAGAATGACTCCTTCCACCTAGACCCTGGCCACACTTTTCAAAATGCAACTGATAGACTGAGCTCGCCCCGAGCTACAAATAAACTAACAGACTTTATACTCTTTATTATTCCAGCCTCCCTCTAAGGCGTGTTTTGGTGTCAGTCTATGTGTTGGAGAAACTGTGATAGCAAACTAATTTACTAAGTGCATTGCACTTAAAAATGTCTATTTTATACACCAAATCAGTCTGTGTCACGTGGTATTTCTTGAAGGGAGGTGACTCGTCTGTCTGTGGGTCCCCAACCCAGAACAGGCCCCGCCGGGTATGCACAGCATATGTATGTGTGCAATGCTCCTTGCATGCCCGCCATGCAACTGTTAACCAAGAGCCGTCCTCAACCCTCACAGGTCACACAAGGAGGCAATCACACACTAAGCATCCGCGCCACTCAGAAAGCACAGGAGGAAAAAAGAGTTGGGGAGAGGAAGAGATAGACGGACAGGGAGACAGGGAGATAGACCCAGGACGTTATAGAGGACAGGGATGGCTCAGGGAGCAACCTTCTTCAGAGAGGCAGCAGAAAGTAAGATGTTGAGGCTGCCTGAATGTTTCATGAGCCTGTGAAAATACCGCGCTGCTTTATGAAAGAGCGTGGAGAGATGCTGCAGCTTATCAAAGGGTGGAGGTACAAACGGGATGTGTTTATAAAGCCGGTGCCTTGTGCCAGGAGCAGGGGCCTGTGGCAGGCAGGGATTTAGGGAATGGTAGGTTCCCTACCAACCAACAAACGGGTCTCTGTTGAAGGGGGAGAAAGTTTCAAGATGGCTTCTTCCCCTTCACTTGTTTAAAAATAAAAAATTCCTCACCAAATGTCAGCTGCGTGTCAGGTTCCATTTGTCTTTATAACAGAGTATCAAGCAGGAGCGTGGAAATAAATAAACACAGGGAGACAACCGACCAAAACTTGCAGGCTCTGGGCTGGGCTGGGCTAGAGGAGGGAAGCCCCACCCTGCAAGGGCTGAAAAATAATATTGCAGTTTCGCGTTCAGCACTGTGGCTCTGGCCCACTGACATGTTTTCCTCTCTTTACTGCCCCCCACCCCCTACCACCACCACTCTGGCGCTTCTGGGAGGGATAGGAGCGTGACTTATGCATTCCTTCCTTCCGAATTGCACAGGCATCATGGGTCAGAACACCATCTGCGTATATGGGGGAGGGGGCAGATAAACCAAGCAGGGCCCCTGCCCTCAGCAGCAAGGCACCTCCAACTGCCACACATCGGTATGAAGGCGCCTTAGGCCAGGGCTGAATGTGGCTGGGAGAGAGGTGTCAAAGAAGGCTGCAGGGGAGAGGCAACAGGGCTGAACCAGCCAGGGAAGATGGCATTTTCTCTGGCCACTACAGTGTCTAGTTCATCCCTAGACACCAAAGAGCCCGATAATCTCTCCATTTCACCGATGCGCCATCAGCCACGCTCCAAGTTGAGTAAGTGACAGGCGCAGGACAGAAGGCCCACTCTGGAATGGTACCCAGGAGGCCTCCTTGCTGTAATTACCTCTTCGCAGGCCCTGGGCTTTTCTGGCTCTTGAATGAGCCTCGGGAGCCCTCCCCATGTCCTCAGCAGCCTGAGGGCGGCCGCCCGCAGCGCCTCCAGCGGCCCTGGGACCGTGTCAGAGGAGGGAGGGCGAGGAGGGCAGGCTGTGGAGGCCCCGGCCCTGTCCTTGGTGCTGGCGCCCGCTGAGTGCCTGCTGAGCCACTCAGAGGCAGGGGCCGCCCATGCCGCCACCTTCCCTCGACATCCGCCTCTGGTCCCTGCGGAAGGGCAGTGAATACTCCCAGCCCCGCTGTGGCTCCCAACCGAGGTCACTGGGTGCGGAGCATTTGCCGCAAAGGCCCATCCGAGTAAGGGGCGGAGCCTAGGGACTTCCCTGGACTCCTGGCTCCTCCTGGCACCCAGAGGCGACCCGAGGTCCCCGGGGTGGGCACGGGTCTCTCTAGGCCCCAGGCCCCTGAGGAAGGTGGATCAAAGCAATCACCCAGGTTCCCTTTTTTCTTTGGGGGGAGGAGGGTGGATAGCTGCTAGAAATGGACAACTCACCCCAGAAAACCCCGGCCGTGCAAGCGCAAACAGCCCAGCACCAGTGGCAACCCCTGCCGCACGCACGCAGCCACCTCGCCAGGCCCAGGCTGTCTCGGCTTGGGTGCGTCCCTTCAACCGTGCTTCTTGCTCCTTAACCCCTTCAGTGGTCCCCACGTCACCCGCTCTGTCTCCCTCCTGGGGACAGCCTTGCCCTCCCAGAAGCTGTCAGCCAGGAAATGAAGGGTTAAGCGTTGCTTCCAGGAGTGTGCGGTGAGCGGTGAGCGAGGCGCCCACGCAGGAAGGCCTCCAGTCCTGGGGGAGGGGCGGGGGGGCCAGCCTCGGTCCTCGGCCAAAGGGAGCTCCTCGCCCGCAGGAGGCGGAGAAGGAAGGCGCGCCGGGATGGTTCTAAGAAGGCTCCCCTCCTCCGCCCCCGCCATGCCGCCCCCACGCCCCCACCCCGCCGGCGCTCAGTGACCTGGGGCGCCCCTGCAAGAGGCCCATACCCGGCTTTCATCAGGCAGCGCCTTCTCGACAACTTTTCTCCCTCTCTCCCCTCACAATTTTTGCTCACCTGGAGGGTCGGTTTTTAATTAGTGTAATATCCCCGTGAACAACGCAGCCTAATTAAGACATCCGTCCCGAATCCGCGATGCACACTTAATGAGCAGGTTCTGCCGCAATGTTTATACTTTTTTTTTCCATTATGTTTTGCAGACCAGTAAAACCGAAGCCGGCTTCCGGCTGAAAGACCTCATTACGGGCGACCCCACTCCATTAGCCTCCTACCTGCTCCACGCTAAGTGCCCGGGGCGCCCGGGTGCATGCCCAAGGCGTCCCCGAGTCCAACCTGCGTTTGGAGCAGGAAATTAGCAACCTGCGCGCCCGAGAAGCGACTTCACCACCAGCTGGGGCAGGAAGGGGGACTTAAACCCAGGGATGGATCCCTTGGGTCTCTGTCCTTAGCCTCCACCGTGGGGTGTCTCGCGCGTCGGGACTAGCGGCTCCGCGGGACTCCTTTTTAAAAGTGATCATTAAATAAATCAGGTACCTCGCCAAAGCTGGAACGGAAAGGGGAGGGGGAGGCAGCTCTGTTGTCCAGGAGTTTCTCCCCACCTCGCTGGGCCCCCGCCCCCACCAGTGGACTCCGGGAACATCCCACCCCCACCCTACGTGATACCAGGGATCCCAGGGCCGCTTGGGGACCCGACAGGTTCCCAATGCCCCTCCACGCGGGGCGCCGCGTCTCGGTCCCCGCACCGACACTGCAGGGCTGCGCGCCAGGGGAGGCTCCGCGTCCCGGGGAGGGAGGCTGCGACCCCCAGCACCAAAATGACCACTGGCCTCGCGCCACCCCGAGACGCCACAGAAGACCACCTTCCCGAGCGTGCGAGCCCAACACGCCCCGGGCGAGCCCCACCACCGCCCGGGGCCACCAGGGCAGAAAGTTTGGGCCAGGGGCGTGCCCGGCTTTCCCAGCCCGGCCGCGCTGCTCGAGGCCCTGGGGGTGGCCGAGGCTTCAGAGAGGCAGCCTCTGCTCCCGTTCCAGCCTTCCTATCGTGCTTGGGGACTCGGCCCGGAGCGCCCCCAGCCCGCCCCCTGTAGGGCCCTGCGCGCCGCTCGCCCCTCGCTGCTCGGCCCCCGCGCACACCGCGGTGCTGCGGGCCCCGCTCCTATTTGGGGAGCTGTGGCAGCCCCTTCCTCCCCACAACTCCTTTGGGTCATCAACCTCTCAGCGACCCTCCTTTCAGAGGACCCCGGCAGGGCTCTCTCCGGGCCTGGGTGCCGCGACAGACGCACGTTGCACCACCGCCGGGTCGCCAGCCTCTCTCCCACCCGCGCGGGCTCCGGCTGCCTGCTCGGACGCGCCCCGCGGGGCCGGGATCTCCGCGCGCCTCTGCCTCCCCCCGCCGGGGAGTTCCCCGCGCCGGGCATTGTGCCGCCGCCGCCGCCGCCACAGCCACCACCACCGCCACCGCCACCGCCACTGCCACCGCCACGCAGCGCGCGGGACTCCCTGGCGTCTCCATGGAGCCCGACCCCCGGGCCTTCCCATTCACAAAATCGCCCCTCTGGCCCACGGCCGGACAGAGCGTCCAGACCCCAGCCCCGGAGGGACCCAGGGACCCCGACCCCGCGCAGGGACCCCTGACCCCGAGGGCGCCACCCCACCCCACGCGCCCTCGGGTCAGCCCCGGCCGCGCTCAGCAGCCCGCCTCCCACTGCGGGGTCCCATGCGCCCCTCCGCGGCCATGTCCCCCTCCCCCAGCTCAGCCCGATGGGAATGACCGCCGCAGAGCGAGGCGGGCGACGAGGCCAGGCTACTCACGGGCTCAGCGCTCCCCGCGGCAGGTGACTGGGGGCCGGCGGCCATGCCCCGGCTGCATCCCGGCCGCCGAGCGGGCAGCGGCGTCCTGGGGCCGCACAGGCACCGGCGAGCCAGCGGCAAGGGGCGCGCGAGGCCGGGCTCGGGCGGCAGCTGTGGCAGCTGCTTCTCCTCCGACCACGCGAGCTGCTGGGGCCCGGCTGGGGCCGCTGTCCGAGGAGGTTCTGCTGGCTTCGGAGCAGCCCCGCGCTCGCTCTTCCCTCGCCTCCTCTCTCTCTCTCTCTCCTCCCTCCTCTCTCCGCCCTCCTTCTCTCTCTCTCTCTCTCTCTCTCTCTCTCTCTCTCTCTCTCTCCGCCCTCCTTCTCTCTCTCTCTCTCTCTCTCTCTCTCTCGTTCCTCTGGCTCGTTCGGCTGGAGCGAGGCGGCAGCAGGAGCACGCGGCGGCGGCGCGGGCGGCGGTGGCAGCTCGAGCGGAGCGCGCAGCGCGCGGCATGGGAGGGGGCTCTGGCTGTCGCGCGGCCGGGGAGGGCGGCGGAGCGGGGAGAGCCATGACCGGGTGGGCTTCGGCGGTCAGCACCCTGCAGCCTTCAGCGCCAACTCCTCGGGGCAGGGGCACAGAAGAGGTGGGGTACACACGGAAGATCCCAGAACCCAGTGCTGCCCTGGTCCCTTCAAGGGCAGCCCCAAGCCCGCTGCCCCTCCCCACCTCCAAGCTATCTTGGGGGCGGATCAACCCAGGTGACCCTTAACAGGACCCCTGCCCTTGTGCCTCGCTGTCCCTGGGGGCCATTTTTCTTTGCCAGGCCCAGGGATCCCCAGCAATGGGACGTGGTCACCAAGCATCAGGGACGAATGCCACCCCACCCCGCATGCCATGCCATGCCTTTGAGTTGCCCACATACCCCAAACCCCCTCACTAGGCCCAGGTGCCCTGACTTCCTGGAGGACCACTGGAAAGGAAGGGATCGGGCCCACTCCGTGCTGTTAGTCCAGATTGGCCAACCCAACCCATTTAAACATTTCCACCTGTGCCTGGCTGGAGAGGAAGGACTGTGGGAGGTCAGCTTAGGATTTCCCTAAAATCAAAAGATCAGGTAGCTCCTGTCCCCAGTCCCAGCCTCCCCCAGCATCTAGAGTAAGGGGCCTGGTGTGAGTTCTGGGAGGGTCTCTATCCTTGGTGCAGAGGGAGCAGGAGAGCAGAGGCTGAGGACACAGTGGAGTGGGGACCCTCTGGAAAGGCAGGAGAGATCTATTGCTGGGGTCAGCCCACCACTGGCACACAACACCAGAAGTGGGCAAGAAGGTCTGGACGGTCCCAAACAGGTTTAGGCAGGAGGCTGAGTAATCATTTCCAAAACAAAAGACATTCTGGTGCAGCAACCAGGCTGGAGAAACGAGCCTGCACCATCGAAGGACATTTCCAAATTACACACAAACAGATCCAAACCCGTCCCCATGTCACTTTTGCTCCTGAAGGCTGCTCCTGGAACAATTAGCCTCCTCCTCGCACCTGACTGTCCTGCTTTTCTGTGTGAGGTGAAAAGCACATCATGGAATCTGGGGTTTGGTAGGGGCCTGGAAGACCCAGAGGCCAGGAAGAGGGGAGTATGGATTTGGAGCTTCTCGGTAGTAGGGGCTCTGGGCTGCTGGCTGCCCCCCCTGCAGGGCAGCAGAGACGGTGGCCAAGACAGTGGCCGCTGCCCACTTATGAGCGTCATGCTTTTAATTTCTGGCCCTCCAGCCCGTCTGGGTCATTGATCTGTCTTGGCCGGTGGGAATCGTGTTATACAATTCCAAGCATACAGCTAAACAGCCCCACAGCTAACCACCAGATAAATGCCGTGTCTACGAGCAAGGCAGCCGCCTGGTTGACTGAACTTTCCCCTGCCACCGGATTTGAAATGGCGCATTCCAGCTCTAAAGCCCTAATTGGGCCTCTTGGTTCTCTGCTGTCAGATGGTCCAGGCTTTCGTGGCCTCCAACTCCCGGCTGGGCCCAGCCACTGCCTGGCAGGCACCTGTCTCCCTGCAGGCAGGGCTCTTGCCTCGCTGTGCCGGCAGTGCCCCCTGTCGGTCCCGCTTGTCCCTTGCCCACATTTCTTCTCCCTGGGGAGCCTTTTCCTCTCTGGTCCAGACCCTACTGCCCTTTGGAGCCTCCTCGCAGAAACCTCTCGAAGAGTGGGATTCGAGCCCATCTCCGTCTCCCTTCAGCTCCCCATGCGAGTTCTGCATGTGCCTGTGAAGTGGGGACACATTGACCTGGCAGAGCTGTGTGCCCGAGTGGAAGAGGGGTCCCTGCAAAGCATAGGGCCCGGTAAATCATTCCTTGGGGACGTTCTGGAAGAGCTCTCTGAAGACAGCACCAAATCTTGTTCCAAGTTCCACCAGTCCCAGCCCAGGACTCAGGACACGGTGGGCCTGCTCAGACGCCCGGGTGGTAAACTGAAATTGGCCTCTGTGGTTGGGACTGGCCACAGGGCCTGCGCGTGAGGACACCCCTTGGGAACAGGCCCCAGCCAGGCCGGCCTCATTACCAGCCCCAGAGAGTTTGCCCTTCGTGCTCAGCTGTCGTAGACAGGGATCTGGCCGGAAGAGAGTAAGTGTCAGGGCCAGCAGGACATACCAGCACTAACCGGGAGATTTTCCATTTGGGGACGTCATCTAAGAGAATTTTTAAAACCTCTGATTTGGAAACTTTAATTTTTAAAAAGTGAGCACATGGGGAGGACTGGGGAGTCCTTGGTAATAATCATTAGGAGAGAAACACAGGGAGACTGGGCTTGGGGCCAACAGGACGACTGAAGGCACAGAGCTAATTTCGTGCCCTCTGAAAAATCCCACTAAAACTACAAAGAGAAAATTTTAAAAAGGGGCTGGGCATGGTGGCTCAAGCCTGTAATCCCAGCACTTTGGGAGGCTGAGGTGGGTGGATCACCTGAGGTCAGGAGTTCGAGACCAGCCTGGCCAACATGGTGAAACGCCGTCTCTACTAAAAATAGCAAAACTAGCCAGGTGTGGTTGTGGGTGCCTGTAATCCCAATTACTTGGGAGGCTGAGGCAGGAGAATCACTTGAATCCGGGAGGTGGAGGTTGCAGAGAGCCGAGATCGCGCCACTGTACTACTCCAGCCTGGACAACAAGAGTGAGACTTCCATCTCAAATAAGAATAACTTTAAAAAGGCATAAACCCCAACGACCTGGAGAATAGGAGAAAAGAGAACAGTAGCCGGCTGTGGGCAGCGGGGAGGCACAGGAGAAGTGGCGGCCCGCCCTCACGGAGCTGAGTCTCGGCCCAGAGGCAGGGAAGGCTGACAATGGAATCCCCCGAAGGCTCAGAAGGCGTGGGGCCCAAGACCCGGGGAAGCCTGGAGATCCTCGGATAGCCCCTCTGGAGGTTTATTCCCTGAGGACACTGAAGCAGCCTCTGTGGCCTGGGGGCCGCCAGACACTGCGGACAGAGGGGCGTCCTGCACGGAGAGCCCCCCTTTTCCCTCACGGCACCTGTCAGCATCCTGACCTCCACCCTCCTGGCAGGAGGCCGGAAGAATCTCCTCTGGGGAATCTCACCAGCACCCAGAGGGGAAACCTGAAGATAGAGCTTTGCTGCTTCCAAGCACAGGCCCCACTCCCTGCTCGGAGCTGCCAACCAGCTTTGCAGCCCCCCTAAGGTGAGTAAAAAGCCAAGGATGACCAGACACCTGCGGAAAGCCTTCATGAGAAGGAGCCGCCAAAACACGCAACAGAGCGGGGCCGACTTCGAGGAAACAGATATTAGGCAGGGAGGAGAAAACATCAGAAATAGCAGTATTTAATATCCTCCCAGAGATCAGAGGAGATACCGCATCCATGAACCAAGAGCAGGGTGCTATTTTAAGGAGAACATTTAGAGAACAAAAAAGCTGGGAAGTTAAAAGCATGAGAGCAGAAACAAAACATCTCAACAGACAGGCTGGAAGAGAAAAGTAAGGGAATGCCCCAGAAGGCAAAGCAAAAAGGCAAAGAGGAGAAAAAGAAGAAAGAGGGGATGAAAAAAAACTAGATGATCAATTCACGAGGCTCAACACAAAAGGAATTCTAACCCCGACCCCCATAGGGCCCCCAGAGAGAAGGAGGAGGAGGAGAAGAAAGGAAATCATCAATTACTTAAGAATTTTTTTCCAGAAATAAGTTTCCAAATTGTCCACAAAATCGATGGAAATGATTCATATCAAGGCACATTATCTTGAAAAGTAAATCACTGAAGAAAAAAAAAAAATGTTTCCCCAAGTTTCCAGGTGCCATAAAAAAGAGCAGGAACGAGAATAGCTCCAGAATTCTCAACACAAAGAGGGCAGCTAACCAATCACAAAGCGTGCCTTCAAAAGCTGATGGCAAGTGATTTCTGGCCTGGAATCCCTTACTTCACAAAATTAACAATCAAACGTGAGATTAAAACAAAGACATTTGCACATGCGAGATCTCGACAAAATTATTTCCCACACACCATCTCTCAGCTACCAGAGGACGTGCTCTAACAAAACAAGGGTGTAAAGCATGAAAGAGGGCAATGAGGGATGGAAGAAACAGAGGATCTAGTAAGCGGGCAGGGATCCACATAGTGGGAGAGGAGGGAGGGCAGGAGGGCAGCTGTGTACCGGGCAAGAGGTTGCCAGTCCAGATGAGAGCAGGGTGGTGGCATGTCCAGCTGCCTAGGGCTCAGACATGTAGAGGGCTGTCACTACCAAGATGCCTCCTGCCATTGTACCACCCTTTCAGTGCCAGGTGAGCCTGGCCCCTGCTCCCCTCTGTGCCCGGCCGGCTCGGGCCGTGTTGCAGTGGAGTGCCTGTTTTCCTTTCCACGCACTGCCACCTGTGTAAGCTGAAGACCCTCATTTCGCCCCATGGAAGCATTTACTTTGATCTACTCTTAGCATCAGGAGGTGGCCACAGGGAACAAAGAAACAGAAAACACACATCAGCCCACCAACCTGCAAGAAGCCCCAGCCAAGGAGGCCCTTGGTTCCCCAGGACCCCTCATGCCTTGCCCAAGAACTCCCTAAAAGAGGCTCTTGTAAAGCGTGGGGCAGCTGCGGTTCCAGAGTTTCACATTGTCTTCTCCCAGGCTCCTCCGTCTAAGGGTAGCAGACCCAAATCATCACAGACAGAAAGGACATCATGGCCCCACTTTCATATTCAGCACTGGACACATCCACAGATAGAAAGGAGGTGAAGATGCAACTGTAGAAGGATCGAGGAAAGCAAGAGATCAGGGGCCTGCTTTTTCCTTGCTGGTCTTTGACGTTCTTGTGAGGTCCACAGATGGCCAGCACCGACGGCCCGTTGGAGAGCTGATGTCACCGCCATTGGCTGCCTTGCTTGCTTTCTCAGTCCAACAGAGTAAATTATAAGGTTACTCTATGTAGTCGTAACCTCCTTGTTAAGAATGGATCTCTCGGCCGGGCACGGTGGCTCACACCTGTATTCCTAGCACTTTGGGAGGCCGAGGCAGGTGGACCACCTGAGGTCAGGAGCTCAAGACCAGCCTGGCCAACATGGCGAAACCCCCTCTCTACTAAAAATACAAAAATTAGCCGGGCGAAGTGGAGGGCACCTATAATCCCAGCTACTCAGGAGGCTGAGGCAGGAGAGTCACTTGAACCCGGGAGGTGGAGATTGCAGTGAGCCAAGATCACACCACTGCACTCCGGCTTGGGCGACAGAGCAAGACTCCATCTCAAGAAAAAAAAAAAAAAGAATGGATCTCTCTGTCTCTCTCTATACAAACACACACACACACACACACACACACGTGTTACTACTTCCCCACTACTGCCAGGCCTGCTACCGCTGTTGTATGTGTCGGATCTCCCCTTCAGGCCACCATCCAAGCACGCTGTGGGACCCTGTGCAGTCCTGCATCAATAAATACCACTTAGGGAGAGCCCCACACGACCTGAGGGAATGTATGATCAAAACGCCCCACTACTGTTTCACGAAACACGCGGGGCAGATGTGCAAACATTTATACTGTGTGGGCTCTCAGGGGTTGTGCACCTGTCCGGGCTCCATGGAATGTAGGTCACAAGGAGACCTTGGAGGTCAGAGACGCCAACCAGCTAACTTAAATGAAGACGTCACAGGGCCGGGCTGTGCTCTGTCCCATAGCTGGAAGAGAGGTGTTCGGCCCTCACACACCCAGCCTCAGCCTCAGCTGTGTCCGCCGGCTGGCTCTCCGCTCTTCACTTCAGTCCCAAGGTTTATCATCCCTCTTTCTCCTGACCCTTTTTTCCTGGCAGATGGTGGCACAGTTTCACCTTGAAGCTAGAGCCTTCAGTGGGAGCAGCTTTCTCCCTGCACGCCTCCTTCTAGTTTCATCTTGTCTTCCTGCTCCCTTTCAAATTCTTCTTCCGTTTTCTCCCTCCATCCAGCCCTCTCTTGCTCTATCCTCTTCTGTCTTTCCTGCTCTGGGGATGGGGGGGTCTTAGCCTACCAGCCTAAAAACCTTATCTGGTCTTCCCCATCCTTCCAGAAGCACCCCTAGATGCTCTTCTCTCCCCTCGTTCCCCTTCCATCCTCGCCTTCCCTCGATCACAAGCATCCCTACCTCCACGTCCACACCCACGGACACCCCAGGGAAATGGCTCTCTCGGGTCACCAGGGAAGGCTGAATCACAAACAGCCAGGCCTGCACTCCCTCCTTGGTTTACTTGATCCTTTACTGCAGGTGGCCCCGTGGCCAAGTCCCTTTCTAGAAACCTCGACTTCATCCTCCACCACAGCACCGTCTCCCACTCTTCTCTCCCGAGGTTGCACGTCAGCATCTCCACCTGTCTTTCTCTGCTTCTCCCTAAACACCAGCGTCCCATTTTCCCAGGTGATCCTATTTTTCTCCCCAATGAGCTCATCCCTCCAGTGGTCTCACTGTCGTGGAAGTCATCCCCGCATTTTGAGCTGAAAGCAACTTCAGAGGTCATGTTGCACAGTCCGCCCATATCACAGATGAGAACACTGAGGCCCAGAATGTCCCGTGGCTCGCCAGCAGCTCTGGGTCCTGGCCTGGGATGCTGCCTACTGCGCCAGCCCCACTGCCCCGCCGCCTCTTGTGTCACATGCAGGGAGCAGCAAGCGCATCTGCGATGTCACATGTGCACCTCCAGGCTTGATATTTTATTTAAGAGTGTGCGACTCCATATCAGTGCCCAGTGGCTTTCAGTTCTGACATTTATCTTCTCCAGAGGAGGATGAACCACTTGCACGCCGTCCGTCTCTCCTCCCACGTGGATGGGAAATGTCAGAGGGAAGTCCAGGTAGTTCAGGGTCCCACGTCCACACCACAAGGATTTACTGTTTTTGTGCTGCTTGATGACACAGCTGTGTTTGGGGAGCGGCGATAGCCTAAAAAACACACAAGTGGAAATAGCAAAGGTTTTCTGAGGCACCGTCAATTTCTGCAGCCGGGGCAGTGGCCAGTGTCTCCGGGAACAGGCGCCGCAGTCCACTCAGGGGCCCACAGGTTCTTCCCCGTCTTCCATCTCCTTGTCTTGAGTGGGACGTGAGCCGTATCTCTGAGCTCAGCCTGTGATTGCACAATAATACCACCCAGAAAACAAATTAAAAATAGGAAAAATCCATCCAAGCCGTGTGTCTGCTCAGGCAGAATAGTGTCAGATTGCTAGGCAACTCCAGGCAGTCCTGGGGGAAGGAGGGCCGTGCTCAGCTTGTTCTGCAGAAGTAGAGTCCTTGTCCCTTTTGTGTGGATGTGCTCAGCCGAATCTCAGCAAAAGTCATGAACAGAAAGGAGAGGCGGGCTGCATAAGCCGGCGGAGTGCACATCCGTCTGGACAAATGGATTTTCCGGAGGATGGAGAAGAGACGGGGGTGTCCACGTGATGAGAAACATCTGGATACGCGCTGGAAAAATCAATCTGATTTCTCTGTGCTTCCCAAGATCCAGGTGTTTACAATTGTGTAGGCAAAGCGTCTGAATGTTAATGAAGTCTTTCCTCTCAATATCCTGCATCTCCCTCAGCAAGAGGCAAATGAAAACTAGGCTCAGCAGGCCTGGGAGAGACGGGGAGCAGGAGGAGGAACTAGAGAGACCCAGGCAGAGGAAGCCGGGAAATGGAACTGGGAGATCACACTCGCCCAGTCGGGGTTTCTGCTCCCAGGAAGGAGATGGAGGCAACAGGGCAAGAAAGACACGTGCATTTTTCACAGTTCAGTCGAAACCATAATCATATTAATATGTTTGTGGATGCTAAGACGTTGGCTATAAGCATCAAATACTTTTCAAAGGAAGAGGCAGGGGACGTGGCATCGTGAAAAATAGCACCAATTTTCCATTTGATTGTAAGCTCTTTAGCACTCCAGGAGGGTAGAACCTCGACAGCGTCTTCTCTTTTAGGAGGTGCAGAGACTGCCCAGGGCCAGCACAAAAGCATGGATTCAGGTCCTGGGGCTGCCACAACAAAGTCCCACAAAACCAGAGGCTGAAAACACAGAAACTTATTCTCTCACAGTTCTGGAGGCCAGGTGTTTGAAATCAAGGTGTCAGTGGGGCCAGGCTCTCTCAAAAGGCTCCAGGGGGACTCCCTCCCGTGCTTCCCTCCTCGCTCCTGGGGGCCAGGGGCAATCCCAGGTACTCCGGGGCTTGTGGCTGCGTCTCTCTGACCTCCGCCTCTGTCTTCATGCAGCCTTCTCCTCTGCCCTTCTTTGTACAAGGGCAGCAGTCGTTGGACTTAGGGCCACCCTGATCCTGTATGACTTCATCTTATCTAACTATACCTGCAAAGGTACTGTGTCCAAATAAGGCAGGCTCTGAAGTTCTAGGTGGACATGAACAGGGGATGGGGGGCAGCTCAACCCACTACAAAGGGCTTGTGAAGGGACTCAGGCAGGCTCCGGGGCAGGTGGACTCCAGCAATCCTCTGATCTCCTCCACGTCCCGGACGGACAGGGTGTCACCCAGGAAGCACTCCAGGGACAAGCCATTCACCATCTCCCCTCCTCCAGCCCTGGGGGAGCCTCCTCTACTGGAAAACATCCTTTTCAACAGCAACCAAATTCTCCTCTGGCCGTCGTCCAGGTTGGAGTTCAGACCTACCTTCTGGAGTAACGAAAAATAACAAAAACAGCAATCGTGGCTGCTTCCCGCACCCTGGAGCCCAAGCCAACCACACGCGCACACACGCACATGCACACACATGCACATGCACACACACACGTGCACACATGCATATGCACACACGCACATGCACACATATGTACATGCACACATGCACACAAGCACATGCACACATGTGTGCATGCACGCATATGCACACATACACACATGCACACGCGCACACACATGCACGCGCGGACATGCACACACATGCACACACATGTGCACATGCACACACGTGCACATGCACACACAGGGACATGCACACACGCACATGCACACATACGCACATGCACACACACGTGCACACATACGCATATGCGCACACACGCACACACGCACATGCACAAATATGTACATACACGCACGCACACAGACATGCACACACACGGACATGGACACACACGGACATACACACACATGCACACATGCCCACATGCACACACACGGACATGCACACACGCACGTGCACACATGCACATGCACACATGCGCACACACATGCACACGTGCACACACGCACGTGCACACACGCGCACACACATGCGCATACGTGCACATGCATACGCGCACATGCACACACGCATGCACACATGTGCACACCCGCGCGTGCACACACGCACGCACACACACGCACGCACGCACACATGCACACACGCACATGCACACACGCACACGCACACACACGGACATGCACACACGCACATGCACACACGCACATGCACACATGTGCCCATGCCGTCCTGTAGGTATTTCTCAGGCGACCCCCTCCACACCCTGATGCCCTCCTGGAACCCCACATGATTCTCTGGGGGTTCCTCAATGGTCCCAGAACCTGGCTCCACCCTCCACAGCAGGGCAAACGGCAGAGAAGGGTTATCATTCCTGCCCTTGGGACCCAGGCTGTCCACTGTGACGTCCTTAGCTGCCACATCACACCCGATCTCATTTCAGGCTGGTTTCTTCTACGCCGTTCCTGGGGACATCCAGACATCAGTGGGGTACTTCTCTTACTCCTGTTAAAGTTAATCCAACTTCTTTTTTTTTTTTTTTTTGAGATGGAGTCTCATTCTGTTGCCCAGGTGGGAGTGCAGTGGCACAATCTCAGCTCACTGCAAGCTCCACCTCCCAGGTTCAAGTGACTCTCCTGCCTCAGCCTCCCAAGTAGCTGGGACTACAGGCACGTGCCACCACGCCCGGCTTATTTTTCTATTTTTAGTAGAGATGTGGTTTCACCATGCTGGCCAGGCGGGTCTCGAACTCCTGACCTCAGGTGATCCGCCCGCCTCGGCCTCCCAAAGTGCTGGAATTACAGGTGTGAGCCACCACGCCCAGCCTGTCCTTCACTTTGTATTATCCCAAAGTTGAAACCCAGCACCGAAGGGCTTGATCCAAGCTGGGGGAAACCGTTGAGCAGGAATGGAGCCCTGAGCAACCCTGCAAAGCCAACGATACCCAGCGAGGGGGCCATCCTGAATCTACACATTTTCAAGGTGCAGATATTAAATAACCATAGTAAAAGCACGTCTCTACCAACAGGCAGAAGTGAGACTTCACTGAATCATGTTGGTCGTTAGAGTTTGCAATACACTGAGTGCCTGGGTGGCAAATTCTGACCTGTACAAGTGTCCATGAACTTCTCAGTGATGACTGTCGGGTCAATGTCAGTTTCATCGGGGCATAACCCAGTGTCCTTCAGAAACCAAGTGCGGGAGTCGTGCATGTCACTAAATGTTCATGCGTGCCTGCAGGACTCAGGGGCACGTGGCTGTGTGGGATGCAGCCTCTATGGGAAGCTTGCTGCTAGCACTGCTAGCACGTGTTACTAGGTGTACACAGGCTAACCCAGTCACCACCCACAAAGGCAGCAGCTGCTGGTGGCTGCTCTCACCCGTGTGAAGACACACACATCATACAAGATCGAGCGTGTGTTCATGACACCGCTTAAGAGACACCCGAATCCGGGGAGAAGGATAAGGGACAGGCTGCAGAGAAGACCGCAAGCTAATCTCAGACCTCTCAGACCCTGAACTGTGCGTGTCTTTGAATTCACCCTTAATGTAAATTTCATTCTCCTTAGTTCAAGATCTTTCAAAAGTAGGGCTTTTCTAAGGTGTCCTTTCATTCTCATTCTCCTCCTGGAGACTCTCTGTGGGTTTCTCTTCAGCCATGCACATGTTACTAGGTATACACAGGCTAACCCAGTCACCACCCACAAAGGCAGCAGCTGCTGGCCACCACCGCCAGCCAGACTCACATCTTGGCACACCTTCAGACCGCCTGCCCGTGGAGCCTGATGGGGTGGGGGGTGGCAGGACCGAGCCCCCTCCTTCCAGTTCCAACCTGCTCTTGGAGAAGCATCTGTCACGGGGAGTGGCAGCCCCGTACCCTGCACCCTCCCCGGGCTCTCCCTGCCTCCCCGAGACTCAGCCAGAGGAGGTGGGGCTGGGAGGTGGCCTCTCCCTCTCACAGGGCCAGACCACCACTGCTCTCCCTCCCCCAGGTCTGAGTTGGCTCAGGCCACCGTCTCAGAGGACCGCAGACTGTGGATGTAAACATTCATTCTCCCGCAGATCTTGAGGCCAGACGTCCAAGATGGAGATGTCAGCAGGACGGCTTCCTTCGGAGGCCTCTCTCCTTGCTCTCAGCTGGCCGTCCCCTCCCTGTGTCCTCCACAGCCGTCCCCATGTGGCCTGCATTCTACATTCCCTCTTCCACTGAGGACACCAGTCAGGTTGGATTGGGGCCCATCCCACCACCTCATTTCACCTGAATCACCTCTTCAAAGATCCTCTCTCCAAACACGGTCACACGCAGAGGTCCTGGGAGTTAGGACGGCACCATATAGATTTTGAGGGGCCCATGATATACCTGTTTCTTCTACTAATGTCTTTATTCCAACACAGCCACAGTGGTTCCTGTTCTGCAAACGTGGCAGAGCCTCCGCTCCTCCCCTTCCCCAGCTGCCACTCCCCATCAGCCACAGGCCCCATCTCTACCACGCCCTGTCCTCAGTGCCCTCCTGGCCTCCCCACTGCCCTGCCTCAGCCCAGACCCTCAGCTCCCTCCCCTACACTCATGTACACCTGACCGGGGAGCCAGAAACGTGCCCCAGCCCTGTTACTGCCCCAGCAGAATCCTTCCCAGCTGAAGAAGAGACTGCCTCCACTCAGGATCCTTCCCTGACCTCTGCAGGTGTGCTCATCCCCATCTACAGATGAAGAAACTGAGGACTTGATAGACGCAGAGCAAGGTATGGGGTCAAGGCTGAACTTCTAGAAGCAACCAAAACTACCAAAAAACTGGTTCAAGAACACCACCATGCCCACTGCTGCCCACAGCCTGGGCGCTGAGTTTGAGATACCCCACAGGAGGGAGGTAGAATACTGGCCCCAAAATGTCCACGTCCTAACCCCTGGAACCTGTGACTATCTTAGGTTACACAGCAAGGAGGAAGGAAGGTTCCAGATGGGATTGGGGTTGCTCACTGGTGACCTTGAGATGGGAGGTGATCCTGGATGATCCAGGTGGCCCAACGTAACCACAGGGTCCTTAAAAGTGGAAGAGGAGACTGGGCGCAGTGGCTCAGACCTGTAATCCCAGCACTTTGGGAGGCCAAGGCGGGGTGGATTGCTTGAGGTCAGGAGTTTGAGACCAGCCTGGCCAACATGGTGAAACGCTGTCTCTACTAAAAAATAAATAAATAAAAAATTAGCCAGGCATGGTGGCCCACACCTGCAATCCCAGCTACTTAGGAGGCTGAGGCAGGAGAATCGCTTGAACCCAGGAGATGGGGATTGCAGTCAGCCAAGACTGCACCACTGCACTCCAGCCTGAGCAACAAGAGCTAAACTCTGTCTCTAAAAAAAAAAAAAAAAAAAGTGGAGGAGGCAAGAGAGTCGGTGTCAGAGACAATGTGATGATGGAGGTGGGTCGGAGAGAGCTGTGCTGCTGGCTCCGCAGGGTGAGGGCTTCCATCTTGAAGAAGGAAGAGGGAGCTGGGAGCCAAGGAGCGCAAGCAGCCTCCAGAGACTAGAAGAGGCCCGGAAACAGACCGCACCTTTGACACTCCAGAAGGGAATGCAGCCTTTCTGCATTTTAGCCCAGAGAGGCCAGTGTCGGACTTCTGACCTCCAGAACGGCAAGATAATGAACTTCTGTGTTTTAAGCCACTAGGTTTGTTGCAGTTTGTTACGGTAGTCCTAGAAAACTTAATCTACCACTTCTACACCAAGAAGGGTGACGCTTCAACCACCCCAGTACAGCTTCCTAGAGAGGGGAGGCCTCATCTCCTTCCCCGAGACCCGTCAGCTCCCGGATCAGGGTCTGCCATGGACACACCTGCCTGGCCAAGTCCGGGCCACATGGCTGGCCTTAGCTGCAGGGGAGGCTGGGGAAGGGAGGGAGGCTGGGGAAGGGAGGGAGGCAGCCCTCACCCTACTAAGTTCCATCATTCCAGAAAGTCCTCCATCACAGAGAGGCCTCCAGTTGCCAGGCAGCCAGAAAGACAGGGAGGAGCTCCAGGGCAGGGGGTTTGGTGGAATCTGGAGACTCAAGTCCAACAGCGACCACAGAGCCCTCTCAGAGACCAGCAAGTCCGAACTAAATCCAGAGCCGAGCGAAGGGAGCAGCTCACCCTGGTGCCTAGCACCACCTCAGTCCTCTGTCTCTGTTGAGGATTTTCTCGGGACCTGCTTCTCTTGTGTCCAGGATGGCCAAGGTGCTTCGGCACTTCTGGAAGTAAGGGCCCTGCCGACCCTCCACTCACAGGCAGCCCTTGGAGCCTGCAGACGCCTCTCCCATGTCACTGAGGTTCTCCCACCTCTGAACTCACCCTTAGAAGGCACCCCCGCCCCCCACCCCCCGCCCCATCCCTCGAGGAGAACCATCCGGAGCTCCCACTTTGGGCACACTCACTGCCAGCCAAGCTCAAGGAAGGGGTCCCCACCACGAAGCGCCCCAAGGGCAGGACTCCTGCCCTGTGTACTCAGAGACTGGGGAAGGCAGCATGTGTGTGTGTTTAAAGGGCGTGATTGAGGTGTGACTGGCATATGGCACACCTCCCATGGTTAAAGGGTACAGTTTATGCGCTATGACATGCAGATATGCCCGTGAAACCATCACCACCATCAGGATAGGGAACATATCCGTCACCCCCAAGGTTTCCTCCTGCCCTGATGTGCCCTCCTCCTCCTCCTCCCTCTCCCTGTATTCCCCACCCCCGGGCAACCACTGCCTTGCTGTCTGTCCCTGTACATGAGTTTGCCTTTTCTGGAGTTTATATAAGTGAAATGACACAGTACATACTTCTTTGTTGCCTGGCTGCCTTCCCTCAGCACCATTCCCCAGAGATGCGGCCATGCCCTTGCCTGCACCAAAGGTTCACTCCTTTTCATTGCTGAGTAGTATTCCATCGCATGGATGTGCTACAATTTGCTTAGCTGCTGTTGGTGTACATTTATCTCCAGGTTAGGGGTATCGTAAATCAAGGCACTATCAACATTTGGATGGACATGTGCTTTTATTTTTAAAAATAAGTGAGTTTGGGGCCAGGCGTGGTGGCTCACACCTGTAATCCCAGCATTTTGGGAGGCTGAGTGGGGGCGGATCACCTGAGGTCAGGAATTCGAGACCAGCCTGGCCAACATGGTGAAATCCCATCTCTACTAAAAATACAAAAATCACCTGGGCATGGCACTAGGTGCCCATAATCCCAGCTACTCAGGAGGCTGAGGCAGGAGAATTGCTTGAACCCGGGAGGTGGAAGTTGCAGTGAGCCGAAATCGAGCCATTGCACTCCAGCCTGAGCAACAAGAGCAAAACTCCGTCTCAAAAATAAATAAATAAATGAGTTGGGTAAAGGTGGGCATGTGGCCCACTCTCACTCGCCCACACACGTGCGCAGACGGGGGTGGCTGCGGCCGCTAGGGCATGGGAGGCAGCGCCCCTTACCACCAGCAGAAGCCCCAACTTTGAGAGCGAGGGGGTTTGGGGGGACGAGGTGCTGTTTATGGTTTTGCAGTTGCTCCAGGGGAAAGGCGGGCTAATGAACAGTTAGTGGGAAATAGTTTATTGAAGTGAACAGAACAAGAATACATTAAAATTATTAAGACTGTGGCCTGGGGCAGTAAGCGGCATCCTGTTTTCTCATAGTTTACATGACAGTGGGAGAACACAGGAAGTGGGGGGAGGATGCTGGGGGCAAGGAGATGCAGGGAGGCCTCTGCCAAGGGTCAGGTGGACCAGAAACTTCCCTGGACTCATCCTCCAAAAGTTAGCATCTTCTAGCAGACCCTCCAACCTTTGCACCTCCCACCCCATCCCATTCCGTCCACAGCAGTGCCTCCTAGCCACTTCTCTTTGCTTATTAACAAAAGAAAAGGGGGAAAGCCTTCCTTCCCAGCTAGGGCAGGATGCTGTCTCATCACCTGTCTCAGCGGGCCACGCCAGTAAGCAGGAAGCGGCCACTGTCGCTTCTGCAGGGAAGGAATGGGCTTCCCGGTGTCTCCGGGGCTTAATACTAAAATCATCATCCCCCGTCTGGAACCAGGATTCTCACGGCCCCATCTGCATTCTCCTTTTTTGTGCCAATAGCAGGATTCTCGATATTCAGCTGGGCACCTCATCGTCCAGGATAAAGACCACGCCTCCCGGGCTGGGTGTGAGTCTGTGACTACTCTCCCACCGATGGGATATACACAGAAGTGACAGCTCCAGCTCCCGGGTCACACACTGAAGGGGGCATCCCCCCATCTCTACCGCATGTTTGCAATGCGGTGAATTGTGAGCCTTCTTGGGCCAAGCATGTGGGCCGACACCCTTAGGATGGGGAGTCCCGAGAGAGAAGGTGCTCGAGCCTCCGGTGACCTCCCGGGGCTCAGCCACCTGCCTCCAGATGGTCACTTCTGAGAAAATTAACTTCTGATCTGTGGAAGACCCATGGAAGCCTGGAGCCTCGGTCATGCTCAGCCTCATGTATGTCTTAACGGAAACACCATTTCTATCTCAATTCAGCCTCGAGCCTCAGAATGAAACAGGAAGATGCACCCAGCAAATAATACTTTTGGCATGTTACTAATAAAATAAGGAAAGGAAAAACCTGGGGCTCAGACGGTCATCTGATTTGCCAACAGCCACACACGGAGGTGTGACCAGGCTGGGGACTGCAGGAGCCCTGGCCCTTCCCTGTCCAGGGAATGTGCCCTCTGAGGAGCCTGGTCTGTTATTCTGTTTCCAGCAGTAGTAATCAAGGACCCTGGGCTCCCAGGTGACTTTGACCAGTGCCTCCACCTGATGCCACCTTCCCCCCAGGTGCATCTTCAACATAGCTTCCCCCACCCCCTGGAGTGTCCAGCTGGGCACAACCAGGCCCCATGGCACCTGAGAAATAGGAACACAGCCTCCCCGGTGAAGTAGAGGAGAGTTTAAGCCAGGACTTTGCCTGTGCCGAGGGCCTGGGAGCCGGGCTCAGCTCTGCCTGCCTGCCAGGGATGGGACCAGGGCTCGGCTTTCTCCTCTGCTAACAGGAAAGACCCCATAAGCCCTCAGGCCTGACTCCAGGAGTGAGACCTGTGATTCTATGTGAAACAGCCCCAGGCTGCCCACAGCAAGCCAAAGAATAAGAGCCCGCGCCTCTCCAAGGATCCGAGACCCAAGCAGCCTGGTGCCTTCTGCAAAACCTCTTCCTGCTTCTCTTCTGCAGGGAGCAGCGGCGTAGGTGGCTGGGGTGGTAGGGAGGAGAGGTGAGCTGCTTATTGCTGGAGATGACTTTCCTCTCTCCTCCTCCTTCTCTGGGCAGCTCGTTTTTTCCAAAATAACTCTTCTTCCTCCCTCCCCAGGTTGCTAGTTTCTGTCTCCTCCAGGCTTCCAAGTGCCCCCTGCAAGGGCAGCCGGCGGAGGGAGCAGGGGAGGGCTTACGTTCTCAAGATGCAGAAGTACAAGCGTAGACAAAAGAGACCCCCACGGTCCCCGTCAACCCCCTCACCTCTGTTTGAGCCCCCATCACTCCCCTGGGCTGCCTCTCTCTGCTGGCGGCAGAACAACTGCACAGAGGCTCTGCTCAGGCCTGCTCCCCGCCCAAGGGTCCTCACAGCATCCCAGGCCTCAGAGAAAGCGGCTGCTTTAAGCATTTAAAAGCTCCTACAGGCTCAACTCCCCCTCCTCTGTTCCAGGACCCCCAACTCCAAACAAACAGGTGTGCTGATCTATGCTTGACCAGGCCGGAGCCCTGGTCCCCAGCTGCCCTTGGCTCAAGTCACCCTCCCAGCCTAGCACATCCTTCTGTTCCCCACCCCAAACAAGGACAGACCTAGGGATGACCAACCCCGGCCTGGCCCCAATGCGCTTCCTGCTCAGACCTCTGCAAACCTGATCGTTTCCCCCTCGAAGACTCCCCTGGATTGTGGGACACCAGTTCTGATCTGAGATCTTAGGGCTAACACAGGAAATTAGGGGATGGGTGCATAGATGCAATCCCTGCTTCATCACAAGGCCGCAGAGTCCTTGTCTGCCATGACGTGCCCGGGTTTAGACTGAAGAGGCAGGAGCTGGGGCCAGCGAGGGGAGCCCTGAACTCCATTCCTTTTAATTGAGGCGAAATTTATATAACATAAAAGTAGCCATTTAAAGTGTGCAATTGAGGGGCACTCGGTGCATTCACCATGTTTTGTAGCCAGCACCTCTATCTTGCTGCACCTTCCATCATCCCAGAAGGAAAGACCTTACCCATGAGGCAGCAATTCCCTGTCTCCCACCACTGGACTTTGTGTTTCCTTGGAAAGCTTTTGATCCGAGTGCCAATCTGCCCTCCAGAAAGGCAGATTGTCTATTTGATGATAAATAGACAAAAGGCAACTTTCTTCTATTATTCTTGTTTCACAGCACCGGCCCTTTGGAATAGGAGCATCACACTGCCCTTGTCCCCTGGGCTTGACCACTGCCCCAAGCAACACGAGGGGGCATGAAGACCACAGCAGTGTCCTGAGCTGCCTTCGTGATCCACTTTGCTATTTGCCCAAAGAAAGGAGTAGCTCATGCAGGGCCTTTGTTCATTCATTGATTCAACAACTATTCTTTGCCACCTTTGAAGTGACCGGCTCTGGGGCAGGCAGAGGGGCCCACAGGCACGAGCAAGATGCAATCCTGCCCCCGCGCCCTGGGTGTGGAGTTGGGGA
Organism: Homo sapiens; assembly: GCF_000001405.40. Classification (NCBI taxonomy): domain Eukaryota; kingdom Metazoa; phylum Chordata; class Mammalia; order Primates; family Hominidae; genus Homo; species Homo sapiens. Next base: position 79,629,135 of record NC_000017.11, read on the forward strand.
GACAGGTGGGTGAACAGCCAGATAACAAGTCCACCTGGTAAGTGCTCTGAGAAAAACCTGAAGAAATAATCAACCTATAGGGTGGCTTTGCCATCTTCTCCAAATATTGTCCTCCAAATTTCATGCAGCCATCTTCACCTCCCAGGCCATCTTTAACTACCAAAGCCAGGGCCACACATGCTGGGTGACACCTCAGCATGCAGGGACTTGAAGAGGCCACTCACAAAAGAAGACTGAGAAATGACTCCAAAGCAGGGACAGTGTCGAATCCCACCAGTCACCAAAGCAAAGCAAATCAAAACAAAAGCCCACTTCCATTTTTTCCACCTGCCAGATTTTGAAAATGCCCATTGCACCCAGTGCTTCAGGGGGTGCGGGGAAATGACCTCTCATTCGCTTGCTGGTGGGATTCGGAGTCAGTGTAATCTTTCTGGAGGGCAGATTGGCACTCGGATCAAAAGCTTTCCAAATGTGTTTAACCTTTAACTCGGCAATTCCACTTATAGGAATTTACCCTAAGGAGAAACTCAGGAACAAACACAAAGACTTATCTGGAAAGATTTATGTACTAGAATATTTGCACCATTGCTCATAACATCAAAAGATTGAAAACAAACTAAATGTCCAACTCCAGGGTGCTTGGTAAATAATTTGTGCACTCATTAAAAATCCTATTGTAGAAGAATATTGAATGCCATTGCAAAGTGTTTATAAACCATTAAATGAAAAGATTTATAAAACAGAATGTGCAAAGCAATCCCATTATACTCCCCAGGCCTCCGAAGCAGGCTGGAAGGACACACTCCTGGGCCTGGCAGTGGTTTCCTCTGTGTAAGTGGACGACGGGCTATTTTGTATTTTCTTTTTTGAATTTTATGATTATATTCTAAATTTTCTACATTGGATCTGAATCGTATTTGTAATTAAGAAAACTATAAGGAAAAATTTTTTAACTTGGTAAGGCATGTCATGGATCCAGTTTCTCCCCCAAGGTACCAGCTCACAGGGGAAGGAAGACTAAAGGACTGCCTCCTGATGAACGTGGGGGTCCGCCTGTAGGGTTTCCACGATGCTCGAGAACCCCGCAGAGTCTCAGGCCTTTGACCAAGAAGACTCCAGAGTGAGCGCCTTAGGGAAACACGGTCGGCCAAGCATGCAGCACCTCCGTGCCCAGACTGGATACGGCACTAATGATGCAAACAAGTCATCGCTCAGTCAGGGAGATGGGTCATTGTTGCTGTTGTTTTTATTTGTTGTTCAGTGGCCAGATGCAAACGTGTTGCATAAGAGCCACCCAGAGGCGGCTTGAGCTCTTCTCGGAGGAAATGTGGGTACTGTGTTGCTTGATCCTGCCTCTTGACAGTCCTTTCCAGATTCAAGTTTAAATGGGTTTGCCGGTATCAGGATGTTAGGGGCTCTCCAAATGCCAGTGGAGCAAATGGCCCATTGCAGACACATTTCCAACCCTCATCAGGGGCTTCTCAGGAAAAGGCCCAGCCCGTGTTAATTATTATTTGAACACAAGTTCTGGAAGTTTCATCCTTACAAAATATTTTTAACGCTCGTGGTTCAGGAGAGGAAGGGAGAGAAGTGAGTAACACTTACTGACTCCCTACTATGCACTAGGCACCTAACGTGTATTTTCTCGTTTAACCCTCAAAATAATGCAGCGGGTCTGCATTATTGACCCCAGTTTACAGTTGTGGAAACTGAGTCTCTGAGAGTCTAAGTGACCCAGACCTGCAAGGTTTGCTCAGCACCCAGTAGCAGGCTTCCCCCAGAGCAAGCAACCCGGAAAAGCACGACAGCCCCCGCCCCACGAGGTGGAGGCCACAGTCTCTTCAGAACCTCATGGCCAGGGACGGCCGTCAGAGCCAGAGTCCACTCAGACAGCAAAGCAAGTCGTCTCTCCACTACCTCACGCCAGTGCCTCTTGCATTTGGATTAACCAGGGTGATTTCTAAATCTGGACGTCCATCCTGCAGCCCACACAGGGTGCAGTCAACCCTCTGGGGTGGGACTCGCATCAGGACGTTGAAACCTCCCCAGGCGGCTCCAGTGTGAGAACCACTGCAGATGTGGGAAGGAACCCTCCAGCCTTCAAATCACCACATCATCTGCCTCGGCCATCTCAAGAAATTCATCAGGAAGTGTGGGTCTAAACACTCTATAGATGCCCCCAGGGTCAAGAAGGAGACACGGGCAGTGAGAGTGATTCCAGGAAGAAAGTCGTTGACTGCAATTCACACGGTGCACGGGCCTATTTGGAGGCTTAGGGAGGACCCAGATGTGAATTTACAAGCCAGTGTCAGACACCAGCTTGTACACTCATCTGCCTTTCAGGGACTAGGTCCTCCCAGACCAGGAAGACATCCACCTTCAGCGTCCAGACTGGGGTCCATGAGGGACCGGCCAGGGCTGACCACACGGGGCCTGGGAGGCACCACCTTCCCCACCATTTCTCATGGTATTGACCTTTGATTATGTTCTCAAGGCACCGAGGAAGTGTCTTCTCACCGCAGTGTCTCAGGAATTCCCTGCAACCCTCCCCAGTGGCTCACCTCTCAGGAGGAGCTGCCCACACTTCCCTAGAGCGGGGGCCAGAAGATGGAGAAATGATGGAGACCCATCTTCACGGGCCTAGCTCCAGGACACAGGCAGACCCAGCCACCCTCAGGCTGCTCCCCCTGGAAGAAGGATGCCAGCTCTGTGGGGTCCCTGGAGTGTCGTTTATAATTGCCCTTGCACAGCACCCTGACGGAGGGTACCCAGCAGATCCCTCAAGGTTCTCCCTGCCCCCAGAGAATGAACAGCTCACGGACAGCAGAGCTCCGTGTCATCCGCCTCCTGCCAGGGCACAGGGGATCCTGGCAGCCGATGTGCCGTGGTGCCTGCGGCAGGGCAGGCTGCGCAGGGAGACAGCGAGCCCTCCGCGCTGCAGGAATGTGGGCCTCCTTCCTTGAGAATGCAACATTTCAGCAACCAAGAGACAACTCTATTGGGAGAACAAGAGCTAATTAAATTTACTGGGATCACTGAAGATGAAATTATTTAATATTCTGAACAGAATTTAATATTTGAAAGCACGAACAGCCTTGGTTCGTTGTAGACGGGTTTTCCATCACCTGGGTCTGCATTAGGAGGATCCGTATACAGATGAGGGGTGGGGCCGGGGATGTGCTGCTTCTGGAAACCAGAGGAGATGGGAGAGGAACTGGAAATGGGCAGGAGGACAAAGTCCTCTTCGGGATCCTGGATGATTCTGCTCCACGTTTCCAGAGGGACCCCTGTTGGTGCCTCTAAAGTGATGGAAAATCACAGTTGTGGTGCCAGGACCCCATGTCTGGGGTCTCTGACCACTGCCTGCCTCCGCTCCACCTATCTCTAACCCAGGGTCATTGCTGGCCAAGTCACATGGTGAAGTCAGAGGATCCGGAAGCCAGTGCTCTTCCCTGGCATGCACGAGTCCCCGGCCACACGCTCCTGTGGCGGAGTACAGTGGCTCACACCTGTAATCCCAGCACTTCCGGAGGCTGAGGCAGGCAGATCCTTTGAGCCCAGGAGTCTGAGACCAGCCTGGGCAACATAGCAAGACCACGTATCTACTAAAAAAAAAAAAAAAAAAAAGTTAGCAAGGCCTGATGGTGCACACCTGTGGTTCCAGCTACTTAGGAGGCTAAGTAAGGCAGGAGGATGGCTTGGGCCTGGAGGTCAAGGCTACAGTGAGCTGTGATCACAACACTGTACTCCAGCCTGGGCAACAGAGCAAGACCCTGCCTTGAAAAATTTCATTTAAAACACTCCTGTATTCCACAGGGGACACTGAAAGAGAGATGGGCACTTTTACCAAGTCCCTGAGATACCCAAGTTTGGACCCAGTCAGGAATTTCTCAGCCATTTTTCCTAAAGTCACTCTGCAGACCATCCACGAAGTTCCTCAAGGAGAGTTTCTCCTAAAGGAGCTGTCGGCCCATGTTGGCAACGCCCCACAGTGTTCACGGGGCCATGACTCGGCCTCCAGAGTCCGGGGCTCGGTTTCCCCAGATACCCTGGAAAAACTGTGAGTACAGAGCCCAGGAGCCACAGCTAAGACTCAGCCACCTGGGGCTCCTGCATGGGCAAAGTGGCCGCCAGAAGACTCCCTGGAGAGCTTGACTGTGGGGCCCCAGGCCAGAGCCACTGTCAGTGCCAGCGGGCAAGGCCACCACCAACCGGAGAAGCTCTGGGCTCAGGTCATTCCGGGTGCACCCCCTCCCCGGGGCGGCAGCTGCAGGGAGAACACAGAACGCGTGTCCACCGTAGGGAGGTGGGCTGGGTGGGCAGGCCCCAGTGTGAGCCCTGCAGGGCCCTGGTCTCATGGATGCACAGGTGAGCCACCTCCTCACTGCCTGATCAAACCCCAGATGGGCAGATGCCTCCGCAGGCCCCCAGTGGGACTTGGTGCCAGCCAGACTCCAGCGGCTGTTTTTTTTTTTAACTGTAACGGATTCTGTGTGCTCCACACCCTGAGGGCCTGGAGACTGGACATGCTTTGTAACTGAAATTAGAAGTCAATAAACCGAGGGCCAGGTGGGTCAGTAGAATTTCCATCGTGAGGCATCGGAGGCTGCTCTCGGCACATCAGCCCTGGCTCCTTCTCTCATCCTTCCAACCCTTCACCCCAGTGAGTGGGAGTTTCTAAGAGCCCCGTGTCCTGATGTGCCACCCTTGGAAGAACAAAACCCTGAGACAAACTCGTATTTTGCTTTTTTTAATTGTCTCTCCCACTTTGCTTCCTGTTCAAACAGATTATCATGCACATCTGTAATCCCCACTTAAGCACCTAAGACCCCCTCTAAAATAACCCATTAATCCATTCCCACTCCTGTCTGCTGCTATTAACATGTTTGTCTTCGACGCCTTTGGCAGCTCATCCCCTTCCTCACCGGGCTTATCTGCCTTGCCCGGCATTGGGCATCCCATCCAGAGGTGGGAGGGGTGGCAGCCTGGAGCCCTGGAGGCCAGGGCCACCTCCACACCTCTCCCATGCTTCCCAGACGCCACCCTCACACTCTGCTTTCTGTACTGGTGAAGGAGACAGGTAAGAACTGCAGATCCATCTGCCCTTGGCCATGGGTCAGCCCTGCCCACCTCACCGCCAGAGCCACTGGTGAGCAGGAAAGGCTGGGGCACCTCCCCTCGTCTACCAGTAGGAAAAGAGTGAATCCCACTTCCACCCACACCCTCTATTCCATTCCAGGGGATCCAAAGGCCTTCCGCCCCTGCTGTCCTCAAGACAGGCTAAAACCCACACCCAAAGTGGGCTTTCTGGGCCAACCAACTATGGACACAGTACATAGCCTGCAAAGCCTCCTTGGACATCAGAGCTGCCCCAGAACCCCGGCGTTCCCATAGACCCGCAAATGGGGTTCTATAGAGCACCCACTGCATGTCCGACTCTGTCTAAAGACCGTGGGTAACACAGAAGCATGAGGCACAGAGGGTCCTCAGGGAGCCTTCAGGGTAATTGACCAACTCACCCCTAAGACAACGGGAGGGAGCACATGGGCTGTGAGTGTCTTGGCTGCACACAGAGAGGCCTACTGTTCTGCCATTTCCCATCCTCATGTCCTGGAACTTTCCTTCCATTTCCTCAATTATAAAACTGGGGAGCAATGGCTCACACCTGTAATCCCAGCACTTTGGGAGGCCGAGGCGGGTAGATCACTTGAGGTCAGGAGTTCGAGACCACCCTGGCCAACATGATGAAACTCTGTCTCTACTAAAATTACAAAAATTAGCCAGGTGTGGTGGCATGCACCTGTAATCCCAGCTACTCAGGAGGTTGAGGCAGGAGAATTGCTTGAACCCAGGAGGCAGAGGTTGCAGCAAGCCGAGATCACCCCACTGCATTCCAGCTTGGGCAATAAAGCGAGACTCCATCTCAAAAAAAAAAAAAAAAAAAAAAAAAAAAAAAAAAAAAAAAAACGTTGGCACTGACATAGATGATATCTAAGGTTCCTTCTGGCTCTCAAATTGTCTGCTTCTGTAATTCAGATCTGAGCAGTGAGGCATGGGTAAGACACTCCCAGAGTCTCAGGGATGCCTGGTTAAGGGCTGGAGGGGGCATGGAAGGCTTCCTGGCATCACCAGGATGCAGCCCAGATACTCATGGGCCCTGGCACCTGGAACCATCTGCTCAAAGGCATCACGTGGCAACCTGATCGTCCCATCATCTTCCAAAGCCTCAGAAGAGCAGCTGAGAAGGATCCTGGGAGCCCTGTCCTGTTACATAGGAGCTTCCCTGCCACGTTCCCTTCCTGCCTCCTCCCAGACGATTCTCTTGGATGCAAAGCAAGAATCTGAGGAGGCTGAGAGAAAGTCACTTTCACCAGATGATAATATTACACATCATTTTAAAATCTGAGCATGGAGAATGGTTAAATGCTGTGTAAAACATAGAAGACATTAAAGGAAAAACTTCTGGCTAAAAACAAACAACTTCTGTACTGGAAAAAATAGAGACTATAAACAAAGTTAAAAGAAATATTACACAGTGGGGGAGAGATTTATATCCCATATAACAAAAGATTGATTTCCTTCATAAACAAAAAGTTACGGCAAATTAAGAAGTAAAGCATGAACAACGAGTGGGAAAAATGCTGTTTCACAGAAAAATATAAATGGTCATTAAACATAGGAAAAGAGGCTCCACCTCATTCATCATTAAAGAAATTCAACTAATAGCAAGTTACGATTATTAAGTGTCAAAGTGGCAAAAATATTAAATAATACCAGGATAGAACAAGGTTCTGAGCAAAAAGACACCATTTGATACATGGTAGGTAAGTCTATAAATTGATAAACCCACGTGGAAGACCTATTTGGTGATATTTATTATTTTTTAAATGTTTGTGCCTTTGATCTGAAAATTCCATTTCCAGGAATCTATCCCACTGATTTACCCTGACAAGTAAGCCAAGGTGGACATACAATGCATAAATGCAACAGAAGCAGGAAATATACTATAGGGTGAGGGGGAGTATTTTCAAAGTGAGATAGAGCTATATGTGCTGATAGAACACTATATCCAAGATATATTGTGACCAAAAAACAGTACACATAAAATTCCATTTATGTAGAGAAAAAGGGATTATAAAGGATTATGTGTGTGTGTGCATGATTTTCTGAATATACCTATATATATAATTTTCTGAAAAAAATACACTACCAATTTTACTGCTGGGCCATGGGAATAAAGGGGGCATTAAGAAAGGTCAACCAGGGAGACTTTAGTTTTCATTTTTTAACTTTTCTATACTGTTTTCATGTTTTTGCTATGATCAAATATAATTTTTTAATAGAAAAATTGTTTTAAGAGAGATTTTTCTTTAAAATGGTTTTAAGAACAGAAGTAAAAGTGTTTACTTTTACTTAACTTCAATCGCATACAAAACTCTTTTGTATGCAATGTGATCAGCTTTAAATGGACTATTATAACTATAAGATGTTTTATGTAAGCCTCACTGTAATCACAAGGAGTAAAATCTCTAGTGGATACACAAAAGCAAAAGGAATCAAAGTATGCCACTATAAAAAAATCAACAAATCATGAAGGAAGGCAGGAAGAAAGAAAAAAAGGAACTACAAAACAATCAGAAAACAAATTAATAAAATGACAAGAGTAAGTTTTTGCTTATAAACATTTACATTACATGTAAATAGACTAAATTCTCCAAACATAAGATGTAGAATGTCTGAGTGGATTTAAAAAAAACAAGATTCAACAACATGCTGCCTATAAGAGACTCGTTTTAGCTTTAAGGATGCACATAGACTGAAAGTAAAGCGATGGGAAAGGATATTCCATACAAATGATAACATGGGTGGCTATGCTTATGTCAGATAAAATAGACTTTAAGTCAAAAACTGTTATAAGAGAAAAAGGTTACTATATAATGATAAAAGGGTCATTTCTACAAGAGATATAACAAATATAAGTCTATATGCACTCAACATCAGATCACCTAAATATATAAAGCAAACATTGAAAGAGCTAAAGGGAGTGATAGACAGCAATATAACAGTAGTAGGGGACTTTAATATCTCACTCTCTATAGTGGACAGATGATTCAGAAAGAAAATCAATAAGGAAACAGCAAAACTAAGCAACAGTATAGACCAAAAGAACCTAACACATATACAGAACTTTCTACTCAATAGCAGAAAAATATACATTTTTCTCAAGTGCACTTGGAACATTCTCCAGGATAGATCACATGTTAGGTCACAAAAAAATTTTAACAAATTCGGCTAATGTCTGTAATCCCAGCACTTTGGGAGGCTGAGGGGGGTGGATCACCTGAGGTCAGGAGTTCGAGACCAGCCTGGCTAACATGGTGAAACCCCGTTTCTATTAAAAATACAAAAAATTAGCCTGGCGTGGTGGCACACACCTGTAATCCCAGCTACTCAGGAGGATGAGGCAGGAGAATCACTTGAACCCAGGAGGTGGAGGTTGCAGTGAGCCGAGATCACACCATTGAACTCCAGCTTGGGCAACAAGAGCAAAACTCTGTCAAGAAAGGGAAGGGAAGGGGAGCGAAGGCGAAGGGAAGGGAGGGGAGGGGAGGGGAGAGGAGAGGAGGGGAGGGGAAGGGAGGGGAAGGGAGGGGAAGAGAAGGGAAGGGAAGGGAAGGGAAGGGAAGGGAAGGGAAGGGGAAAAGGGAAAGGAAAGGAATTTTAACAAATTCAAGATGATCTAAATTATTCCAAGTACCTTCTCTGACCACAATGAGAAGAAACTAGAAATCAATAACAATAAGAAAATTAGAAAATTCACAAATATGTGGAAACTAAATAACACATACTTGAGCAACCATTGGACAAAAGAGGAAATCAAAAGGGAATTTTAAAAATATCTCAAGACAAAAACAAAAACACAATACACCAAAATGTATGGGATATAGCAAAAGCAGTTCCAAGAGGAAAGCTTATTAAAATAAATGCCTACATTTTTAAAAAGAAGAAGAAAGATTCCAAATAAACAACTACTTTATATCTCAAGGAAGTAGAAAAAGAGAAAACTGAGCTCAAATATAGTAGAAGAAGGGAAATAATAAGGATTAGAGCAGACATAAGTCAAATAGAGAATAGAAAAACAATAGGTAAAATTAACAAAACTGAGTTGGTTTTTTTTTTTTTTTTAAATAAAATAAAATTGACAAACCCTTAGCAATACAAAGAAAGAGAGAAGGCTCAAATAAATAAAGTCAGAAATTTTAAAAGAGGTATTAAAATGAATGTCTCTGAAATAAAAAAGATTATAAGGGACTATCATGTATAATTATATGCCAACAAATGGGATAATCTAGAAGAAATGCATAAATTTTTAGAAACATGCCACCTACCAAAACTGAGTCAGGAAGAAATAGAAAGCCTAAACATCCTATAGTTTGGATGTTTGTCTCCTCCAATCTCATGTTGAAATCTGATCCCCAATGTTGCAGGTGGGACCTAATGGGAGGTGTTTGGGTCACAGGAGTGGATCCTTCATGAATACGTTAATGCCCTTTCTTAGGGAAGAGGGGTGAGCAAGTTCTTGCTCTATTAGTTCCTGTGAAAGCTGGTTGTTATAAAGAGCCTGGCACCTCCCCACTTGCTCTCTCTTGCTTCCTCTCCTGCCATGTGATCTCTGCACAAGCCAGCTCCCCTTCACCTTCTACATGAGTGGCAGCAACCTGAGGCCCTCATGAGAAGCAGATGCTGGCATCACACTTTTTGTAGTCTGTGAGCCAAATAAATCTCTTTTCTTTATAAATTACCCATGCTCAGCTATTTTATAGCAAGACAAAATGGACTAAAATACAGAAAAATATCAAAGAAGGAGACTGAATCAGTAATCAAAAACCACTCAACAAAGAAAAGCCCTGAATCAAATGGCTTCACAGTTGAATTATATGGAACAATCAAAGAACTAATACTAGTTCTTCTTAAAGTCTTCCAAAAAATAGAAAAAGAGGGAACACTTCCAAGCTAATTTTATTTATTTTTTTATTTTTTATTGTTTATTTTTTTTTGAGACAGAGTCTCACTCTGTCGCCCAGGCTGGAGTGCAGCGGCGCAATCTCGGCTCACTGCAAGCTCTGCCTCCCAGGTTCACGCCATTCTCCTGCCTCAGCCTCCCAAGTAGCTGGGACTACAGGCACCCACCACCGCGCCCGGCTAATTTTTTTGGTATTTTTAGTAGAGATGGGGTTTCACTGTGTTAGCCAGGATGGTCTCAATCTCCTGACCTCGTGATCTGCCTACCTTGGCCTCCCAAAGTGCTGGGATTACAGGCGTGAGCCACCGCACCCAGCCCCAAGCTAATTTTATGAGGCTAGCATCACCCTAATAGCACAGTCAGACAAAGACACCACAAGAAATGAAAACTACAGGGCAATATCTCTGATGAACATAGATGCAAAAAAATTCCCAATAAGATACTAGTAAACTGAACTCAACAACACATTAAAAGGATTATACATTATGACCAAGTGGAATTTATCCCTGGAAT